>NC_000002.12:206883557-207186587 GCF_000001405.40 Homo sapiens
GCAATTCTGTGAGAGGAATGGGGCTCACAGAGTTAGCTACATGCTATAGAGGGGAAAACAGGCACAGGGAGGCAAGATGACTTGCCCAAGGTGAGACCACATCTCTAGATAGCGGAGGAGCCGCCACAATGACCCTATCTCATTCCCGATAGAGGAGGCCAGCCCGTCTCTCTTGCTTTGTGTTAGGTGCTACCGAACATAGTGGATTCTCAGTCAGTATTACTGTTTCAATACACACTGAAAGATTTTTATTTAGTGAATTGAGTTGTAATTCTACAACTCAAGAAGAGAAGAATTATGAAGAGGCACGGTACGGCTGTTGAAGAAAATTGAGCTCTTTCATCACTGCTCAAATACAGTCCTACTCTATTCTTTAAGCTATTCTTTCCCTGGTCCTTCTATTTTCTCTCCCAGCATCCCATGCATCCCCTCCTGCCTGCCATGGACTCTCCCTTAGTTTGTGTCTATCTGGCTTACTTAAACATCTTATTAGCTAACCTTGTGCCTTGAGAAAATCATTTTATGTTTTGCAACTTTGAGTTTCTCAAATTTAAAATTAAACCATTAAATGAAACCTCTAAGATTCCCTTTAGGCTGGACATGGTGGCTGATGTTTGCAATCCCAGCACTTTGGGAGGCCGAGGCAGGCGGATCACTTGAGGTCAGGAGTTCGAGACCAGCCTGGCCAACGTGGTGAAACCCCGTCTCAACTAAAGATTGGAAAAAATTAGCTGGGCGTGGTAGCGCATGCCTGTATCCCAGCTACTCTTGGGAGGCTAAGGCACGAGAATCCCTAGAACCTGGGAGGCAGAGGTTGCAGTGAGCTGAGATTGTGCCACTGCACTCCAGCCTGGGCAACAGAGTGAGAGACTCTGTCTTCAAATAATAATAATAATGATAATAATAAGATTCCCTTTAGCTCAAACCATGAGCAGAGTGGGGAGACTTGTTTGGGTGGGAGCTGGGGTCCAGATGCTTTGGCTAGTGAATGTGGTCATCTCCCCTCCATTACCAATGGCTTCTACAGATTTAATATTTAATTAATATTAAATTCCCTCTTTTGAAATAAACAGTTAGATTGTTGCCTCCTAACTGGACTCTGACTAATACAAGGAGAAATTTTGTTTTATAGATTACTTTTACCTAATAAGGTTCTGCTTCATCTTTGGGGAAGATACTCACTGCCAGAAAGAAGAGGAAATATAGGAGGAAGGTGCAGTCCATGATTGGAGCCAGGCTGGCAGAGGTCAGCTGGGTTTTTATTACAGTTTTCTGGAAATACAGATTAGCTTGCATTAGAAAAGCGAAAGACCTTTTAGATGTTCAAGTAGACTGGAAAGTAGTGTGGGTTAGAGAACAGAAGGGTAACAATCTTCCCTCCAACCTAAGAAAATAGCTTTCAATTTCTCCTTGGAGACCTCAAAATTATAAGGTAAGCATATTTTTTGAAAAGTGGGTTCATTATGGTCATCAGGTTCTAAACATCTGTCTGTGCCTACAGTAGCTACATTCCACATGGGTTGAGGCATGGCCTGCTCTCACTCCAGAACTTCATATGTGTTATTGCCTCTGCCGCAAATAATATTCCCACTTTCAACCTTAAACTCCTTCCTCCTGCCTCATTCCTACTTGTCTTCCCTCACAGCCCTCCCTCAACTAGGTTAGGTGCCCCAACTATGTCCTGCTATAGAGGCATATTCTTGTTTTTTATTGCACTCATTACAGAATAATGAAATGACTTCTTTCCACATCTGTCTCCATAAGTAAAATGTAAACTCTGAGGGGGTTACATGTGTGTTTTATTCCACTGTACCTGGCACAGTGACTGGCACATAGGCATTCGACTACAAATATTTAATATAGGTACCAATAAGGTGCTATGTTTTATGGGGTGGTAGTGGTGAGAGTTAATCCCTTGTAGATTTTCAACTTGTCTGTTATATTTTGCATCCTGTCTGTCTAGACCAGTGCTCCCAGGTGATTTTGATAGCATTTGCTAAGGGACCACATTTTGAGATGCAAAGCTAGATGTTTGGAACATGCACAGAAAATGGAGCACCAGGGCTGAGGTAGGATAGAAGTGAAATGAAGCTTAAGTGTTCCCATGTTTGATGCTGCCTGCTTTTCTCCCCACCCTTTCGATCTTGGGCTTTCTATCCTCCCCCAACCAAAGTCTATTTCTTGGAAAGCATTCACATTCCTGGGTTAAATGGCAGAAAAGAGTAAATGACCGTGTTACTTGTTCAAGATGGTTTGTATTTTTCACAAGGAACAAAGCCCTACTGGTTTTGAACCAAAGGAATGGACTTCAAATTGTGTAATGTCAAGTTTAAGAAGCCAGTAGGAAATCAGGAGACCACACTTGTAGGTGACTGAAGACTCGACCCACATAGGAAGCTCAGTAGAGGGACAGTGTCCATCACAGGGTGGGTGCACAGGCATGCATGTTGAATCAACAGAGTCACACCGGTCTAGCATATCCCTCAGTGAGAAGGAAGTACATAAGTTGTATGTGCACAGAAAGTCTGTGCCATCATGAGCCTTCTGGAATTGTCCATGGGACTTATTGGAGAAACTTAAAAGAATACATCCTACCTAGTGTTTCCTCACTCACCGTGGGAAAAAAAACCCTGAAAATAAAATACTGTTAAAATGAATACTATTCTGGCTGAAAGTCTGCACCCTTGATAAGTGATTTGCTCTGTTAGACAGGCAGGAATTAGCATAGAGAACTTTGGAAAAGCCACCAACTATCAGTGGCTTGGTATTACAAACATGGAGAAGAATGAATTTCTGTGCTCAATTCCTTGCATTCTCCCACCATTAAGAAAGATGCTATCATTTCAAAATGAAGATATGTACAGTCTTGGACTTTTGGGGAACTTCTCTTGGAAGTTATTGGTGCTTCCGAAAATGGGTAGTCTGTAACACTTTGTAGGGAAGATCTATACTGGGGAGGGCTGGAGCTGTCATAATCTTTGTAGAGAACTGGAAGGCTGCCATGCTGTGTTCCTGAGCATTCATTACTTCAGTGAGGACACCTTCATTCCTTATGGTTAGCCTGATGAGCCACCGAGCAATGCTGATGGATTGGTAAGGCTCACACCCTGACTCCAATGCTCCATCAAGGTTAGATATGCTCGACTTTGCTGCCTTTTCAGTAGTTTTGTGTTTACTTCCCTCTTTTCCTATATTTTATACATGCCTCCACGTGACACTTATTGATATCACTGTTGCTGAGTTTGGGCATACTTCCAGAGAAGCTCAGATTTGCTCTTACTTTTCCATCCAATAAATTCATCTGTTAAGCATTGGGAGAAGAATTCTGGAAACTCCATCACTAGTTGGCAACTATCACATTTCTTAAGAGAAGAAAAATCTTTAATCTAGTTGAAACCATATTTCTTGTGCTGGAATGGATTTAAGACAAAAATTATATTGCACATTTGGGCACGGACCTTGATTTTTCAACATGCATCTTTCATGTGTTAGGAACTGATGCTGCACATTTTCTCCCCCGGGGATTTTCCTTTTCTTAAGGCATTAAATTGCTTGCTCAGATGTATAAAGGATGTACCACCTTGAATGGATGTGCTAATTAGCAATGGTAAAATTTATGTATGCAACATTGATAAGGAAGGAGAGATTAAAATCCTATTTCATTTATGTATTATATGTTTACAAAAAAGAAAAACATAAGGGAAAGCGACCTCTTTTGTCTAGCTGAGAATTTAGAAATGAAAGGCATGCATGCATTTTTCAGAAGGAGGTGAGCAAAATGTTTTATGGCTTTCTAGCAGATATTCCACACCAATAGTTCCGAAGCCCTGCCATCCATGAGCCCCTGAAAAAAATTCCATGGTTAGCCTTTGTCCTTGTGTAATGACTGTTTGCATTCCTCTATCCAACTATAGCCCAGTTCATCTTATAGATTACCACCACCAAAGGGCTCTTTAAGCCTGGGCAACTCTATTACCGTTTACCCTTGTGACATTTCTATTCTCTAACTCAGAGGTTCTCAAAGTGTGGTTCCCACACCAGCAGCACCTGCATCACTGGAAACTGGTTAGATATGAACATTCTTAGGTGAAACTCAAGACCTACTGAATAATAAAGTTTGGGGTGATGCCCAGCAGTCCATGTTTTAAAAGACACTAGCTGATTCTGATGTATGCCCTAACTGAAAAGGTGTTGCCTCCTAATTTGAAAAGGAGGATCAAAAGACTGCCCTTTGCCCTAGTCCAAAGTAGTAAACAACTAACCACAGAACAAGTAGTAACCCCATCCTAATTGATTGTTGATAGTGTCATGCTCTTGAAGGTCAGCCAATCAACTACAGTATCACTCCAGGAACTGCTTCTGAAAGTCAGCTCATCCTTAAACCACACAGCTGAAAGTCAGCCAATCCCTAAACACTCTTGCTTCAGAAAATCTGCCAACCCCTGAGCTCCCTGTTCCTAAAACCCTTTAAGATAGCAAGTCTTGGTCTGTTCAGAGAGACAGATTTATAAGAGTAGCTCTCCATTACTTAGGAAGCAATAAATTTAGCCTCTTCGTTTCACATACAGATATATGGGATGTTAAAAATTTCATCCTCCAAAAAATGATCATTGTAGATTTAGAAGTCAAAATTTGTATTAGAGAGGTTTTACCAGCATTGTTGAAATGTTGGTGATGGGGATGTTTGAGGAACATGATATGCTTGTCAAAGACAAGAACCAACTATGAATTAGAGATAATATTTTATAGTAAAAATGATAAAATAAAAAACATGAAATAAAATATAATTATCCATTACTAAACATGTATAGTTATTATAAAGTAAACAATGAACAATTACTTTATGAAAGTTTTGATATAGTAATATCAGGAGAATAGGGAAGGAAGAAATGGGGTGATGTTGGTGCTAAATCATAATTTTCTATAACAGGAAGCCCCAACCTGGGCAACACAGTGAGACCCCATCTCTACAAAACAATTACAAATTAAAAAACAATTAGCTGGACATGGTGGCATGCACCTGTAGTCCCAGGCACTCAGGAGGCTGAGATGGGAGGACCCCTTGAGCCTGAGTGATTGAGGCTACAGTGAGCCATGATTGTGCCACTGCACTTCAGCATGGGTGACAGGGATTTTGTCTTAAAAACATAAAAAATAAAAATAAATGATGTCAAAATGGACATTAATTAAATTTTAATGCAACTCAAGAAATATTTGTTGAGCATATACCTTGGATTGTTAGATGCTAGAGATATGAAGATGAAACTGTCAGAGTAGACAGGCTGTAAGTAATTTCAACACAATCCAAAGAAGAAATGAATTGATTCTGATAGTGGTGTTGGTGGTGAGAAAAAAATTGCAAAGAGGGAGTCCTGGAAAGTATGCCTTCTAAGTATGAGTAGATATTCTTAGGCAGACTGAAAAGAGAAGTGCCTTCCAGGGTGAGGGAATAACATGGGTGAAGGCAAAAGGTCCTGAAAGTGAGAATGGAGTTAGGGAAATAGTGAGTAATTTGGGGAACTGGTTAGAAGTAAGACTGGAAAAATAGTCTGGTGATGGGATTTAAAAGGTCTTGAATGCCATGATCAGAAGTTTAGATTTATCACAAAGGCATTATTTTCATTTTTCCTAAGGAAGTAATATTAGCTTTTGCTATTTTTTTAAACTTTTAGGTTCAGGAGTACATGTGCAGGTTTGTTAGATAGGTAAATTGCCTGTCATGGGGATTAAGTATACAGATTATTTTGTCATCCAGGAAATAAGCATAGTACATGATAGGTAGTTTGTTGTTGTTGTTGTTGTTGTTGTTGTTGTTTGAGATAGGGTCTCATTCTGTCACCCAGGCTGGAGTGCAGTGGCATGATCTCAGCTCACTGCAATCTCTGCCTCACAGGCTTAAGCCAACCTCCCACCTCAGACTCCCAAGTAGCTGGGACTGCAGGTGCATGCCATCACACCCAGCTAATTTTTGTATTTTTAGTAGAGACAA
The DNA here is from genome assembly GCF_000001405.40 of Homo sapiens. Taxonomy (NCBI): domain Eukaryota; kingdom Metazoa; phylum Chordata; class Mammalia; order Primates; family Hominidae; genus Homo; species Homo sapiens. The sequence continues at coordinate 206,889,547 of NC_000002.12, forward strand.
GGTTTCACCATGTTGACCAAGCTTGTCTCGAACTCCTGACCGCAAGACATCCACCCGCCTCAGCCTCCCAAAGTGCCAAGATTACAGGTTTGAGCCACCATGCCTGGCCCTGATAGGTAGTTTTTCGATACTAACTTTCCTCCTTCCCTCCACTCTCAAGAAGGCCGCAGTGTCTGTCCTTTGGGTCCATGTGTACTCAATGTTTAGCTTCCACTTGTGAGTGAGAACATGTGGTATTTGATTTTCTGTTCCTGCGTTAGTTCACTTGGGTAATAGGCTCCAGCTCCATCCATGTTGTTGCAAAGGACGTGACTTTGTTCTTTTTTATGGTTTTGTAGTATTCCATGGTGTATATATACCACATTTTCTTTATCCAGTTTACCATAATGGGCAGTTAGGTTAATTCCATGTATTTGCTATTGTGAATAGTGTTGCTATACATGTGTGCTATACATGTGTATGTGTCTTTATGGTAGAACAATTTTTATTCCTTTGGGTATGCACCCAATAATAGGATTCCTAGGTCAAATGATAATTCTGCTTTGAGTTCTTGGAGAAATTGCCAATCTTCTTTCCACAATGGTCGATGTATTAGTCTGTTCTCACACTGCTATAAAGAACTGCCTGAGACTGGGTAATTTATAAAGAAAAGAGATTTAATTGACTCACAGTTCCACATGGCTGGGGAGGCCTCAGGAAACTTACAATCATGGCAGAAGGGAAGCAGGCACGTTTTACCTGGCAGCAGGCAAGAGACAGCATGAGTGTGAAGGAGGAACTATCAAACACACAAAAGCATCAGATCTCATGAGAACTGACTCACTATCACAAGAACAGCATGGGAGAAGCCATCCCCATGACACAATCACCTCCCACCAAGTCCCTCCCTGGACACATGGGGATTACAATTTAAGATGAGATTTGGGCGGGGACACCAAGCCAAACCATATCAGTTGACTAATGTTAGTTTTAATCTTTTGGTATAATCCTAAACTGGAACAGACTAACCTCTACTGTTCTCAATAGGGATGTCCTATGGCCTGAACTGTGTTGCCCCTAACATTCGTATATTGAAGCCCTAACCCTCAATGTGACAATATTTTAGAACAAGGTTAAATGTGGTCAAAAGGCTGGGGCCCTAATCTGACAGGATTAATGTCTTTACAAGAAGAGACACTAGAGATCTATCTCTCTCTCTACCACGTGAAAATATAGTGAGAAGGATGCCATTAGCAAGCCAGGAAAAGAGTCCTCACCTGAAACTGAATTGTGCCAGAACCTTGACCTTGGACTTTAAGGCTCCAGAACTGTGAGAAAATAAATTACCATTTTTTATGCCACCCAGTCTATGGTATTTTGTTATGGCTATCCTGATGGATTAAGGCAGAGTGCTACTGGCATTTGGTTGGTACAGTCCTTCATTATTCAGGACTATCCCATACATTATAGGATATGTAGTGTCTCTGGTCTCCAACTATAAAATTCTAGTAGTGCTACTCTGTCACTATGACAACAAAAAAAATGCTCCTACACATCTTCCAATGCTTCTTTGGGGGCAACAGTACTTACTGCTTCTGGCAGAAAACCACAAAAGGAAGCCTGTGAGAAGACTAATACAATTAAAATAAGATTTATTATGTTCCTTCCTGATCTCCTAGCGACCATAGGAAGGACTTTTACTTATTAAGAGTAAGGCATATGGTATAACAGCAAAATACAATGACAACAATAACCTTGATGTTCCTAAGAATCTCTGGTGTTGGAATAGAGTCTTTTATTTTGAGAAAGCAAAGGGAATACCTTGTCTTAGTACCAAATGACTAACATATTCATGTATCACAGTGAAAAAAAAAAACCCAGAAAACAAAAACAAGCTCTTTGCATCCTGAGATAAAAACAAAACAAAGGGAAAACAATAAAAGGACACTCTTTAACACTAGTCTTCAAAATAAATAAAACCTTGAATCCTTTCTACTAAGTTGCTAACTCTTTAGGAAAAAGTAATTCCTGATTTTTACAATACTAAATTTGGCAGATGTGTGATGACCTTGAAGATACAACCGTGTGAGGAAATTGCTATCTATCTCATCTTAAAAAATGATAAATTTAACCTTGGTAACCTTGTGGGGTTTCTTTCCCCCTGTATCTGTTCGAAACCCTTTCTAAAACCCTGCAAGTAAAAATACTTGAGAACAATCCAACTGCAACAGAAATTTCATCATGCTCCATTATTAACTATTAGAGGCAATTATTTTCTGATTTATATCACCACAGATCTATTTTATTCTTCTCAAATTTCATTTACATGGAATCAAACACCATGATTATTTTGTGTGTGGCTTTTCTTGTTTGACATGTTTTGGGGACCTTTTTATTTTGTTCATTTTTTTTAATTGCTGAGGACTATTCCAATGAATGGATATAACACAATTTGTTTATATGTTCTTCTGTTGACAGATACGTGGATTGTCTCCAGTTTTTGGCTAATATGATCAAAGCTTCTAGGAACATCATTGCACATGTTTTTTTTTTTTTGGATATATACTTTCATTTCTTACCTAGGACTGGAATTATTGAGACATAGGGTAGATGTATGTTTAATTTTATAAGAGACCGGAAACAGTTTTTTTGAAGTTTTTATAGAATTTTACATTCCATCAACAATATATGAGGGGTCCAGGTGTTCCATATCCTTGCCTTATATTATCAAACTTTTAAAATTTTACACATTCTAAGTAATTGCAAAACCATGTTACTTTGTGCCTTTAATTTGCATTTCCATGACAATCATGTTAAGCACCTTTTTTGTGTTCTTATTGGCTTTACATAAATTTATTTTTGTTTAAGTCTTTTGTTCATTTGTAATCGGGTCATTGGTCTTTATCTTGTTTATTTGTAAAGAGTATTTTGTATTTGTGAATATGAGTTCTTTTTTCACATATATTGTGCCTCATAAGATTTTTTCTTTTTCCCAGTTTGTGACTTGTCTTTCTTTTTTTTTTTAATAATTAAAAAATTAATGGGTACACAGTAGGTGTATACATTTATGGGGTACATGAAATGTTTTGATACAGGCTTGCAGTACTTAAAAGTCACATCAGGGTAAATGAGGTATCCATCACCTCAAGCACTGATCATTTCTTGTGTTACAAACATTCTAATTATACTCTTTTAGTTGTTTTAAAATGTATGATATTGTTGACTGTAGTCACCCTGTTGTGCTATCAAATACTAGATCTTATTTATTCTGGCTGACTATATTTTTATACTTCTTAACCATCTCCATCCTCCCTATACCCCACTACCCTTCCCAGCCTCTGGTAACCATCATTCTATTCTCTATCTCCATGAGTTCAATTGTTTTAATTTTTAGATACTACAAATGAGTGAGAACATGTGATATTTGTCTTTCTGTGCCTGGTTTATTTCATTTAACACAATGTCCTCCAGTTCCATCCATGTTGTTGCAAATGACAGGATCTCATTCTTTTATATGGCTGAATAGTTCTCCATTGTGTATATGTACCACATTTTCTTTATCTGTTCATCTGTTGATGGACACCTAAGTTACTTCCAAATCTTGGCTATTGGGAATAGTGCTGCAATAAACATGGGAGTGCAGATGTCTTTTTTGATTTCACTTCTTTTGGATAAATATCCAATAGTGGAATTGCTGGATCACATGTTAGTTCTATCTTTGGTTTTTTGAGGAACTTTCATACTGTTCTCCATAGTGGCTATACTAATTTTCATTCTCACCAACTGTATATGAGGGTTCCTTTTTCTCCACATCATCACCAGCATTTGTCATTGCTTGTCTTTGGATAAAAGCCACTTTAATTGGGGTGAGATGATATCTCATTGTAGTTTTGATTTGCATTTCTCTGATGATCAGTGATGTTGAGGACCTTTTCATATACACTTTTGCCATTTGCATGTCTTTTGAGAAGTATCTATTCAGATCTTTTGCCCATTTTTAAATTGGATTATTAGATTTTTTTCCTATAGAGTTGAGCTTCTTATATATTTTGGTTATTAATCCCTTGCCAGATGGATAGTTTGAAAATATTTTCTCCCATTCTGTGGGTTGTCTCTTCACTTTGCCGATTGCTTCCATTACTGTGAAGAAACTATTTAATTTGATGTGATCTCATTTGTCCATTTTTGCTTTGGTTGCCTGTGCTTTAGGGGTATTACTCAAAAAGCCTTTGCCCAAACCAATGTCCTAGAGAGTTTCTCCAATATTTTCTTTTACTAGTTTCATTGTTTGAGGCTTTAGATTTAAGTCTTTAATCCATTTTGATTTGACTTTGTATACAGTGAGTGATAGGGGTCTAGTTTCATTCTTCTGCATATGGATATCAGTTTTCCCAGCAATATTTATTGAAAGGACCGTGCTTTCACCATTGTATGTTCTTGGCACCTTTGTCAAAAATGAGTTCACTGTAGATGTATAAATTTATTTCTGGGTTCTTCATGCTGTTTCATTGGTCTGTGGGCCTTTTTGTGTGCCAGTATGATGCTCTTTGGGTTGTTATAGCTCTGTTGTATAATTTGAAGTTAGGTAATGTGATTCTTCCAGTTTTGTTCTTTTTGCTTGGGTTGGCTTTGGCTATTCTGAGTCTTTTTTGGTTCCATATAAACCTTAGCATTACCTTTTCTTTTATTATTATTATTATCTTTAAGTTCTAGGTTACATGTGCAGAACGTGCAGTTTTGTTATACAGGTATACACGTGACATGGTGGTTTGCTGCACCCATCAACCTGTAACCTACATTAGGTATTTCTCCTAATGTTATCCCTCCCTTAGATCCCCACCCCCTACAGGCCCCAGTCTGTGATGTTCCCCTCCCTGTGTCCATGTGTTCTCATTGTTCAACTCCCACTTAAGAGTGAGAACATGCAGTGTTTGGTTTTCTGATCTCATGATAGTTTGCTGAGAATGATGGTTTCCAGTTTCATCCATGTCCTTGCAAAGGACATGAACTCATCCTTTTTTATGGCTGCATAGCATTCCATGGTGTATATGTGCCACATTTTCTTAATCCAGTCTATCACTGATGAAGTGATGGACACTTGGGTTGGTTCCAAGTTTTTGCTATTGTGAATAGTGCCACAATAAATATACGTGTGCGTGTATCTTTATAGCAGCATGATTTATAATCCTTTGGGTATATGCCCAGTAATGAGATTGCTGGGCCAAATGGTATTTCTAGTTCTAGATCCTTGAGGAATCGCCACACTGTCTTCCACAGTGGTTGAATTAATTTACACTCCCACCAACAGTGTAAAAGCGTTCCTATTTTTCCACAACCTCTCCAGCATCTGTTGTTTCCTGACTTTTTAATGATTGCCATTCTAACTGGCGTGAGATAGTATCTCATTGTGGTTTTAATTTGCATTTCTCTAATGACCAGTGATGAAGAGCATTTTTTCATATGTCTGTTGACTGCATAAATGTCTTCTTTTGAGAAGTGTCTGTTCATATCCTTTGCACATTTTTTGATGGGGTTGTTTGCTTTTTTCTTGTAAATTTGTGTAAGTTCTTTGTAGATTCTTGATATTAGCCCTTCGTCAGATGGATAGATTGCAAAATTTTTCTCCCATTCTGTAGGTTGCCTGTTCACTCTGATGATAGTTTCTTTTGCTGTGCAGAAGTTCTTTAGTTTAATTAAATCCCATTTGTCAATTTTGGCTTTTGTTGCCATTGCTTTTGGTGTTTTAGACATGAAGTCTTTGCCCATGCCTATGTCCTGAATGGTATTGCCCAGGTTTTCTTCTGGGATTTTTATGGTCCTAGGTCTTATGTTTAAGTCTTTGATCCATCTTGAGTTGATTTTTGTATAAGGTGTAAGGAAGGGGTCCAGTTTCAGTTTTCTGCATATGGCTAGCCAGTTTTCCCAACACCATTTATTAAATAGGGAATATTTTCCCCATTGCTTGTGTGTGTCATGTTTGTCAAAGATCAGATGGTGGTAGATGTGTGGTGTTAATTCTGAGGCCTCCTTTCTGTTCCATTGGTCTATATCTCTGTTTTGGTACCAGTACCGTACTGTTTTGGTTACTGTGGCCTTGTAGTATAGTTTGAAGTCAGGTAACATGATGCCTCCAGCTTTGTTCTTCTTGCCCAGGATTGTCTTGGCTATGCGGGGTCTTTTTTGGTTCCATATGAAGTTTAAAGAAGTTTTTTTCCAATTCTGTGAGGAAATTCATTGGTAGCTTGATGGGGATAGCATTGAATCTATAAATTATTTTGGGCAGTAAGGCCATTTTCATGATATTGATTCTTCCTATCCATGAGGATGGAATGTTTTTCCATTTGTTTATGTCCTCTCTTATTTCCTTGAGCAGTGGTTTGTAGTTCTCCTTGAAGAAGTCTTTCACATCCCTTGTAAGTTGTATTCCTAGGTATTTTATTCTGTTAGTAGCAGTTGTCAATGGGAGTTCACTCATGATTTGGCTCTCTGTTTGTCTGTTATTGGTATATAGGAATGCTTGTGATTTTTGCACATTGATTTTGTATCCTGAGACTTTGCTGAAGTTGCTTATTAGCTTAGGGTGATTTGGGGCTGAGACAATGGGGTTTTCTAAATATACAATCATGTCATCTGCAAACAGAGACAATTTGACTTCCTCTCTTCCTGTTTGAATACCCATTATTGCTTTCTCTTGCCTGATTACCCTGGCCAGATCTTCCAATACTATGTTGAATAGGAGTGGTGAGAGAGGGCATCCTTGTCTTGTGCCAGTTTTCAAAGGGAATGCTTCCAGTTTTTGCCCATTCAGTATGATATTGGCTGTGGGTTTGTCATAAATAGCTCTCACTATGTTGAGATACGTACCATTGACACCTAGTTTATTGAGAGTTTTTAGCATGAAAGGCTATTGAATTTTGTCAAAGGCCTTTTCTGCATCTATTGAGATAATCATGTGGTTTTTGTCATTGGTTCTGTTTATGTGACAGATTACATTTATTGATTTGCGTATGTTGAGCCAGCCTTGCATCCCAGGGATGAAGCCAACTTGAAAATGGTAGATAAGCTTTTTGATGTGCTGCTGGATTTGGTTTGCCAGTATTTTATTGAGGATTTTCACATCGCAGTTCATCAGGATATTTGCCTAAAATTCTCTTTTTTTGTTGTGTCTCCACCAGGCTTTGGTATCAGGATGATGCTGGCCTCATAAAATGAATTAGGGAGGATTCCCTCTTTTTCTCTTGACTGGAATAGTTTCAGAAGGAATGGTACCAGCTCCTCTTTGTACCTCTGGTAGAATTTGGCTGTGAATCCATCTGGTCCTGACTTTTTTTTGGTTGGTAGGCTACTAATTATTGCCTCAGTTTCAGAACCTGTTATTGGTCTATTCAAGGATTCAACTTCTTCCTGTTTTAGTCTTGGGAGGGTGTATGTGTCTAGTAATTTATCCATTTCCTCTAGATTTTCTAGTTTATTTGTGTAGAGGTGTTTATAGTATTCTCTGGTGGTAGTTTGTATTTCTGTGGGAACAATGGTGATATCCCCTTTATCATTTTTTATTACATCTATTTGATTCTTCTCTCTTTTCTTCTTGCTAGCAGTCTATCTATTTTGTTGATATTTTTTAAAAAACCAGCTCCTGGATTCATTGATTTTTTTGATGGTTTTTTTGTGTCTCTATCTCCTTCAGTTCTGCTCTGATCTTAGCTATTTCTTGCCTTCTGCTAGCTTTTGAATTTGTTTGCTCTTGCTTCTCTAGTTCTTTTAATTATGATGTTAGGGTGTCGATTTTAGATCTCTCCTGCTTTCTCTTGTGGGCATTTAGTGCTATCATTTTCCCTCCACACACTGCTTTAAATGTGTCCCAGAGATTCTGGTATGTCGTGTCTTTGTTCTCATTGGTTTCAAAGAACATCTTTATTTCTGCCTTCATTTCGTTATTTACCCAGTAGTCGTTCAGCAGCAAGTTGTTCAATTTCCATGTAGTTGTGTGGTTTTGAGTGAGATTCTTAGTTCTGAGTACTAATTTGATTGCGCTGTAGTCTGAGAGACAGTTTGTTGTGATTCTATTCTTTTACATTTGCTGAGGAGTGTTTTACTTCCAATTATGTGGTCAATTTTAGAATAAGTGCGATGTGCTGCTGAGAAGAATGTATATTCTGTTGATTTTGGGGTGGAGATTTCTGTAGTTGTCTATTAGTTTCCGCTTGGTCCAGAGCTGAGTTCAAGTCCTGGATATCCTTGTTAATTTTCTGTCTCGTTGATCTGTCTAATATTGACATTGAGGTGTTAAAGTCTCCCATTATTATTGTGTGGGAGTCTAAGTCTCTTTGTAGGTCTCTAAGAACTTGCTTTATGAATCTGGATGCTCCTGGATAGGGTGCATATATATTTAGGGTAGTTGGCTCTTCTTGTTGAATTGATCCCTTTAGCATTATGTAATGGCCTTCTTTGTCTCTTTTGATCTTTGTTGGTTTAAAGTCTGTTTTATCAGAGACCAGGATTGCAACCCCCATGTTTTTTTTGCTTTCCATTTGCTTGGTAGATCTTCCTCCATCCCTTTATTTTGAGCCTATGTGTGTCTTTGCATGTGAGAGAGATGGGTCTCCTGAATACAGCACACCAATGGGTCTTGACTCATTATCCAATTTGCCATTCTGTGTCTTTTAATTGGGGCATTTAGCCCATTTACATTGAAGGTTAACATTGTTATGTGTGAATTTGGTGCTGTCATCATGATGCTAGCTGGTTATTTCACCCATTAATTAATGCAATTTCTTCATAGTGTCAGTGGTCTTTACAATTTGGTATGTTTTTGCAGTGGCTGGTACCGGTTGTTCCTATCCATATTTAATGCTTCCTTCAGGAGCTCTTGTAAGGCACGCCTGGAGGTGACAAAATCTCTCAGCATTTGCTTGTCTGTAAAGGATTTTATTTCTCCTTTACTTATGAAGCTTAGTTTGGCTGGATATGAAATTCTGGGTTAAAAATTCTTTTCTTTAAGAATGTTGAACATTGGCCCCCACTCTCTTCTGGCTTGTGGGTTTCTGCCGAGAGAGATCCACTGTTAGTCTGATGGGCTTCCCTTTGTGGGTAACTCGACCTTTCTTTCTGGCTGCCCTTAACACTTTTTCCTTCATTTCAACCTTGGTGAATCTGACAATTATGTCTTGGGGTTGATCTTCTCGAGGAGTATGTTTATGGTGTTCTCTGTATTTCCTGAATTTGAATGTTGGCCTGCCTTGCTAGGTTGGGGAAGTTTTTCTGGATAATATCCTGAAGAGTGTTTTCTCACTTGGTTCCATTCTCCCCGTCACTTTCAGGTACACCAATCAAACGTAGATTTGATCTTTTCACATAGTCCCATATTTCTTGGAGGCTTTGTTCATTTCTTTTTACTCTTTTTTCTCCAATCTTGTCATCTCACTTTATTTCATTATTTTGATCTTCAATCACTGATATCCTTTCTTCTGCTTGATCAAATTGGCTACTGAAACTTGTGTATGCTTTACGAAGTTCTCATACTGTGGTTTTCAGCTCATCAGGTCATTTAAGCTCTTCTCTACACTGATTATTCTAGTTAGCCATTCATCTAACCTTTTTTCAAGGTTTTTGGCTTCCTTGCAATGGGTTAGAATATGCTCCTTTAGTTGGAGAAGTTTGTTATTCCCGACCTTCTGAAGCCTACTTCTGTCAGTTCGTCAAACTCATTCTCCATTCAGTTTTGTTCCCTTGCTGGTGAGGAGTTGTGTTCCTTTGGAGGAGAAGAGGCATTCTGGTGTTTGGAATTTTCAGCCTTTCTGCTCTGGTTTCTCCCCATCTTTGTGGTTTTATCTACCTTTGGTCTTTGATGTTGGTGACCTAAGGATGGGGTTTGGTGTGGATGTCCTTTTTGTTGATATTGATGCTATTCTTTTCTGTTTGTTAGTTTTCCTTCTGACATATGGGCCCCTCAGCTGCAGATCTGTTGGAGTTTGCTGGAGGTCCACTCCAGACCCTGGGTGTCACCAGCAGATGCTGCAGAACAGCAAATATTGCTGCCTGATCCTTTCTCTGGAAGCTTCATCCCAGAGGGGCAGCCACCTATGAGGTGTCTGTCAGCCCCTACTGGGAGGTGTCTCCCAGTCAGGCTACACGGGGGTCAGGGACCCACTTGAGGATGCAGTCTGTCCATTATCGGAGTTTGAATGCTGTACTGGGAGAACCACTGCTCTCTTCAGAGCTGTCAGGCAAGGATGTTTAAGTCTGTAGAAGCTGTCTGCTGCCTTTTGTTCAGGTATGTCCTGCCCCCAGAGGTGGAATCTAGAGAGGCAGTAGGCCTTGCTGAGCTACGGTGGGCTCCACCCAGATAGAGCTTCCCTGCTGCTTTGTTTACACTGTGAGCATAGAACCACCTACTCAAGCCTCAGCAATGGTGGCCACCCCTCCCCCTGCCAAGCTCCAGCATCCCAGATCGATCTCAGACTGCTGCACTAGCAGTGAGCAAGGCTCCGTGGGTGTGGTACCTGCTGAGCCAGGCATGGGAGGGGATCTCCTGGTCTGCCAGTTGTGAAGACCATGGGAAAAACACAGTATTTGGGCAGGAGTGTACCACTCCTCCAGGTACAGTCACTCATGGCCTCCCTTGGCTAGGAAAGGGAAATCCCCCTACCCCTTGCACTTCCCGGGTGAGGCAATGCCCTGCCCTGCTTTGGCTCACCCTCTGTGGGCTGCACCCACTGTCCAACCAGTCCCAATGAGATGAACCAGGTACCTCAGTTGGAAATGCAGAAATCGTCCGTCTTCTACATCGATATCACTGGTAGCTGTTCCTGTTTGGCCATCTTGGGAGGAGGGCCAGCATTACCTTTTCTATTTCTGTGAAGAATGTCATTGGTATTTTCATAGGAATTGCATTGATTCTGTAGATTGCTTTAGGTAGTATAGCCATTTTAACAATATTGATTCTTCCAACCCATGATCATGGAATATCTTTCCTTTTCTTTTTGGTGTCCTCTTAAATTTCTTGCATCATGTTTTACATTTTCATTGTAGAGATCTTTCACTTCTTTAGTTAAGTATATTCCTAGGTGTCTTGTTTTATTTGTAGCCACTATAAATGGGATTACTTTCTTGATTTCTTTTTTCTAATTGTTCACTGTTGGCACATAGAAATGTTACTGATTTTTGTATGTTGATTTTGTGTCCTGCAACTTTACTGAATTTGTTTATCCACTGTAATAGATTTTCAGGGTACTCTTTAGTTTTTTCCAAAAATAAGCCATGTCATCTGAAAACAAGCAAAATTTGACTTCTTCTTTTCCAGTCTGGATGCCCTTTATTTCTTTCTCTTGTCAAATTGCTCTAGTTAGGAGTTCCAGTACTATGTTGATAACAGTGGTAGAAGTGGGCATCCTTGTCTTGGTCCAGATCTTAGAGGAAAGGCTTTCAGTTTTTCCCCATTCAGTATGGATCTGTTGTATATGGTTTTTTATCATGTTAAGGTATGTTCCTTCTATATCCAGTTTTTGGGGGGCTTTTATCATGAATGAATGTTGAATTTTATCAAATGCTTTTTCAGCACCAGTTGAAATGATCATATGGTTTTGGCCTTTATTCTGTTGAATTGATGTATCACATTGATTTATTTGTGTATATTGAACTATCTTTGCATCCCTGAGATAAAGCCCACTTGATTATGATGAATGTTGTTTTCATGTGTTGTTGAATTTTTTGCTTCTATTTTGTTGAGAATTTTTGCATCAATATTCAACAGGGATATTGGCCTTTAGTTTTCTTTTTATTTTTCAATGTGTCTTTGTCTGGTTTTGGAGGGTAACACTGTCCTCATAGAATAAGTTTGGTAGTGTTCCCTCCTCTATTTTTTTGGAGTAGTTTGAGTAGAACTGGTATTAGTTCTTCTTTAAATGTTTTGTAAAATTCAGCAGCAAAGCCATTGAGCCCTGAGCCTTTCTTTGCTGGGAGACTTTTTAGTACAGCTTCAATGTCATTACTTGTTATTGGTCTATTCAGGCTTTGGATTTTGTGATGGTTCAATCTTGATAGGTTGGTTGTATGCATCTAGGAGTTTCTCCATTTCTTGTAGGTTTTCCAATTTATTGGCATATAGTTGCTTATATTAGCCTCTAATGGTCCTTTGAATTTCTGTGGTGTCTGTCGTAATGGCTCCTTTTTTATCTCTGATTTTATTTGAGTCTTCTCTCAAATTTTGTTTAACTTTTCAGAAAACTAACTTTTTGTTTCATTTATGTTTTGTATTTTTTATTTCAATGTCATTTATTTCTGCTCTGATTTGTATTATTTCTTTTCTTATGCTAATTTTGGGCTGGTTTGCTCTAGTTCTTTAAGCTGCATCAATAAGTTGTTTATTTGAAGTTTTTCTACTCTTTTGATCTAGGTGCTTATTGCTATAAACTTTCCTCTTAGTACTGCTTTTGCTGTACCCCATAGGTTTTGGTATGTTGTGTTTTCATTTTCATTTATTTCAAGACATTTTTAAACTTCCTTCTTAATTTCTTCATTGACCCACTGGTCATTAGGAGCATATTGTTTAAATTCCATATGTTTGTATAGTTTCCAAAGTTCCTCTTGTTATTGATTTCTAGTTTTATTCCATTGTGGTCAGAAAAGATACTTATTATGGTTTCATTTTTTCTTTTTTGAAACTTGTAAGATTTGTTTTGTGGCCTGACATATGGTCTCCTTGAGAATGAGCCATATGATAAGGAGAAGAATGTATATTTTGCAGCCGTTGGATGAAATATTCTGTAAATATCTATTAGGTCCATTTGTTCTGTAGTGCACATTAAGTCTGATGTTTCTTTGTTGATTTCTGTCTAGATGATCTTTCCAATGCTGAAAGTGAGGTGTTAAAGTCATCAGCTATTATTGTATTGGGGTCTATCTCTCTCTTTCACTCTAATAATATTTGCTTGATATATCTAGGTGCTCCAGTGTTAGGTGCACATATACTTACAATTATTACATCCTCTTGCTGAATTGACCCCTTTATCATTATATAATGACTCTCTTTGTCTCTTTTTATAGTTTTTGTCTTGACATTTATTTTATCTGATGTAAGTATAGCTACTCCTGCTCTCTTTTGGTTTCCATTTGCATGGAATATCTTTTCCATCCATTTATTTTCAGTTTATTTACGTCTTCATAGGTGAAGTATGTTTCCTGTAAAAAACAGATAGCTGGGGCCGGGTGCAGTGGCTCATGCCTGTAATCCCAGGACTTTGGGAGGCTGAGGCGGGCGGATCATGAGGTCAGGAGATCGAGACCATCCTGGCTAACACAGTGAAACCCCGTCTCTACTAAAAATACAAAAAAATTAGCTGGGCGTGTTGGCGGGTGCCTGTAGTCCCAGCTACTCAGGAGGCTGAGGCAGGAGAATGGCGTGAACCCAGGAGGCGGAGCTTGCAGTGAGCTGAGATCATGCCACTGCACTCCAGCCTGGGCGACTGAGCAAGACTCAACTCCAAAACAAACAAACAAACAAAAAAAACCAGATAGCTGGGTCTCGTTTTTTTATTTTTATCCATTCAGCTACTTTATGTTTTTTTCTTGGAGAGTTTAGCTCATTTACATTAAATGTTATTGTTGATAAGTAAGGACTTCCTTGTGTCATTTTGCTATTTGTTTTCTGGTTGTTTTGTGGTCTTCTCTTCCTTCCTTCTTTCCTTTCTGTCTTCCTTTGTGTGAAGGTGGTTTTCTCTGGTGGCATATTTTAATTTCTTGTTTTTTTATTTTTTGTGTATCTGTCTTAGGCTTTTTTATTTGAGGTTACCATTAAGCTTGCAAATAACATGTTATAAGCCATTATGTTAAAGTGATGACAGCACTGATTGAAAAAGAAAAAAACAAATTAACAAACAAGCACAGAGATAACTAATAACACTACATTTAATTTTATTCCCCTTTTTAACTTTTTATTTATTTATATATTATTGTGCTATGTCTTGAAAAGTTGTTGTAGTTATTATTTTGATAGGTTTATCTTTTAGTCTTTCTACACAAGATATGAGTAGTTTACACACTACAATTGCAGTGTCATAATATTCTGTGTTTGTCTGTGAGTTTTGTACCTTCAGACAATTTCTTATTGCTCCCTTTTCTTTCAGAATGAAGAACTCCCTTTAGCATTTCTTATAGCATAGGTCTGGTGTTAATGAGGTCCCTCAGCTTTTTGTTTACCTGGGAAAATCTTTATTTCTCTTTCACGTTTGAAGTCTATTTTTACTGGATGTACTATTCTAGGATGAAAGTTTTTTCCTTCAACACTTTAAATATGTTATGTCACTTTCTCCTGGCATGTAAGGTTTCCCTGAGAAGCCTGCTGCAAGATGTGTGGGAGCTCATTTGTATGTTATTTGTTTCTTTTCTCTTACTGCCTTCTTTTAAGATTCTTTCTTTATCCTTGACCTTTGGGAGTTTGATTATTAAATGCCTCGAGGTAGTCTTCTTGGGTTAAATCTGCTTGATGTTCTTCTATAACTCTCTTACTTGAATATTGATATGTTTCTCTAGCTTTGGAAAGTTCTTTGTTATTATCCCTTTGAATAAATTTTCTACCCTGATCTCTCCCTCTACCTCCTCTATAAGGCCAATAGCTAGGCTATTTTCAAAATCTTGTAGGTGTGCTGCATTCTATAAGGCCAATAGCTAGGCTATTTTCTAAATCTTGTAGGTGTGCTGCATTCTTTTTTATTCTTTATTCTTATTTGTCTCCTTGGACTGTATATTTTCAAATACACCATCTTCAAGCTCACTAATTTTTTCTTCTGCTTGATCAATTCTACTGTTGAAAGACTCTGATGCATTCTTTAGCATGTTAATCGAATTTTTCAGCTCCAAATTTTCTGCATTTTTAAAATTATTTCAATTTCTCTGTTAAATTTCTCTAATAGGATTCTGAATTCCTTCTCTGTGTTATCTTGAATTCCATTGAGCTTCCTCAAGACAGCTATTTATTTTTAATATCATACTTTAAGTTCTAGGGTACATGTGCACAATGTGCAGGTTTGTTACATAGGTATACATGTGCCATGTTGGTGTGCTGCACTCATTAACTCGTCATTTACAGTAGGTATATCTCCTGATGCTATCCCTCCCCCAGACCCCCCACCCCATGACAGACCCCAGTGGGTGACGTTCCCCATCCTGTGTCCATGTGTTCTCATTGTTCAATTCCCACCTATGAGTGAGAACATTCAGTGTTTGGTTTTCTGTCCTTGCGATAGTTTGCTCAGAATGATGGTTTCCAGCTTCATCCGTGTCCCTACAAAGGACATGAACCATTCATCCTTTTTTGTGACTGTATAGTATTCCATGGTGTATATGTGCCACATTTTCTTAATCCAGTCTATCATTGTTGGACATTTGGATTGGTTCCAAGTTTTTGCTATTGTGAATAGTGCTGCAATAAACATACGTGTGCATGTGTCTTTATAGCAGCATGATTTATAATCCTTTGGGTATATACCCAGTAATGGGATGGCTGGGTCAAATGGTATTTCTAGTTCTAGATCCTTGAGGAATCGCCACACTGTCTTCCACAATGGTTGAACTAGTTTACAGTCCCACCAACAGTGTAAAAGTATTCCTATTTCTCCACACCCTCTCCAGCGCCTGTTGTTTCCTGACTTTTTAATGATTGCCATTCTAACTGGTGTGAGATGGTATCTCATTGTGGTTTTGATTTGCATTTCTCTGACGGCTGGTGATGATGAGCATTTTTTCATGTGTTTTTTGGCTGCATAAATGTCTTCTTTTGAGAAGTGTCTGCTTATATCCTTTGCCCATTTTTTGATGGGGTTGTTTGATTTTTTCTTGTAAATTTGTGTAAGTTCTTTGTAGATTCTGGATATTAGCCTTTTGTCAGATGGATAGATTGCAAAAATTCTCTCCCATTCTGTAGGTTGCCTGAGACAGCTATTTTGAATTCTCTGTCAGAAAGATTTCTCCAGGATTGGTCATTGGTGCCTTGTTTAATTTGCTTGGTGATGTCATGTTTTCCTGGATGGTCTTGATGCTTGTGGATCCTTGTCAATGTGTAGGCATTGAAGAATTAGGTATTTATTGTGGTCTTCACAATCTGGCCTTGTTTGTGTACCCATCCTTCTTGGGAAGGTTTTCCAAGTATTCAAAGGGAATTGACTGCTATGATCTAAATCTTTAGTCACTGCAGCTGTATCTGCATTAGGAGATACCCCAAGCCCAGTAATACTATGACTCTTGTAGAATCATAGAGGTGCCTTGGGTAAGATCTGGGAGAATTCCCTGAATTACCAGGCTAAGACTCTTGTTCTCTTCCCTTACTCTAGCGCAAAAAACAGTCCCTCTCTCCATGCTGAGATGTCTGGAGCTGGGGGGCTGGTGACACAAGCAACCCTGTGCCCATCACCAATAGGACTATGCTGGGTCAGACACAAAGCCAGCACAGCACTGAGTCTCATCCAAGGCCCATGGCAACCACTACCTGGTTACTACCAACTTTCACGCAAGGTCCAAGTAATCCATCTCAGATGATTTCTTTGGGTAGGGAGTGGGGTAAGGGTCAAGTTTGTTATAGATTGAGTTATCCATGAAACAGACTTACATGCAGGAGTATTCACAGCTAAAATACTCTTGAGGGATGAAGAAAGCAGAATTGTGCAGAGGAACTGTGGTACAACAGGGGCCTCAGTGAATCCTATGAGGAGCCTGATATTTTATCTAGCTCCTTAGTATCATTCCAAATGATGCAAGAGAGCTGGGCATTTGAACCTCTGCATCAACCAGTTACAGGATTTGGGCTGCCACCAGGGAGAGATTGTGATATTGGTTGGCCAGAACAATTCCCGGGGAGACAGGTACTCAGTTGTGAGCCATTAGCAGCCACCAACATGCTAGCAAAAGAGAAAAGGAGTCACAGGGCAGGAGGAGGGGTCAAATGAATGGGGTACGGGTGGGTCGGAGGGATGTAGGGGTGATGAACTATAGAACTCATGACAAGATTCCTTGTTTTATTTTTCCATATGGATATCTAGTTTCTCTCCCACCATTTCTTGAAAGACCTTGAACTGACTTGGGGCCTTGGTCAAAAGTCAATTGTGTGAGTCAATACCTCTAGTCTATATTATGTTTTATTAATTTATTTATCAATTCTTATGGCAATATCAAACAGTCTTGATGACTATAGTTTTATAATAATTGTTGCTATTGTGTAGTGTAAATCCTCCAAATTATTGAACTTGTTCATTTCCAAAATTGTTTTTGCTCTTATAGATCATTAGCATTTTCAGAAAATTGTTAGGATCAGTTTAAATGTCTTCAACTAACTTTGCTAAATTTGTTTGTATATTAAATCTATGGATAAATTTGGGGAGAACGAACATCTTAATATTAAACTATTCAATTAATGAATGCCATATGTATCTGCCAGTGTATTTATGTTTTCTTTAATATTTTTCAGCAATCTTTTGTAATTTTCAATGTGTAAGTCATATATCTCCCAATGTATTTGTGTTTTCTTTAATTTTTTCAGCAATCTTTGGTAATTTTCAATATGTAGGTCTTGTATGTCTTCCTTTAGTTTAACTTCCAGTTATTTAGTTTTAAAATGCTATTGTAAATAGCATTTTAAAATAATTTCATTTTCCAATTGCTTAGTGATAGTATATAGAAATACGGTAGATTTGCACATTGAACATGTATCATACTACCTTGCAAATTCACTTGTCAGTTCTAGCAGTTTTTGGTGAATTATAATGAGTATTTTCAATGCAAAACCAGGCATGCAATCCTGTAGTTTACATATAGTGACAGTTTTACATTTTCCTCTCCAAACTTTTTGCTTCTTTCTCTTTTCTTATTTCACTAGACTAGATTGCAGTACAATGTTTAATAGAAGTGATAAGAGTGTACATTTTCCCATATCCCAGAGGAAATGTATCCATCATTTTGTGATATATAATATAGCTATTGGTTTTCCATATATGATCTTTATCACATTGAAAAAGTGCCCTTCTGTTCCTCATTTGCTGAGAATTTTTATCATGAATAGACAAGGAATTTTGTCAAATTCCTTTTTTGCATTTATCCAGATATTCATATTTTTAAATTATTCTATTATTGCCAATTGCTGGTTGATTTTTCAAATAATAACCTAACTATATTCTGGGAATAACATGAACTTGGTCATGCTTTTTAGGTATTTCTGTATTCAACTTGCTAATTTTTAAAAAGTTTATTTAGTATAACCATTATGGAGTACAGTTTGGATGTTCCTCAAGAAACTAAAAATAGAGCTACCATAGGATCCAGCAATCCCCCTGTGGGACATATGCCCAAAAGAAAAGAACTCAGTATATCTGAGAGATATTTGCACTCCCACGTTTGTTGCAGCACTGTTCACAATAGCCAAGATTTGGAAACAACCTAAATGTCCATTAGCAGATAAGTGGATAAAGAAAATGTGGTATATACACAATGGAGTACTACTATTCAGCCATAAAAAAGAATGAGATGAAGATGGCCGAATAGGAACAGCTCCGGTCTACAGCTCCCAGCGTGAGCGATGCAGAAGACGGGTGATTTCTGCATTTCCATCTGAGGTACCAGGTTCATCTCACTAGGGAGTGCCAGACAGTGGGCGCAGGTCAGTGGGTGTGCAAACCATGCACGAGCCGAAGCAGGGCGAGGCATTGCGTCACTTGGGAAGCGCAAGGGGTCAGGGAGTTCCCTTTCCAAGTCAAAGAAAGGGGTGACAGACACACCTGGAAAATCGGGTCACTCCCACCCGAATATTGCACCTTTCGGACCAGCTTAAAAAACAGCGCACCACGAGATTATATCCCACACCTGGCTCGGAGGGTCCTACGCCCACGGAGTCTCACTGATTGCTAGCACAGCAGTCTGAGATCAAACTGCAAGGCGGCAGCAAGGCTGGGGAAGGGGCGCCCGCCATTGCCCAGGCTTGCTTAGGTAAACAAAGCAGCCGGGAAGCTCGAACTGGGTGGAGCCCAACACAGCTCAAGGAGGCCTGCCTGCCTCTGCAGGCTCCACCTCTGGTGGCAGGGCACAGACAAACAAAAAGACAGCAGTAACCTCTGCAGACTTAAATGTCCCTGTCTGACAGCTTTGAAGAGAGCAGTGGTTCTCCCAGCACACAGTTGGAGATCTGAGAATGGGCAGACTGCCTCCTCAAGTGGGTCCCTGACCCCTGACCACCGAGCAGCCTAACTGGGAGGCACCCCCCAGCAGGGGCACACTGACACCTCACACAGCAGGGTATTCCAACAGACCTGCAGCTGAGGGTCCTGTCTGTTTGTTAGAAGGAAAACTAACAAACAGAAAGGACATCCACACCAAAAACCCATCTTTACATCACCATCATCAAAGACCAAAAGTAGATAAAACACAAAGATGGGGGAAAAACAGAACAGAAAAACTGGAAACTCTAAAACGCAGAGCGCCTCTCCTCCACCAAAGGAACGCAGTTCCTCACCAGCAACGGAACAAAGCTGGATGGAGAATGACTTTGACGAGCTGAGAGAAGAAGGCTTCAGACGATCAAATTACTCCGAGCTATGGGAGGACATTCAAACCAAAGGCAAAGAAGTTGAAAACTTTGAAAAAAATTTAGAAGAATGTATAACTAGAATAACCAATACAGAAAAGTGCTTAAAGGAGCTGATGGAGCTGAAAACCAAGGCTCGAGAACTACGTGAAGAATGCAGAAGCCTCAGGAGCCGATGCAATCAACTGGAAGAAAGGGTATCAGCAATGGAAGATGAAATGAATGAAATGAAGTGAGAAGGGAAGTTTAGAGAAAAAAGAATAAAAAGAAATGAGCAAAGCCTCCAAGAAATATGGGACTATGTGAAAAGACCAAATCTATGTCTGATTGGTGTACCTGAAAGTGATGGGGAGAATGGAACCAAGCTGGAAAACACTCTGCAGGAGATTATCCAGGAGAACTTCCCCAATCTAGCAAGGCAGGCCAACGCTCAGATTCAGGAAATACAGAGAACGCCACAAAGATACTCCTCGAGAAGAGCAACTCCAAGACACATAATTGTCAGATTCACCAAAGTTGAAATGAAGGAAAAAATGTTAAGGGCAGCCAGAGAGAAAGGTCGGGTTACCCTCAAAGGGAAGCCCATCAGACTAACAGCAGATCTCTTGGCAGAAACCCTACAAGCCAGAAGAGAGTGGGGGCCAATATTCAACATTCTTAAAGAAAAGAATTTTCAACCCAGAATTTCATATCCAGCCAAACTAAGCTTCATAAGTGAAGGAGAAATAAAATACTTTACAAACAAGCAAATGCTGGGAGATTTTGTCACCACCAGGCCTGCCCTAAAAGAGCTCCTGAAGGAAGCGCTAAACATGGAAAGGAACAACCGGTACCAGCCGCTGCAAAATCATGCCAAAATGTAAAGACCATTGAGACTAGGAAGAAACTGCATCAACTAATGAGCAAAATCACCAGCTAACATCATAATGACAGGATCAAATTCACACATAACAATATTAACTTTAAATGTAAATGGACTAAATGCTCCAATTAAAAGACACAGACTGGCAAATTGGATAAAGAGTCAAGACCCATCAGTGTGCTGTATTCAGGAAACCCATCTCACGTGCAGAGACACACATAGGCTCAAAATAAAAGGATGGAGGAAGATCTACCAAGCAAATGGAAAACAAAAAAAGGCAGGGGTTGCAATCCTAGTCTCTGATGAAACAGACTTTAAACCAACAAAGATCAAAAGAGACAAAGAAGGCCATTACATAATGGTAAAGGGATCAATTCAACAAGAAGAGCTAACTATCCTAAATATATAGGCACCCAATACAGGAGCACCCAGATTCATAAAGCAAGTCCTGAGTGACCTACAAAGAGACTTAGACTCCCACACATTAATAATGGGAGGCTTTAACACCCCACTGTCAACATTAGACAGATCAACAAGACAGAAAGTCAACAAGGATACCCAGGAATTGAACTCAGCTCTGCACCAAGCGGACCTAATAGACATCTACAGAACTCTCCACCCCAAATCAACAGAATATACATTTTTTTCAGCACCACACCACACCTATTCCAAAATTGACCACATACTTGGAAGTAAAGCTCTCCTCAGCAAATGTAAAAGAACAGAGATTATAACAAACTATCTCTCAGACCACAGTGCAATCAAACTAGAACTCAGGATTAAGAATCTCACTCAAAACCACTCAACTACATGGAAACTGAACAACCTGCTCCTGAATGACTACTGGATACATAATGAAATGAAGGCAGAAATAAAGATGTTCTTTGAAACCAACGAGAACAAAGACACAACATACCAGAATATCTGGGACGCATTCAAAGCAGTGTGTAGAGGGAAATTTATAGCACTAAATGCCCACAAGAGAAAGCAGGAAAGATCCAAAATTGACACCTAACATCACAATTAAAAGAACTAGAAAAGCAAGAGCAAACACATTCAAAAGCTAGCAGAAGGCAAGAAATAACTAAAATCAGAGCAGAACTGAAGGAAATAGAGACACAAAAAACCATTCAAAAAATTAATTAATCCAGGAGCTGGTTTTTTGAAAGGATCAACAAAATTGATAGACCGCTAGCAAGACTAATAAAGAAAAAAAGAGAGAAGAATCAAATAGACGCAATAAAAAATGATAAAGGGGATATCACCACCGATCCCACAGAAATACAAACTACCATCAGAGCATACTACAAACACCTCTATGCAAATAAACTAGAAAATCTAGAAGAAATGGATAAATTCCTCGACACATACACTCTCCCAAGACTAAACCAGGAAGAAGTTGAATCTCTGAATAGACCAATAACAGGAGCTGAAATTGTGGCAATAATCAATAGTTTACTAACCAAAAAGAGTCCAGGACCAGATGGATTCACAGCCGAATTCTATCAGAGGTACAAGGAGGAACTGGTACCATTCCTTCTGAAACTATTCCAATCAATAGAAAAAGAGGGAATCCTCCCTAACTCATTTTATGAGGCCAGCATCATTCTGATACCAAAGCTGGGCAGAGACACAACCAAAAAAGAGAATTTTAGACCAATATCCTTGATGAACATTGATGCAAGAATCCTCAATAAAATACTGGCAAAACGAATCCAGCAGCACATCAAAAAGCTTATCCACCATGATCAAGTGGGCTTCATCCCTGGGATGCAAGGCTGGTTCAATATACGCAAATCAATAAATGTAATCCAGCATATAAACAGAGCCAAAGACAAAAACCACATGATTATCTCAATAGATGCAGAAAAAGCCTTTGACAAAATTCAACAACGCTTCATGCTAAAAACTCTCAATAAATTAGGTATTGATGGGACGTATTTCAAAATAATAAGAGCTATCTATGACAAACCCACAGCCAATATCATACTGAATGGGCAAAAACTGGAAGCATTCCCTTTGAAAACTGGCACAAGACAAGGATGCCCTCTCTCACCACTCCTATTCAACATAGTGTTGGAGGTTCTGGCCAGGGCAATTAGGCAGGAGAAGGAAATAAAGGGTATTCAATTAGGAAAAGAGGAAGTCAAATTGTCCCTGTTTGCAGATGACATGATTGTGTATCTAGAAAACCCCATTGTCTCAGCCCAAAATCTCCTTAAGCTGATAAGCAACTTCAGCAAAGTCTCAGGATACAAAATCAATGTACAAAAATCACAAGCATTCTTATACACCAACAACAGACAGACAGAGGGCCAAATCATGAGTGAACTCCCATTCACAATTGCTTCAAAGAGAATAAAATACCTAGGAATCCAACTTACAAGGGATGTGAAGGACCTCTTCAAGGAGAACTACAAACCACTGCTCAAGGAAATAAAAGAGGATACAAACAAATGGAAGAACATTCCATGCTCATGGGTAGGAAGAATCAATATCATGAAAATGGCCATACTGCCCAAGGTAATTTACAGATTCAATGCCATCCCCATCAAGCTACCAATGACTTTCTTCACAGAATTGGAAAAAACTACTTTAAAGTTCATATGGAACCAAAAAAGAGCCCGCATCGCCAAGTCAATCCTAAGCCAAAAGAACAAAGCTGGAGGCATCACACTACCTGACTTCAAACTATACTACAAGGCTACAGTAACCAAAACAGCATGGTACTGGTACCAAAACAGAGATATAGATCAATGGAACAGAACAGAGCCCTCAGAAATAATGCCACATATCTACAACTATCTGATCTTTGACAAACCTGAGAAAAACAAGCAATGGGGAAAGGATTCCCTATTTAATAAATGGTGCTGGGAAAACTGGCTAGCCATATGTAGAAAGCTGAAACTGGATCCCTTCCTTACACCTTATACAAAAATCAATTCAAGATGGATTAAAGACTTAAACGTTAGACCTAAAACCATAAAAACCCTAGAAGAAAACCTAGGCATTACCATTCAGGACATAGGCATGGGCAAGGACTTCATGTCCAAAACACCAAAAGCAATGGCAACAAAAGACAAAATTGACAAATGGGATCTAATTAAACTAAAGAGCTTCTGCACAGCAAAAGAAACTACCATCAGACTGAACAGGCAGCCTACAAAATGGGAGAAAATTTTTGCAACCTACTCATCTGACAAAGGGCTAATATCCAGAATCTACAATGAACTCAAACAAATTTACAAGAAAAAAACAAACAACCCCATCAAAAAGTGGGCGAAGGACATGAACAGACACTTCTCAAAAGAAGACATTTATGCAGCCAAAAAACACATGAAAAAATGCTCATCACTGGCCATCAGAGAAACGCAAATCAAAACCACAATGAGATACCATCTCACACCAGTTAGAATGGCAACCATTAAAAAGTCAAGAAACAACAAGTGCTGGAGAGGATGTGGAGAAATAGGACCACTTTGACACTGTTGGTGGGACTGTAAACTAGTTCAACCATTGTGGAAGTCAGTGTGGTGATTCCTCAGGGATCTAGAACTAGAAATACCATTTGACCCAGCCATCCCATTACTGGGTATATACCCAAAGGACTATAAATCATGCTGCTATAAAGACACATGCACACGTATGTTTATTGTGGCACTATTCACAATAGCAAAGACTTGGAACCAACCCAAATGTCCAGCAATGATAGACTGGATTAAGAAAATGTGGCACATATATACCATGGAATACTATGCAGCCATAAAAAATGATGAGTTCATGTCCTTTGTAGGGACATGGATGAAATTGGAAATCATCATTCTCAGTAAACTATCGCAAGAACAAAAAACCAAACACCGCATATTCTCACTCATAGGTGGGAATTGAACAATGAGATCACATGGACACAGGAAGGGGAATATCACACTCTGGGGACTGTGGTGGGGTCGGGGGAGGGGGGAGGGATAGCATCGGGAGATATACCTAATGCTAGATGACAAGTTAGTGGGTGCAGCGCACCAGCATGGCACATGTATACATATGTAACTAACCTGCACAATGTGCACATGTACCCTAAAACTTAAAGTATAATAAAAAAAAAAAGAAAAAAAAAAAGAATGAGATTCTGCCCTTTGCAACAACATGGATGGAACTGGAGATCATTATATTAAGTGAAATAAGTGAGTACTATTCAGCCATAAAAAAGAATGAGATTCTGCCCTTTGCAACTACATGGATGGAACTGGAGATCATTATGTTAAGTGAAATAAGCCAGGCACAGAAAGATAAACATTGCACGTTCTCACTTATTTGTGAGATCTACAAATCAAAACAATTGAACTCATGGACATAGAGAGTAGAAGGATGGTTATCAGAGGCCGGAAAAGATAGCTGGAGGTGAGGAGGAGGTGGGGATTGTTCATGGGTACAAAAAATAGAAAGAATGAATAAGACCTACTATGTGATAGCACAACAGGGTGACTATAGTCAATAATAATTTATTTGTACATTTAAAGATAACTAACAGAGTGTAACTGAATTGTTTGTAACACAAAGGATAAATGCTTGAGGGAATGGAGACCACATTCTCCATGATGTGATTTTTATGCACTGCAAGCCTGTACCAAAACATCTCATGTACCCCATAAATATATACACTTACTATGTACCCTCAAAATTAAAAATTAAAAAATTGTTTATTTGAATCTACGTTCATATTGGATGTTGGTCTATGCCAAGATCTCACCATTGCACTCCAGCCTGGGCAATAAGAGCAAAACCCCGTCTAAAAAAAAAAAAAAAAAAAATGTTGTTAAGTATTGTTATTGGGGTTATGCTAGCATCATAAAAAATGGACAATTTTTACTCCTATTTTCTGAAAGAGTTTTCTTCTATTTTTGATTAAATAAACCCCCAAAATTTGAAATTTCTTTGTAGGAATGTTTTGATTGCAAATTCAATTTACTAGATATTGAGTTATTTAACCTTATATCTTTTGTGTCAGTTTTCATAAGTTGTTTTTCTTCAAGGAGCCTGTCCAATTCACCAATTGGTATTGGGAGACAATTCTCCATGGGTCTGTTGTATTTCTGCGCATCTTGAGCAGAGACACCAACAGCTTTTGTTTCAGACTATCTTTTCAAGATTTTTCTATGGAGAGTACTCTAGAAAGACACAAATAGTTTCTCTTTCTAGAGTAGAAGGCAGGTTTGTTTGCTGTCCAGTAAAATAAAGATAATGTCTCCTTCTGGGGCAAACTTCAGGCAGGTTTGCTTACAGCTTCTTATCTAAGCCTTGAGATTTCTCATCTCTGACACAAACCAGCTGTGTGCACAACACTCATCTGAACTGCTTGTGTCACCCTATGGAAGGGAGGATTAAAGAGGAACTGACTCAAGCGTGAAGCTCATGTGGCTTGCTGTGCCATGAGTAATAAAGGCCTTAGTCTGTGACCCAGGAGTCTCATATCTTCTGCCAACATACATAAGTCTGGCAGGCTAACTTGTAAGCTTGCAAATAGAGTGAAATAATCATAGTTCTTGACAATTTAAGATCCTTCACAGTTCCTGACAATTGGCATAGGTTGATTATCATATGCTTTATTCTCTTTTAAATGTCTACAGCTCTGTAGTGAAGTTGCTGCTTTCATTTATATTATTGTTGATTGGGGTTTTTTTTTTCCCTCTCTCTCTTTCTCTCTGTGCGCATGTGAGTCCTTTGATCAGTCTTGCTAGAGGTTTATCAATTTTATTAGTTTTTAATTATTTAATTATTATTATTTTTGAGACAAGAGTCTCACTCCGTTGCCCAGGCTGGAGTGCAGTGGTAAGATCTTGGCTCATTGCAACCTCCGCCTCCTGGGTTCAAGTGATTCTTCTGCCTCAGTCTCCCCAGTAGCTGGGATTACAGACGTGTGCCACCATACCTGGCTAATTTTTGTATTTTCAGTAGAGATGGGATTTCACCATGTTGGCCAGGCTGGTCTCAAACTCCTGACCTCAAATGATCTGCCCATCTTGGCCTCCCAAAGTGCTGAGATTACAGGCATGAGTCACCATGTCTGGTCATCAATTTTATTTTTTTAAATGACATCTTTTGACTTAACTTTCTCTATTTTTGTCTGTGCTTTATTTCATTAATTTCTGCTCTAATATTTCCTTTCTTGTATTTATCTTGGGTTTAATTTTCTTATTCTAGCTTAATTGGCAAACTTACATTATTAATTTGATTATGGCATTCTTATTTTCTAATACAGGCATTTAAAGTAATAAATTGCCCTCTAAAATTGCTTTAATGCATCTCCAAATTTTGATATGTTGGATTTTCAATATCATTTGGTTGAGAATACTTTCTAATTGCCTTTTAAATTCTTATTTTACCCAGGGGTTATTTAGACATGTGTAGCTAACTTTCCAAATATTTGAAGATTTTTGAGATGTCTTATGATGAACAATTGCTAATTTAATATTATTTTGGACAGAGGACATATGCTGTACATCTACCCTAGCAAATGCTCCTTGTGCATTTGAAAAGAATGTATCTTTTTGGATGTAAGTGTTGGGTATTTTTCTAAACTATCAAATAGTAATGGGGCTAATAGCAGTTTTCACACCTTCTATATTCTTATTGATTTGGTCTATTTGTTTTATCTATTACTGAAAGATGGGTTTTAAAATTTACAACTTTGTGGATTTTTCTATTTCTTCCTTTTATTCTCTTAGCTTTTGCTCCACGTATTTGAAACTCTGTAATCAGGCACATGCACATTTAGAGAATTGTGATATCTTCTTGAAGACTTAAACGTTTTATCATTAAGTAAGGTCCCTGTTTAATTCTGGTAACATTATTGATCTTGAAATCTACTTTATCTGATATTACTGTAGCCACACAGCTCTTCTTAGTATTTGCATATTTTATCCTATATATGTTTTATCTTATAGTACATTTTAACTTTTCACCTGTCTTTATATTTAAAGTAGATTTCTTGCAAACAGCATAGAGTTGGGTCTTAAATTTTTAATCATACCTAGTAATTTTGACTTTTAAGGGAGTATTTAGTTAATTTAAAATTAATATAATTAATGGTATGGTGGGGTCTAAGTCTGCCATGTTGCTGTGGTTTCTGATTCTCCCATTTACTCTTTGGATTTTTTTGTTCCCTCTTTGATGACTTTTGTTGGGTGATTGAGTATGATTTTTTATTTAAAATTTTCTCCTCCTCTCCTCAATTGACTTTTTAGTTGTACTTTTTTGAATGTTTGCTTTAGATATTACAATATGCATCCTTAACACAGTCTACTTTCAACAATATTTAATTATATTACACACAGTATAAAGAACCCTACAATGATATAAAGAGGCTTTTCAGCTCCCACCTTACCCTTTGTCTTCTGGTGGTTATAAATTTTACTTCTACATTTGCTATAAGGCCCAAAACACATTGCTACCTTTTGCTTTAGAAAATCTCTCTCTCTCTCTTCCTCTCTCTCTCTCTCTCTCTCTCTCTCTCTATATATATATATATATATATAGCTTATTTACCATTTCAGCTGCTCCTCATTCTTCCCTGCAAATCTTCAGAGGTGAATTTTTCTCACTTCTCCTGCTCTGTCCTCAGTCTTCTAAGTATTAACCCAATGAACTTAGTGAAGGACTGTGGGAAAGAGTTCCTAAATTGGTGTAGACTTGCTCTGTGATTAGAGACCCTTGGATTTCAAATTTACTATGTCAGTCTACATGTTACCATTAAAAGTTTGATTTGCCTGGTTTTCCCATACCCCTGTCTACATCGAATTTTCCTTCTCTCACCACTCTGCCAGGAATGAACACAACCATGCATCTCTTTTCTCCTTGAAAGGGCTTGTGACTTAGTTCATTTAGGTTTCTATGTATCCTCAGCTCTCTGACAGATTTAAAAAATAAAAAAAAATCCACAACTATGATTTCATAACTTCTTTTGAGTGTCCTTGTTGCTAAGATGAAAGCAACAGTATCTTGTGACTTTCCACACCTTTAAAAAAAGTGGAAGTACCCCGACGTCTCTCTCAATTTATTTGTGGAACTCAGTCCCTCGATGAAAGGTAATATAAGCCCCATGGCTTTTCTAATCATTTTCAGTTTAATAAAAAGGTCTTATTGTCAGCTGTTCAAATGTTCACTCCAATACCATCATAAATACTTTAAGTTTCATTTAACTTTCTCTCTTTTCTCAGGTCCAGCCTATTGCAGGCTGAACACCAGCACTGAGGGAGGAGGGCAACACTGGCTCCCCTCTCGCCCCTCCAGTGCTTTTCTCTGTCCTCCTGTCTTTCTAATCTGCTTCCAGATCCCTCTAGGGGGGAATACTGGGAACAGGAAGAAGCAAGGAAGCAGGAAATACCTAATTGATCGACACCTATTCTGGCTGTGATAGATTTTTTTTTTTTAACCCACCTCCTTTTTGAGATCTTTCATGGTTTCTTAAAGACCTAGATCTCTCTCCCCGCACTGCCAGGGAATCTCTCACCTGACATTCCCTTCATGAAGATACATCCATCTCCATGACAACTGGCCTTTTATGCTTCCTCAGCCCTTATGCATCTGTGCATCTGCTAGTGACTTCAGCTGCAGTTCTGCTGAGACTTTTTTCTCCCAAGTATTCCTCTTAAACAAAACCCAAGACATTTCACACTGCCCTTGCTTGGGGTCCTCATGTAGTCCCAAGGAAATACATATACATTCTTTGTCCTAATCAACTCTGAGAGCACAGGCTCCCCTGCAGCTGCCTCTCTTTACCCTCCAAGCAACTAGCCAGATATCCCTTACCCTTTAGCTTTTCTAGGTGGATTTAATACGTTATCCCCTACTTCTAGGGACCACATATGAAACTCCCTGGGCAATCATCTTGAAGCCTTTTCCTTAGTCATGAAATGCAGTTTAAGAATGTCCAGTGCTCCATCATAGGGAGATAGGATTCAAAACCTATAGAATCTACTCTCCATAATGCTTCCTAACCTCCAACTCCCACCCCATCTCTAGACTCTATGAGTGAGAAACTTAAGAGTCACAAAATTGGTTTTTCATCTTTAGAAATTATATGATGTTCCACCTTACTTTGGAATGTAACATCTTTGTGTCTCAGTGGAAATTGCATTAAAAAAAAATCCATGAACCATGTAGGTCCATCTCAAAAAAAGAATCCAGCTATATTTGCAACCACAAAAAATTAAAAACAACCTAAAGTTCAGCAATATGGGACTAGTTAAATAACTTATGGTACAACTATGCAAGAGAATATTCCACAGCTCCCCCCACCCCAAAAGGACAAGGATGCTCTTCATCTGTTGATATAAAATGATCCCTATAGTGTTAAGGGAAAAAAGGAAGAGTGTGGTGTGTACATACAGGATGGTATTGCTATTTTTAAAAAGGCTTTTGCTTGTGTTTAATAAGACATCTCTGATAGGATACACAGGAAACTGGTTGCATCTGAGGAGGGACATTTGGTAGCCAGGAATAGCTTTTTGTACTTTGTGAATTTTAAACCAAGTGAATATACAACTATATTTTAAAAGAAGATAATATTAAATTTAAAAATGAGTGTACAGCAAGGAAATAAAGATTATAGCTGACTGACTTTCAAGCAAGGGGCTTGGCTGTGAAGGGCAAATGTGAGGAGATGAGCTAGTATGAGCTGCAAGACTGAGAAATGATGTTTCATTTTTTGTAGCAGGGTCATGGCTATTGCATGATTTGCATAAGCCTATTATACTGACTTGCAACATCCTTCTTCCCCCCAGGTAATCAGTTGACACCCATTCCAAGGCCTGTTCTTTTTTTTTTTTTTTTTTTGAGATGGAGTCTCGCTCTGTCACCCAGGTTGGAGTGCAGTGGTGCGATCTTGGCTCACTGCAACCTCCATCTCTCAGCTTCAAGTGATTCTCCTGCCTCAGCCTCCCAAGTAGCTGGGATTACAAGTGCAAACTACCACGTATGGCTAATTTTTGTTTTTTTATTAGAGATAGGGTTTCATCATGTTGGCCAGGCGGGTCTCAAACTCCTGACCTCAAATGATCTGTCTGCCTCAGCCTCCTAAACTGCTGGGATTCATAGGATGCTGACGATCTTCCTGGGAAACCTTGAGCTGTATCCATGATGGAGGTTCAGACATAGCTAGACATGTCTGTCAGGTGGGGTTTAGTTTGAGGCGGGTAAGCAGAGACTAGATTATTAGACAGGACAGCCCCTGAGAGAGAGAAACACGGAGTTGTGTTTGGGGTGTATTGTTCACACAGAAAATAACTGCACAGAGCCCCCTGTGGCAAGGTATCAGGCCTGTTGAGGGCATGCTTGTTGTTGGTCTTCTAATGAAGATTAAGGCAAAGTGATAGGAATCATTACCTTCCCTTCTGTCTGCAAATCCCACTTGTCCAGGCACCACAAGGGTGCAGATCAGTAGATGCTAGCACCATTACATTGAGAACACTGGTGGCCACAGCCATCAGCAGATTCTGCATGCTAGCTTGAAACCCTACCTCAGCTGAGGATGAGGCCAGCACTTAGGCATATTGCTGACTCAGCTGGAATCTTCAGAGGCTGCTGAGCTGAAGGCAGCGGTGCCAGTAGCTCTCTAGTGGTGTGCGATGGAACCTTAACATGGCTGAGCTAAGGGTGGGCTGGAAGAGGAAGGTCACTAGCAAAGCAGCACAGCAACAAATGAACACAGCTTTTTCATGAACACGTGTGAGACCTCCCTTTCCTTTGGGAATCCTAGGCATACCTGGAGGCAGGAGTGGGTGGAGGTTAGGTTAGAATTATCTGCAAGATGCTAGAGAACATTTGTAAACTGGTAATTTTTTTTTAGCCGGTTACAATTTAGATTTAATCTGGAAGCTGGTGAAACCTGAAAATATTTGGGTTGTTCTATTTATTTATAGTTTACCTTTTGTATAAGACAGGTTTATATGTTTATTAGCTGGGGATTGAATAGTTAGGAGGAAGAGCTTGAATATAAGGAAATATAAGCAAGGAAGAAAATAAACCAATTTGTCAGGGTCCTGATCTCAAGATGAATTGGGGGTGATGGTAGAAAGATAGGGTCAAAAGCAGTGCACCTTCTCTTCTAAGTCAGGAGGGGAGGAGTTGAAGTAAAGGTGGATTTTTAAATATGCATTGGACTTCCTCAATACAGTCAGAGGCTGTGTCATCTGCTGAGAGATGAGTAAGTTAAGAATGGGTGGAGCTCTTGAGAGCAATGAAGGTTTGACCATCGTTGGGGGAATTGAGGTGGAGCTGACTAGACAAAGAAAGGATTGCTGAATGGCGCCAAGTATCCCAGTGAAGTTGAAGGCCATGAATTTGAAGTGGCAAAGACTTCTCTGTCTTCCTAAGTCTCTGATTTAGAAGCCCTCCTTTGGGCTTCCAGGGCACTGTGCTCTTCCATCCTGATAATGCTTATCACATTATGGGGTAACTGTTGAACTCCACCTCACCACCCCACCCCATCAGACTATATGCTCTGAGAAGGAAGAGAACCTCCCTCTTATTTTTTGTGTATTGCTCTGAGTCTAGCAATTTCTTCTGCTGTTTCCAGTGCACAGTGGATGCTCGATAAATACTGGCTGAATAAACATTAGCATTGTCATCATTGTGAGATTCTTCTATTTCTCTCAGAAGCCTGGGTAGAGAAGCAAAGGAGGCAGATGGTGTAAATGATCCAAGGTGGTTAGAAGGTTTGCAGGGTGGATGTGGCACAGGGTGAAGATGTTAAGGGTGCTGGCGAGAGTCTTGCTGACACAGTGCACCATGAGGGCTGGGTTGAGTAGGATTTGAGAGGTGGCACACATCCAGATGAAGGAAACATTTGGGGTGAGGCCATGGGAGCGGAGTGCTTATGAGAAAAATGAGGATTGAAGCAGGGCTGGGATATGACCTTGGCAGTCCAAATGTCTCCTGGTCTCTAAGCTCTACTTTTCGGTGAATTCCTCGCAATCCAGTGGGAACCTCCCATCATTAAGGGTAAGGAGGGGAAAAGCATTTAAACAACAAATAGATTCTAGTTGAAAATAGATTTGTGAGTGAGAGAAGAAAACAGATATTAGAACTTTACTTCTAAACCACAATATTGACATTCAATTTGTACAGATAATTTTTCTTCAAAGTAGATAAAATGAAATTTGCATAATCATGTGGTTAAACTTTGCAACTGTCATAGCTTTTGGTCACTATTATTACCCTGGTTTTCAAAGCACAGACCATACCCAAGTCATCTTTGTGGACCCTGAACCGAGCACATGGGGGTACTGCCCAGCTGGCTGGCACAAACCTGGAAACAGTCTCCAAGTCTTGAGTTCTTTATTTTACTGGTAACTAAAACCTATTTCTACTGACATGTTAGTCAGTTAAATTTACATGTCTGTTTTATGATCTTTTTTTGAGCTACCAAAGACTTCTGCTTTCCATTTTGCAGATATTCTATTTAGATAATACCAGGCAGGGAAACAAGATTTGCACAGATTTGAAAATTCCATAAGTTTTCAAATAAGTGGGGAACACTCAGAGGTTCAGGAAGACTGCATCAAGAACTAATTTTTTCTGGGATAATTGAACTTCACATCATTCTAACAAATAGGTACTGAACAATACTCTGTGAAAGACACTGAACAAATGGAAAATATATACTGTTCCTGCTGTCAAGCAGTTTGCAGTCAGGTAGAGAAGGATTAGAATGACATAAGTGACTACAGAAGAAAGCAGAACTGTGGAGGAGACAGGACAACTGCCTTGGGTAAGAAGAAAATCTTCAAGCGGTCAAGGATCAAGTCTTTTGTGAAAGTTTATAATCACAATCACTTCATGCCCACAAGATGCTCTGTGGATATTCCCTTGGACAAAAACTGTCATCAACAAGGATACCCTCAGAGACCCTGCTCTTAAATGCAAGGCCAGTGGGAGCCAAGGTGAAGTCCAAAGAGAGGTACCAGATGGGCAAGAACAAGTCGTTCTCCCAGAAACTGTGGTTTTAGATGTTTTTGTTGTTTTCAGTCTTTACAAATAAAAAAATAAATAATATACATATGAAATCAGTACTCAAAATGTCATGGTTTAAACGACAAGCATTTATTTGGCACATGAATCCATGGGTTGGACTCAGTGATCCTTCTGATCTGTGCTGGCTTCTTCAGGCCTCTGGGGTCAGTTAGGTGTTTCTGCCTCTAAAAGGTGGCCAGCTATTGGCTAGTGCAATGGGGACACTTGCTCTCATCATCTGAAACTCTAGTCCATGCTTGTTCCTATGTGGCATAAGCACAGCCTGAGGGCAAACCCCAGTGCACATGCATTTTTTCACGCTTCTGCTTGTGTTGCATTGGATACTATTCCATGAGCCAAACAAGTCACAGTGCCAATCTCAGAGTCAGTGCAAGAGAGCACCGCTACAGTGTGTGGAATCAGGGAAGGGGCAGACTTGTACCCATTTTTGTAACCTACCACTCCTTGCTAATTGATAAAGGAAACAGATAGTAAGTTACACAACAAATAGAAGGTCATCACAGTAGGTCATCACATATTCATAGTAGGTCATAGTGGGAGACTTCCTATTATTACTAGTGATTAAAGAAATATACATTAATATGGGCTTCTAGTCCTCATTTTGTAGAAGAGAAAACTGGAGGCTCAAAGCCTTGCTAAGATGATGGGTAGATGACTATGACTACCCAGCCTGCAGACCAAGCAAGATCCCCAGCTCCAAGTTCAGCAGCCAAAGGCAAGTCTCGATTCATACTCTGGCTCTACCATGTCTTAGTAGTATAACTTTGTATAACATTTCTATGACTCAATTTCACCTCTGTAAAATGAGAGCAATACGCAGGATGTGGGGGCTCACGCCTGTAATCCCAGCACTTTGGAAGGCCAAGGTGGTGGATCACAAGGTCAGGAGATTGAGACCGTCCTGGCTAACATGGTGAAATCCCGTCTCTACTAAAAAAAAAAAAAATACAAAAAATTAGCTGGGCATGGTGGCCGGCACCTGTAGTCCCAGCTACTTGGGAGGCTGAGGCAGGAGAATGGTGTGAACCCAGGAGGCAGAGCTTGTAGTGAGCCGAGATCACGCCACTGCACTCTAGCCTAGGCGACAGAGCGAGACTCTGTCTCCAAAAAAAAAAAAAAAAAAAAAGAGAGAGAAATAATATCTACCTCACAGATTACGAGAACTAAGTGAGATCATGTGAAAACATTCTTTGAAGGTCTTGGTACCTGTTCAATTCATACCTCCTCTTTTTCTTTCTGATGCAATTTTGTGAAACCAGCTACAAAATAAAGCAAAATCAGAAAAGCCCAGACAAAACAAACTAGCAAATAAATAGATAAAACTATAGGGACTAAGAAGAAACTGCAATTTTTGTGTTTAACTGGTGACTGTTCATTCTGTTGTTCATTCACCCAGCAATTATTGAGTGCCTCTACTGGACTTGACACTGTGCTAGGCATTGGGAATGCAGTGGTAAACAGAAAGAGGCAGATTCCTACCCTCATGAAGCTTAGAATCTAATGTCAAAAACAGACAATAACCAAATGATCACATTAATTAGTGCTGTACAATGCCCTTGGTTAGTTTTAGTAGGAGACCATATAATTGAAATATGTGACCCAATTAAGAGTAGGAGGGGGCCAGGAAGGGTCTCCTTGATAAATGGATGAGTGAGTTGAGGTATGAAGGGGACAGTGATTATTTCATCTAGATCACGCTGGGGTTATAAGGGGCCAAGCCATGTGGTCTCTGGGGAATGACAAGGAGATTATATTAACCCTAGGCAATTGGAAGTCATAGAAGGGTATGAGCAAGGTTGAGATTTGGAAAGCTTTCTCTGGGATCAGGGTGGAGAACAGATTAGAGCAGGGAAGAAGTGGATGCAGCTAAATTACCAGAAGATTATTAGAAATACAATTGGAATTCCAATAATTGGAAGATTATTGGAATTGCAATTCACTGATTATTTCCTTTAAAAAAATAAAGTAATGGTAGACCTGTTAATTCTACTTTGTGAAGCATACATCCTAAGGAAATATACCCCAAATATTTGTACATTGATCAGAACTGGTCAGTGACTAACATCAGACCACTAATAGTACATTTTAGAATGAAATTATTGACTAAATGGGTTTTAGACGGCTAAGTTATTGTAAAATCCATGTGTATTGGTCCTTAAGAACGAACAGGGCCATATTTACTTTATCGTTACCAATTTTAAAAATCCATATACCTAGCCAGGTTGTCCCTACCCTAGTGTCACATTGCAGGGAGAAATATTAAGTAGGCTGTGATATTTCAATATGAAGAGATCCTGCACAGCTGCAAAGTACGGCAGGAAAGTGTAGATGACGTGAAGATGTTAAGTGTTAAACAAGCTGAATACAAATTATTAGCAGCACACTGATTATTAGGAAAAACTCATGAGCAAAGTTCAGAAGAGAAACTGAAATATTTCCTGAGGCTCGGGTACTTGGTTTAAAAAGACTTAAGAGTAACACTTGAGTTTAACGGTGTTGGGAGTGGAGTCTACTTATTCATCACCGAAGGGGCTCAATCGCATTGCTTCCCAAAGAAAGTTGAGAGACTGTGCTCCCTGCACTGTGTAATTGTAGCTTGATCCACTAGTCATAGATTCTTAGAAATAAGTAAACATACAGATCTTCAAATGAGACTCTCAACTTCAGCGTCTTCATGATAATAACTGTACATTCCAAGTTTTTGGTACTTTATAGCACTTTTTTTTCTACAACTGTAAAGTGCCTGTGGGAAGTGTTTGTATTTTAAATAGCTTAATAAAAAATGCAAGAAGTTAAAGGTAGATCTGAGAAACATTCAGATATCCACAAAGCAATTTTTAAAATATTAGTGAAATTGGTGACTAAAAATGAAATTTCAAGTTGCTGCTGAATCTCCTAGAATAAACCTAGACTGCATTGACATGTAATTGTTTTTCTCTTTCAGAGTGACAACTATAGCTTCCATAAGAAAGTTTTGGAGGCTCCTAAAAATGACAGATAAATGAACTAACCTAATCAGCAAAATTAAACTATAGGAAAGAGTATGGACCTTGAAAAGACAGGTATGGTTCAAATTCCTTCCCTCAGTTGGGAAAATCCCATTACCCTTTGAAATTGCAGCTTCCTTGTAGGAAAAACAGGGATAAAAGTAACTATCTTTCAGGGTTGATAGGAAATTTAAATGAGGTATTGTATATGCAAGCAGCTGAGGAACACTCAATTAGAATATTAGAGCCCCTTCCTTATCTTTCAGACTTGAATGAGTTTCTTGGTGCATTTTCTTCCTCTTTCCCAGCTTAGCCAGCTTGACGACTAAAGCAACACCTTTCCAAGCAACATTGGAAATTTGACCTCCTCATCAGAAAAATGTGTATAGACATCTCTGGAGTCAGGCTACCCCATATGAAGCTTGGATTTTGGCTTCACTGTGGCTGCAGGTATTTGAGGATGCAATTAGCTGAACTAATCTCACTCAAATTCCTAAGTGCGACTTCTTACGTGGTTTTCATCTAGCCGTTCTATCTATCCCAACAAGAATCTGTTGCTAGACCTCAAAAACACTGAGTGCTGTCAGGAAAAAATGTACAAGGCACCACAAAGATTATGGGGCATCTACTATGGAAAACCTAGACATTGTCTAGAGCATTGTTTGTGGTTATCTCTGTCTTTCATTGCCTTTGATCTATTTTTCAACTCTCCACATTGTAGAAAATGACTGATAATTCAAATGATTCTTTTCCATAAAAATGGAAGTGAACAATGTTCGGTGGGATGCAATGGACTAATTTTGTAGGTATTTATAAATTTATTTTAACATTTTGTATTACCTATGTATATATGTGATTCTCTGAATTCTCTTTTGAACTGATCATAACATCTTACTGGATCTCATTAATTAATGCATTAAAGTCTTTGACCCATGTTCATTTTATATGAGAGTCTTGATTTTATATT
The DNA here is from genome assembly GCF_000001405.40 of Homo sapiens. Lineage (NCBI taxonomy): Eukaryota > Metazoa > Chordata > Mammalia > Primates > Hominidae > Homo > Homo sapiens. Next base: position 206,926,932 of record NC_000002.12, read on the forward strand.
AAAAAATGATCCTTTGAGAGTGGCTAATCCTGACAAGGGGGAGTCTCCCAGCACAGTGCACCAGCTCTTCAGCTGATCCTGACAAGAGGGATTCTCTCAGGACAGCGCACCAGCTCTGCTAAGGGACAGACTGCCTCCTCAAGCGAGTCTCTGATCCTGTGCCTCCTGACTGGGTGAGACCTCCCAACAGGGGTCAACAGACACCTCATACAGGAGAGCTCCAGCTGGCATCAGGACAGTGCCCCTCTGGGGTAAAGCTTCCAGAGGAAGCAGGAGGCTGCAATCTTTGCTGTTCTGCAGCCTCCACTGGTGATACCCAGGTGAAGAGGGTCTGGAGTGGACCCCCCGCAAACTGCAGCAGACCTACAGAAGAGGGGCCTGACTCTTAGAAGAAAAGCTGACAAACAGAAAGCAACAACAACATCAACAAAAAAGACCCCCAACACAAAAACTCCATCCAAAGGTCATCAGCCTCAAAGATCAAAGGTAGATAAATCCATGAAGATGAGCAAAAACCAACGCAAAAATGCTGAAAATTCCAAAAGCCAGAAAGCCTCTTTTCCTCCAAATGATCACAACACTTCTCCAGCAAGGGCACAGAATAGGGCTGAAGCTGAGATGGATGAACTGATTAAAGTGGGCTTCAGAAAGTGAGTAATAACAGATTTTGCTGAGCTAAAGGATTATGTTCTAACCCAATGCAAAGAAGCTAAGAACCATGATAAAAGATTACAGGAGCTGTTAACTAGAATAACCAGTTTAGAGAATGACATGATGGAGCTGAAAAACACAGAACGAGAACTTTGTGATGCAAAGACAACTATCAATAGCTGAATTGACCAAGCGAAAGAGAGAATATCAGAGCTTGAAGACTATCTTCCTGAAATAAGGCAAGCAGACAAGATTAGAGAAAAAAGAATGAAATGGAAAGAACAAAATCTCCAGGAACTATGGGACTATGTGAAAAGACCAAACCTACGACTAACTGGAGTAGCTGAAAAAGATGGGGAGAATGGAACCAAGTTGGAAAACACACTGCAGGATGTCATCCAGGAGAAACTCCCCAACCTAGCAAGACAGGCCAATACTCAAATTCAGGAAATCCAGAGAACCCCAGTAAGATACTCCATGAAAAGATCTACCCCAAGACAGATAATCCTCAGATTCTCCAAGGTCAAAATGAAGGAAAAAATGTTAAAGGCAGCCAGAGAGAAAGGCCAGGTCACCTACAAAGGGAAGCCCATCAGACTAACAGCTGACCTCTCAGCAGAAACCCTACAAGCCAGAAGACACCGGGGGCCAATGTTCAATATTCTTGAAGAAAAGAAATTCCAACCAAGAATTTCATATCTGACCAAACTAAGCTTCATAAGCAAAGGAGAAATAAAATCTTCTCCAGACAAGCAAATGCTGAGGGATTTTGTCACCACCAGGCCTGTCTTGCAAGAGCTCCTGAAAGAAGCACTAAACATGGATAGGAAAATCACTACAAAAACACATTGAACTACACAGACTAGTGACACTATGAAGCAACTATATTAACAAGTCTGCAAAACTAACCAGTCAGCATCATGATGACAGGATCAAATTCACACATAACAATATTAACCTTAAATGTAAATGGACTAAATGCTCCAATTAAAAGCACAGAATGGCAAGCTGGATACAAAGACAAGACCCATAATGGTGCTGTATTCAAGAGGCACATCTTATGTGCAAAGACGTACATAGGCTCAAAATAAAGGGCTGTAGGAAAATTTGCCAAGCAAATGGAAAGCAGAAAAAAGAAGGGGTTGCAATCCTAGTTTCTGAAAAAATAGACTTTAAACCAACAAAGGTCAAAAAAAGACAAAGAAGGGCATTACATAATGCTAAAGGGTTCAATTCATCAAGAAGAGCTAACTATCCTAAATATATATGTACTCAATACAGGAGTACCCAGATTCACAAAACGAGTTCTTAGAGACCTACAAAGAGACTTAGACCCCCACAAAATAATAGTGGAAGACTTTGATACCCCACTGTCAGTACTACACAGATCATCAAGACAGAAAAATTAACAAAGATATTCAGGATTTGAACTCAGCTCTAGACCAAGTGGACCTGATAGATATCTACAGAACTCTTCACCCCAAAACAATATAGTATACATTTTTTTCAGCACCACGTGGCACTTACTCTAAAATTGATCACATAATTGGAAGTAAAGCACTCCTCAGCAAATGCAAAAGAACTGAAATAATAACAAACAGTCTCTCAGACCACAGTGTAATCAAATTAGAACTCAAGATTAAAAAGCCTACCCCAAACCACACAACTACATGGAAATTGAACAGCCTGCTCCTGAATGACTCCTGGGTAAATAATAAAATTAAGGCAGAAATTAAGAAGTTCTTTGAAAACAATGAGAACAAAGAGACAATGTATCAGAATCTCTGGGATGCAGCTAAAGCAGTGTTGAGAGGGAAATTTATAGCACTAAATGCCCATATCAAAAATGTAGAAATATCTCAAATCAACACCCTAAGATCACAGCTAAAAGAACTAGAGAACCAAGAGCAAACAAACCCCACCGCTAGCGGAAGACAAGAAATAACTAAGCTCAGAGCAGAATTGAAGGAGACAGAGACACAAAAAACCCTTCAAAAAATCAATGAGTCCAGGAGCTGGTTTTTTGAAAAAAAATCAGTAAAATGGACAGACCACTAGTAAGACTAGTAATGAAGAAAAGAGAGAAGATTCAAATAAACACAATCAGAAATGATAAGGGGGATACCACTACTGACCCCACAGAAATATAAACAACCATCAGATAATACTATAAACACATCTATGTGAATAAACTGGAAAATCTAGAAGAAATGGATGAATTCCTGGACACATAACCCTCCCAAGACTGAATCCCTATATAGACCAATAACAAGTTCTGAAATTGAGGCAGTAATAAATAGCCTACCAACAAAAAGAAAGAGTCCAGGTCCAGATAGATTTACAGTTGAATTCTACCAGAGGTACAAAGAGGAGCTGGTACCATTTCTTCTGAAACTATTCCAAACAATTGAAAAGGAAGGACTCCTCCCTAACTCTTTTTATGAGGCCAGAATCATCCTGATACCAAAACCTGCCAGAGATACAACAACAACAAAAAAACTTCAGGCCAATATCTCTGATGAATATCGATGTAAAAATCCTCAATAAAATACTGGCAAACCAAATCCAGCAGCACATCAAAACACGTATCAACCACGATCAAGTTGGCTTCATCCCTGGGATGCAAGGCTGGTTCAACATACACAAATCAATAAACATAATTTATCACATAAACAGAACTAAAGACAAAAACCACACAATTATTTCAATACACAGAGAAAAGGCCTTTGATAAAATTCAACATCTCTTCATGTTAAAAACTCTCAGTAAACTAGATATTGAAGGAATGTATCTCAAAATAATAAGAGCCATTTATGACAAACCCACAGCCAATATCATACTGAATAGGCAAAACCTGAAAGCATTCCCCGTAAAAACTGACACAAGACAAGGATTCCCTCTCTCACCACTCCTATTCAACATAGTGTTGGAAGAAGCTCTGACCAGGGCAACTAGGCAAGAGAAAGAAATAAAGTACATTCAAATAGGAAGAGAGGAAGTCAAAGTGTGTTTTTTGCAGGTGGCATAATCCTATATCTAGAAAACCCCATCATTTCAGCCCAAAAACTTCTTAAGCTGGTAATCAACTTTAGCAAAGTCTCAGGATACAAAATTAATGTGCAGAAATCACAAGCATTCCTATACACCAACAACAGACAAGCAGAAACCTAAATCATGAATGAACTCCCATTCACGATTGCCACAAAAAGAATAAAATATCTAGGAATACAGCTATCAAAGGAAGTGAAGGACCTCTTCAAGGAGAACTATAAAGCACTGCTCAAGGAAATCAAAGAGGGCACAAGCAGATGGAAAAACATTCCATGCTCATGGATAGGAAGAATTAATATCATGAAAATGGCCATAGTGCCCAAAGCAATTTATAGATTCAATGCTATTCCCATTAAACTATCATTGATATTCTTCACAGAATTAGAAAAAAAACTGGCTGGGCATGGCGGCTCACACATGTAATCCCAGCACTTTGGGAGGCCGAGGTGGATCACGAGGTCAGGAGATCAAGACCATCCTGGCTAACATGGTGAAACCCCATCTCTACTAAAAATACAAAAAATTAGCCAGGCATGGGTGGCAGGCACCTGTAGTTCCAGCTACTCAGAGGCTGAGGCAGGAGAATGGCATGAACCCGGGAGGTGGAGCTTGCAGTGAGCTGAGATCGTGTCACTGCACTCCAGTCTGGGTGACAGAGTGAGACTCCATCTCAAAAAAAAGAAAACAAGTATTTTAAAATTTATATGGAACCAAAAAAGAAATCACATAGCCAAGGCAATCCTAAGCAAAAAAAAAACAAAAACAAAAACAAAAAACAACCAAAAAAAACAAAGCTGGAGGCATCACACTACCCAACTTCAAATTATACTACAAGGCCACAGTAACCAAAACAGCATGGTACTGGTACAAAAACAGGCACATAGACAAATGGAACAGATAGAGAACTCAGAAATAAAACTGCACATCTACAACCATCTGATGTTCAACAAACCCAACAAAAACAAGCAATGGGAATAGGATTCTCTACCTAATAAATGATGCTGGGAGAACTGGCTAGCTATGTGCAGAAAATTGAAACTGGATCCCTTCCTTACACCTTATACAAAAATTAACTCAAGATGGATTAAAGACTTAAACATAAAACCCAAAAGTATAAAAACCCTAGAAGAAAATCTAGGCAATACCATTCAGAACATAGGCATGGGCAAAGATTTTATGAAGAAATTGCCAAAAGCAATTGCAATGAAAGCAAAAATTGACAAATGGGATCTAATTAAACTAAAGAGCTTCTGCACAGCAAATGGAACTATCATCAGAGTGAACAGACAACCTACAGAGTAGGATAAGTTTTCTGCAATCTATTCAACTGACAAAGGGCTAGTATCCAGAATCTACAAAGAAATTAAGCAAATTTACAAGAAAAAAACAAACAACCCCATTAAAATGTAGGCAAAGTATACGAACAGACACTTCTCAAAAAAAGACATGCAGCCAACAAACATATGAAAAATAGCTCAACATCACTGATCGTTAGAGAAATGAAAATCAAAACCACAATGAGATACCATCTCACGCCAGTCAGAATGGCAATTATTAAAAGGTCAAGAAACAACAAATGCTGGCAAGGTTGCAGAGAAATAGGAATGCTTTTACACTGTTGATGGGAATGTAAATTAGTTCAACCATTGTGAAGAAGAGTAGGAAAATTCCTCAAAGATTTAGAATTAGAAATACCATTTGACCCAGCAATCCCATTACTGGGTATATACCCAAAGGAATATAAATCATTCTATCTTAAAGATACATGCAGGCATAGGTTCATTGCAGCACTATTCACAATAGTAAAGATATGGAATCAACCTAAAGGTCCATCAGTGATAGACTGGATAAAGAAAATGTGGTACATACACTCCATGGAATACTATGCAACCATAAAAAGGAACATGTCCTTTGCAGGGACATGGATAAAGCTGGAAGCCATCATTCTAAGAAACAGGACCCACAATAAACAAATGAGTACAAAGATTTTAAAATGTGAATCACCTGGGGATCTTGTTAAAATGGAGGCTGAGATTCTACCTTTCTAACAGTGCCCTAACACATCTAACGGGGTCATACTGATGTGGCTGGTCTTGAGCTCACATTTAATTTAATTTTAGATATTAGGTTTTAGATAGTGTCTTAGTCTGTTTGGGCTATGATAACAAAAATACCTTAGTCTGTTCAGGCTACTATAACAAAGTTATAAACAACAGAAATGTATGGCTCACACTTCCAGAGGCTTGGAAGTCCAAGAAAGGCGCAAGCAGATTCGGTGTTTGGTGAGGGCTTTGCTTTACAGCTCGTGCCTTCTTGCAGCATCCTCACATGGACATTCTCACATGGAGGAAGGTGCAAACAAGCTCTCTTGGGCCTCTTTTATAAAAGCACGAATCCCCATCCATGAGGGCTCCACCCTCATAACCTAATCACCTCCCAGATGTACCCACCCCCCGCCACCACACAACTGCACTGGGGACTAAGTTTCCACAAATGAACTGGGGGAGGACACAGACATTTAGACCACAGCAAATAGCATGGTCAATGAAGATCTCTCTGTGACTCAGTCTCCTTTTCTGTAATTGGGGTTATTAATTGATCCTGCTGCATAAAGGGTGTTTGTACATTAAAGTACAGTATCTTGGACACAGTAATAATTCTATACCTTTTTTTTAATAACTGTATCACTTACTTTAATTTTTAAAAGACTTCCCTGCAGAACAGCATGGCATCCTTCTAAGGAGTTAAGAAAATGATAATAGAAGCAAGAAGGAGATAGGAAAGTTAAGGTAAAGGACATCCACCCTCCACTGACAATATTATTTCCAGGAATGGTAATAACAAGTAGAAATTTTGTGAAATCTGGGAGGTCTCAGTGTATAAATGTGGAATTGGACTTCTGAATATACAGTATTTGGGTTTATTAAACCCCATAATAATTTTAGTAGCAATTACTTCTCTGAGTGTAAAATTAATCTCAATTTATAAAATAAAGTAGAAATTTCATGTCTATCCTTTTATAGAAATTATTTTAGAGATATAGGGTAAACCCTCAGGAATAGGAATATACAAATTGCATTAAATTATGTATATTTTATTTAAAAAGCCAATTATGCTGGAAAATGTTATTATTTTATAAACAGAGAGCTAGGATTATGTAGATTATATACGGTTGGTTTTAGAAGCTAAGATATAGCTTATTTTAAACAGATGCTGTATTTCAGAAATGCATTTCAGAAATCTGTTTTTTCAATATATATAAAGCTGAGAAACTTCACCCACCCCCCTTTTTTAGGAAAATCCTCTGATGAACTTTACATTAAGATATTTCACAGTAAAAGAAAAAAAAAACAGCTTGATATTATGCTCTTTGGGGAGTTTGGTTTTTCTCTTTGGTATTGTGTGGTCTTATGTTAGAGTAATCCTGCATAGCACTGTAATCTAGTCACAGATCATTGTTATTAGTGTCAGTGATAATTACACCATACATTTTGATGGCATCACAGTCTTCAAAGGGTTTTTCCATACATTACTTCAGTTAATGTGCTCCACAACCTGAGAGGAATGCAGAACAGGTATAATTTTTTTTCTTTTTTTACAACAGAAGACAAGTGAGATTTGCTGAAAATTGCATGGTTGAGAAATGGAGGAACATGATTCAGAACGCGAGGCTTCTGAATTCTAACTCATTACTCTGCACCCAGCCCATCTAACGTTGCACTGAGACTCTGACAAGGAAGGCAGTGATCTGTGATGACCTTGCTGAATATATTAAGCAGAAATGAGAAGATGTAGGACAACAACCTGGGGCAAAATGCAGATAAGGAAAGGAAACCTGTCCTAATTGGGTTGTCTTTCCTTTAAGTACCTGAGCAATGGATGGAAGCAGAGACTCAGGATGATAACCCTCTTGATCAAGTTTTTCAGGATGATGATTCAGGGTGATGGTTTGGAAGCATTCTCTTTGAAAACTAGTTGGTAGTTGATGCACAATGAAATACTGTCCAGCTGAGAAAGAGATGGAAAATTATCCGGTGGCTAATTCCCAAGCTGATGGCCCTACCCTACCTCAGTTCTATCCCCACCTCATGCCCTGCAGATTGCTGGGGTTTCTGGTGGAAATCCAACTCCTCTTTAAAACCTCCTCCATTTCCTCACCCTCCATCTCTACTCTTAGCACTTGAGAGTGTACATTTCGTCTTTGCTCCTCTTCCCTCCCCAGATGATCCAAATAGAAAATACATCAGCACGTGGGAAAGAGCAACGTTGATCGTCTTCACGGAAAGGCTGAGGACCCTGCGCCTACCACATGTTGGCCAGGGTGAGCAAGCAGTGAAAGAGAAAACACTTTTTTCAAAAAGCCAACTGGTAAGGAATGTTACTAAGCTACCATGTAATTTTCTGTAGCTTTCTGGCTGGGTGTCACAAGCCTGTTAAGGCCTAGCCATGTAGGATTATCCCTGTTACTTCCAAACTTCAGTTTTGTTTCTGAATTTAATTATCCACAAAGTTTCAGAAAGATCCACATAGCTCAAGATCAATTACATTCATTTATTTTCATGTTTTCTGGGATCTGGCTGGTGTGTTGGCTGGATCATCTGAAAAGCAGATACCAAGATGGAGTTGAAAGTAGAAGAGATTTTAGGGGTGTAATTTTTGTGAAAGATAAAGGGGAGAAAAAGCAAGAGAAAGCAAGGAGAGCCTTACACCCAGATCTGACACCTGTGAAAAGATAGAAGGAGGAAAGGAAGATTGGCCAGAAAGGCCTCAGACTGTGGTACAGCCACAAGAAATTTGCTCCTAGAGGCACCTTGCATTGGTTCAATGGTGAGCATTTATGCCAGTTCTGTGCTCAGTCATTGGTTAGAGGATGTCCAGGTAGCACATAGTCCCAGCTTGAATACAGAGTCAGATTCTGAAGCTACCCATAGCGAGAAATTGACAGCGGTTTCTTTCTTGAAGGTAGAGCTGACTTGCACACTTCCACAGCTGGGCAAAGGAAAGAAGATGGTCACAGCAAGCTAAGTCCCTACCTGTGTATATGAGGGCTACATCTAGTCAGTGGATTTATGCCATCTGACTAGAACATAGATACAGATTCATCCATGCATCCGTGCATCTGTGGACCCATGTATCCATCCATCCATCCACCCATCCATCCATCCATCCATCCATCCATCTATCCATCTGCTCATTTCTTGCTTTAGATGATGGCAGCAATCTGCTGAAGCTTCTGTCAGAAGAACCTCTCCTTGGTGCTGCCTCAGAAATCAAATCTAGATTTTGCCTCTTCTGCTAGTAAGGCTGTAAGTTCTGAGTGTCAACCAGCTTATATCTCCACCCAACCTGCCTCCAGCTCTCCTTGTGACCATAAGTCAATGTATTATCCATCTGAGACCAAGCCCTTAACCACACCTTAATTGCTGCCAGTCTGATATACCAATTATTTGAATCCCACTGGTACTTTGCTCCACTAGGTGGGTCATAATTCATGTTATAGTCCCTTTGATTCAGTGTTCCAGGCACAAACAATGCACACCAAGCAAGTGATGAAGTTTATTGCAATGTCCTTGGGTTCAGGGTCAATGAGAGCAACTGACAAGCAGCAGAGGTAGTGACCTGACTTGGCTGTGTGCCTTCCAGTTCTTAAGTCACTGAAGCTGTTCACCTTCAACATGACCCTGGCTTTTGGTAATAATATTTCATAGCAGCCTCTATCCAACTAATGTGGCAACAAGCCATGCAATTTTGAGCCCAGAGAAATCTTGGGCCTTTTGAGAGCACATTATTTTGGAGGATGAAGTCGGTGGAAATGTGTAGGGCTTGGCAGGTAATAAAAAGAGGTTGATTTTTTAAACAAATAATTCTACCAATTAGAATATAATTCTCTTTGAAATCAGCTATCTCTAAGGTCCTTTCATTTCTTTCATCCCATTACTTACTCCATCAAAGAACGCAAGTTTCACCATAATTGAAACCAATTCCCCCCCCTTTTTCCCCTAGAACAATGTTTATGTGTTGGCAGGCTTTCTCTCATGTGGCTTAAAGGACCACATGTGTTTGCAGGCATTCTATCAAGTAGTTTAAAGAGCATAAAACTTGCAGTAATATTTTTGGGAGTAAATTTTATTGTTATGGCTTTAAAACACAATCAAATAAAAATAAGAATATCCATTAGTAGTTGAATATTGTAATAATAGAGTTGAGAACAAATTTTACTGTTATAGGAACTATAAAACAGCAATAATAAAACACTATTATTGTGAATAAATTGTGTGGAGATGACTAACTAGAAAGCTATAAAACACAACGATAAGAAATAATCTAATCACCAGGAAAGATGTGATAATAATTCACCCTTGTTAGTGAGGAGCCCATGGTTCCACTTCATTGGCCCTGAGTTCCCTGGGTTACTGCTTGCATTCCATAAGGTTACAGAAAGATAATCTTTGGCCAGGGGGGTTGGCAGGAGACCACATATTACAGTGAAATTGGACGTGGGGATTGAGGAAAATCCAATTATCAGTGACAGTTAAGAAAATCCTGTGTAGTAATATCAAATGTCCTCACAACACATTTAAAAAATTATTTGCAGGTTTTTACTAACAATTTGTGTGTATTATTTGACTACATTTTTATGTGTTTTTAAACTTTTATTTATATTCTTTTGTTTCAGAATAACTGTATGGAACTACATATTGGTAGCAGGGGAAGCCTTTTGCAGTCTTTCTTTTTATTTAGACTACCCATACGTCCCTTTGCCATGAATCCATCTCAGCCCATTCCAATTAGCAAGAGTATGGAAAGATGACACCCTTAACTTCCAGGTCCCCCTCTCTTTCTGTGGAACTGACAGCACCATTAGAACCCTTGCTCCAAAATTAGTACTACCAAGGTTCCTGCCAGTCCCCTCACTTGGGTGAGGAAGAGAGTGGCATGAGTGTTGCATTTTACCCCTCATTCTGAACAGCAAAATTCAAATTCAGGATTTTTGAATTAACTAAATCCCAAGGGAAGGATGCAAAATGCTAACAATGCAGTTTTCTTTAAGGTGCCATTATCGTAGGCAAGCTATGCTGAGTTTTCTATACTCACCGCCTCCACTTTCTCACTTCCCTTTCCTTCTTTAACCAGCTCCAGGCAGGCGTTTGTCCCCACCACGTTATCTACTGAAATTGCTCTTTTCAAGGTCTCCAGGAGCCTCTATCCTGCTGGTTATGATTGGTTAGTTCTTCGTCCTCGTTTGACCAGTGGGTAACTCCCATTTTTTTTGTTTTTAATGCTTTCCTCATTTGGCTTCTGGGACACAATAGTCACCCATTTTTTAACTACCTCACTGGCTGTTCTTCACAATTCCCTCGCTGGATTCTTCTCTTCTACCAAGTCCTCTAAATGTTAGGTCAGCCCAGGTCTCAGTCTTTGTCTTTCTCTGTCTATACCCACACCCTAGATGAACTCCTCTAGCCCAGTGGCTTTAAACACCATCGTGATATTGTGATACAATAGGAAATACATATTTTGTCTTTGTCCCTGGTTCCTGACACAGAGCTCCTAAAACCCTTGGAATTTCCTCAGTGATAAGATCAATAAAGGTGAAAGGGCCATTTTTGTTATTCATGACGTCCCTTTTGACTATGTCTAAGTTTAAGTGAACAGGTAACTTTTGGAAAGTTTCTAAGGATAGCGGCTGGTTGCCAGGAGAATCAGCCATGTTATTCAGTAATCCCCTCCCATCTCTGGGGAGGAAAGAGGGACTGGAGATTTATTTAATCACCAATGACCAATGATATGATCAATCATACCTATGTAATGAAGTCTTCATAAAAACACAAGGGAACAGAGTTTGGAGAGCCTCTGGGTTGCTAAACACATGGAGGGACTGGGTGGATGGCATGCCTGGAGACAGCATGGAAGCGCTTATCTCCTCTAGTTTTTTAACTGCATTCTCTTTACTTGAAACTGTAACATTTGTTTGTATACTCGTTTATTTTTCTCTCAACTCTACTGTGAGTTCCATAAAAGAAGGGACTCTGCCTTGTTCACCCTTGTATCTTAAGTATCTAGCATAGTGTCTGGTATACAGTGGTACTCATGAGATTTTTGTAGAATGAATACATGAATACAGGGCAGAAGATTTAAACTGGGTCCCTAAATGCCAAGGACTCCATTTAAATACTCTACCTGCTCTGCGCTAAAGTTTGCCTTGCTCAGTTAGACTATTAGCAATGGTCTTAACATGAGTCTTTAATTTTACTGGTCAATGAGATTCAAGCATAACTTGGCTATGTCTGAAAACATGGCGGAGTATCTGACAGAGTCCTTCATGTAAGAGGGGCGTGGGGTAAAATCCACATGGGAAAGGATTGAAACTGTCTTCACTGCTCAGATTTGAAGAGATCTGGGTTTGTTTAAGAAGCTGGTGATGTGGTTCATCAGAAAAAGAGAAGGCATTTGACCCCAATCAAAGCCTTAGATTGAAGGAGGAAGTGGAGATTCTGAATAATGACCATGTCCATTTTGACCAGAGCAGAGTGTTCTTTCTGGTCTCATGAACAGGCTCATGATTCACAAAGACTAGCCTACTATTCCCATTCAACCTGTGTGAGGGGAAGAGCAGGAATGATTGCTCCTGAGCACGAGTGATGGGGGTTCCTAGAAATACTCCAAGGTGACTTTACATAGGGAGGAAATTTATTTCAGGATCTGGTGAAGTTGAGAGCTCACGTAAATTTGGTTTTAGAGAAGAAATGAAATATCAAATGGTACAGCATTTCCCACACTGGAAAAGGTGTTTGAGGACATGAGAGAGTTAATAAAGCAATTGCCCGTGACTTTCTGCTGAGACATCCACTAACTGATTTATCTCATCTTGATTGTGGGAGCCACAGTCTTGATGCATTCATTCTCAAGGACACTTGATCCACTGCCAGAGAGGCCCAGAATTTTCTAACTTACTGTGTGGCAGAATGAAGCCTCTGCTTGAAACCCTTTATCTTTTGGGGATGCTGGTTCCTGGAGGGCTGGGATATGATAGGTGAGTGTAAAGTGGGAAGAGGAACTGATTATTATAATTTAGATTGTCTAAATTGAATGGTTTCTTTTTAAGACCAATGCAGCTGGCTTCTCCTTCCTTGCTACTCATATATACCACCATGAGATGAGAATAATAAAGACCACTGAAATTTATCACTGAATAATCATAATCCTCTAATAATCCTTGAATAAATGAATAAATATCTAGCAAACATTTCCTAACACAATGCATGAGATATACAAATAGACATGTCATGTTTTGTGATTGGAAAAAGAAAATTGTAATACAAATTCTATATCCTTCATTTTCATAGTATCTCATTTGGTAAATCACATTATCCTAATTATTAAGAAAAATGTTAAAATGACCAAATAATTTCACCTAGAGATAAGTACTATTAATGTTTTCAGATAGCTACCTGATTATGTATGCAGCACTATTTCTGAAATATTTCACTTAAATTGTATTACAGAAATTTTCCTATGGCATTAGCAATTTATTTAAAACAGTTGAAATTGCTAATAATATTCTGTCATTTAGTCAATTCCTGCTTTTTCATTTTTACAAATAATGCTGTGATGAGCAACCAGCTACATAATTTTTTTTGCTTTTTGCAAATCTTTAATTATTTCTCTAAGAAGTGGAATTACTGGGTCAGTAACTGAGGAAAATGTAAGGATCTTGCTACACATTGCCCAATTACCCTCTAGAAAGATTACATCAGTCTACACTTCCAATAACAGTGTATGAAAGCACTTTTTAAGTGTTTGGCAAATTGACAAGTAAAAAATACACATTGTTGACTTCCTTTGTATTTTGTTGATTTATAAGAGTAAATATTTTATTACTAATTTTATCATTTTATAAATTGCCCATTAATGTCATTTGCCCATTTTTGTGGTCTCTCCCTACTCTTAATGAATCATAAGTTCTCTAAATACATTCTATTGAAATCTGTGTGTGTGTATGTGTGTGTGTATAGTTTCCATATAAAGTGTGTTTTTCCCTTGTTCATATGCAAATCATTATTTTGCTCATTTAGCATATCTCATGAAGTATATGTGGTTATAATTGGTATTTCCTCTTTTGCTTCATGGTTAAAGAAATCTTGCAATGAACTTGCTCTCACATAACATAGAAACCCACTCCAATTTTTGTCCCACAATAATTGTGTGACCTCAGCTTGTTCCTTATCTTCAGTTCAATTTCAGATACTTACAGAGTCCAGGATCTCTGTGATATCAAAAACCTGTTTGAATATTTCTTTCTCATTTTTCCATTAGTTTACTTGGTTTCATGTACATAGGGCATTTATTTTCCTTTCTGAAATTCCTCATCCATAAATTGGAAATGAAGACTCTTACATATTTTACAGGAAATACAAAAAAAATTATGCTGCTTAAAAATATCAAGAGCCTTAAAACATAAATCTTTTGGCCTAGTGTTCCTGCCTCTGGACATCTATACTGAGGAAATAAACTAAAGTCTGAAAGAGTTTTATGCAGCTCTGGGATACAACTTTATTTATAATATATATATTCTAATATTTGGAAACAACTTGAATGTCTATGTTAGGTTATGTAAATGCTGATATGTGATATAGGACAATGGGATATTATTCATGCAATAGAAAAATAAGTATAAAACTTTTTAATGGCATAGGAAAATGTATGTTTTATGCTAAAGGAAAGAGGCTGTATATAAATCTAATGGAGTACTTTAAAAAATAAAATAAAAATATGTACTAAAATGGTAATTGTTATCTTTGGTTGGTGATATTTTCTCCCTTCCCTCAACTATTATTCATTTTGCAAATATCGTACAATGAACATGACATAAAACTTTAATTTAAAAAATTAGATTCCAAGCCCAGGTTAAATTATTGAAGTGACTAGGCTCAGGCAGTGGGACTCAGATGAGACAGCTTCCATTGGATGGTTCCTCATGACTGCACTTGACCGTGCTTGTCTTTATTGGCTGTTTTTATTTAAATTATTAGTTATTGATATAAAAAATAATGGTCACTTTTATGTAACTCTCGCCAACTCAAAACATGTTAGCTGCAATTTTTGATAATCTTTATTCACTACATGTGATAATAGTCTAGAAAATTTAAAATTAATAAAGATTACAAGCTTTGTAATATTTCTCTTGAGCATTTAGGGAGGTAATCTCCCATATGTTATATATTGCATACATCCTGAAAAAGTGTAACTCTGTATAATCATTTGGGATTTAGCAATATCAATCAAATGGCTTGAAAATGTTCATCTTCTTTGATCTACTAATTCTTCTTTCTGGAACGTAGCTCAAGGAAACAATAAAAAATAAGAACAAAGATTTACACAATAAGGTATTATCTCTAGAATTATTTATAATAGTATAAAAACCAAAAGGGACATAGCTTTAATATCCAGCATAGAAGAAAATATTTAAATAAATGATACTATGTAACATATACTTACTGTCAAATAGTGTGCAACCATTAAAGAGTTTTCATTGGTTTGAGGAAATGTCTTTGGTAGAATACAGAATACAAAGAAACGAATACAAAATTATATATAGATATAATCTGCCCTGCATTTAAGAAAAATAAATGCACAGATAAAAGTCTGGAAGGAAACATGCCAAAATATCAGTAGCAGTTAACTCAGGGAGGTGGAATTATTGATAATTCTTCTCTTTTCTATTTTTCTCCTCCTTTTTTACCTCTCCATACCTTCTACGTTTTCCATGTTAGGCATATGTTAATTTTGTAAGCAGAAAAATAAAGTTTGAAAATACAGAACTATCATGAAATATTCATGTAACTATTTCTTCACCAAGTATTTAAAATACAAAATTTGCCTCAATATTCATTAGGATTTTTTTGCCTCTTTATACATTCCAGTCAAAATGCTATCAGACCATCATCTTTGATCTGCAGACTTTATTAATAATGTACCCCAAAGGATCATTTTCTCTATTAAACATTTTATGAATTCCTGTTCAAAAAGAATACACAAAGTACAATAATCTTTTCATTTGATCAGTGAGATGAGACTGGTGATAATTTGGGAGATTAGCCAGCTTTTTCCTCCCCTCTCTACATGTTTTATGCATCACCCAAGAAATTGCCTAGAAACAGAGAATAGCCTTTTCTAAGTATATGGTTTAAGCATTCATTTGAACAAAGTATTCGAGTTTCTGAGGTTTACATATTGTGTTTCAGTTTCATATACAAGTGATAAGCATTTTTAATATCGGGGCTTTCACTTAAATCCCAGACCATTCACTTTTTTTGCATATGAAATGGACCCAGTTGCTCAATGCTGGGCTTAGGAAGTAACAGACTCACATTTTGTAGACATTGTAGCCAAGAGTAAGGCAAATGCCTGAGGGTGTTAGGTTATCTTTATTTAATTTATTCCCCTCAGTGTTATGGCATTGCCAGGGAATCCCAGCCCAATTGAAACAAGAATGCACCAGGTGCAAACCCCACTTTTTAGTGTACTCCCTTTCCTAGACCACTGAGTAGATAACTGTGATAAGGAAAAACCCAAACATTTGCTAAACTATGTGAAGGAAGGAAGAACAGCCAGCTTCCTTGTTCTCAATACTGTTGGGGAAGCATTGTCAATAATCTCACTTCATGGCAGGACAGGATGGGCCAAACAGCCAGTGTGAGGAATGAGAGACAGGGAGTGGGGGGTTGGGAGGAGTTAAAAGGATATCCTCTTCATTTGCTTCATTCCCTCTCCTCTTTCCATTCTGAGAAAGGGTTAAAATGATTTTTCAGTGACTTTATAATACTTATTTTTATTCTCTTTATAGTCCCAATCAGAGGTAGACAATTTGGACGATTTTTTAGCCCCTAAAAGTGGACTAATTAATACTTCGTCCTTATTTTCTAGGATGTCATAAAAGAATAGTTAAGCCTATGTAACAAAGTCTTCAGGAAAAAAAAAACTGGGATAATAGTATTTACCTTAAGAATTATTGTTACGATCAAATGAAGATAGATAGATGATAGATAGATAGATAGATAGATAGATAGATAGATAGATAGATGATGGATAGATGATAGATAGATAGATAGATAGATAGATAGATAGATAGATAGATAGATAGATGATAAGCAGATAGATGGACAGACATGATATAGATATCAGGTTTTTAGAACAGTTTCTAGCATACATAATTGCTAGTAAAATATTGGTTGTTATTATTGGCTATGCTTGAGTTTGGAATTCTCTCTCTCCTGACCTTAAAACAGTTTGTGCACCATTTAATTGATAGTTAATCAGGCACTAGCTTATCATACCTCATGCCTTGTTATTTAATGACAAAGTTTTTTTGCTTTTGATGTGTTTATGTCTTATTGTCTTAAGTAGATTTTTAATTCTGCAAGAAATAAATCTTCTTTTCAATTACTACTACCTATTACTACTTTTGCATAGAGTAGTAAGAATATATACCCACTGGGTGGTTGAGTGACTTAAATAAGATAATAATATAAAGTGCTTTGACCAGTGCCTAGCATGTAGTGCTCAGTAAGGGTTAACTATTGTTAGTATAAAATATACATATTTGCTGATTACTTTATAAAGACACGAAATTTGCTCCTGAAAATGTATGTTAAGAATGAATTTTTATGAATTTTAAATACACTAGAAAATACATGTATTTTCTTTACAAAATGATCATCTTTTGTAAAGCAAGCAGCCTCAACATATTACTTGCACCAGTATATATTTTTATATTAAAATTTCTCACTCTGAAGCACCCTTGTTTATTAAAAAATCAAATGAATGGTAAATATTATAAATAGATTTGTGAATAACATGAAGATGATTGTTTCTCAGCTATTACAATGTAAATAACATTTATTTCTTTTAATCTTCTTTTAAAATTCATTTTCATTGTTTTAACCAATTATTTGGACAATTCTATCTCATGAAGACACTGAGATTGTCTTTTCATTTGGACAAGCTAATAGGGCAAACTTCATTGAACAATGTAATAAAACATCTTTAATTTTGAGGACAAAGAGCTTCTGTTAAAATTATTATTAATATTACTAACAATTAATAATAATAAATCTAACTCTAAGTTTAAAGTAGTGGAATTGTCTGGAGAAATTGATTTCCATTCGAGTAGCTTAATGTGGTACATGATGCTAAGTGAACCAGAAAAAAAATAAAATTAGGACTTACATAGATATGACTGGAACTTGCATTTTAATTAATTCTATCAAAACATTTTGTAGTTTGGCATTGTTTGAGGATAATACTAGTTGGATGGCTAAATTATTCTTTGTACAATTTTTATTTTTAATATCATGCAGCAAAATAGGGCTTATGCTTTGTTTTGAATTGTATTTTAACACTTACTAGGAATTGACTATATGTCAGAAATTGTGCTTATTGTTAAACACAGATTATCTTATTTAATCCTCATAAAAATCCTTTGGGAAGGTACTATTATTATTCCCATTTTACAAATAAAGAAATGAAGACTTAGAGAAAGAGAAGACACAATACTATTTTGAGCATTTTTTGAATGCTCAAGAAAATGTAGAAGAATAGGTAAAAGTCATAGAAATGTTAGCTAATTAGATCTCTAACACACTTCATTGCAACTCAGTATCACTATACAAAAGTTTGTACCCCAACAGCTCCAAAAGTTCATACTCCAATGCCATTAACATAGTAGCCATTCTATACATATTTGCTGGGTAAATGAATTACCACTTAATATGCCCTGACAATAAAAATATAACCCCATTTCTTGCTTACATAGGGCATTTAAACTAGGAAACTAAGTCATTCAACAAATGTTTGTGCGGCTTAGAGATAGAATATTCGCTGTATGACTTACTAGCTCTGTGACTCTTTGCTAATTACCTAATTTCTCTTGGTCTCAGTTTCCTCATTTGTAACATATGGAGAATAACAATTTACAGAGTTGTAGTGAGAATAAAATTATATACTCTGCATGAATGTTTCTCTTAGGTGTGAGCACAATATCTGGCAAAGAGGAGGCACTGAGTAGCTTTATTAAGCTGTTTGTTAAAAAATAAAGCATAAATAGACATTTGGAATAAGCCCATATCTATTAAAAATTGAATAGATAGTTAATTAGCCAGGCATGGTGGCACATGCCTGTAATCCCAGCTACTCGGGAGGCTGAGGCAGGAGGATTGCTTGAACCTGGGAGGCGGAGGTTGCAGTCAGCCGAGATCATGCCATTGCACCCCAGCCTGGGCAACAAGAGCAAAACTCCGACTCAAAATAAATAAATAAATATTTAAAAAAATTTTTTTAAATTAAAAAAAAAGATAGTTAATAATCTTCTAAAACAGAAAGCACCAGGCCAAGATAGGTTCACTGGTGAATTCTGCCAAATATTTAAGGAAAAAATTATACCAATTCTCTGCAATGTCTTCCAGAAATAGAAGCAGAGAGAATGCTTCCTAACTCATTTTATGAGATCAGTATTATCTTAATGCCAAAATCAAAGAATTAAAAGAAAAAAAAATTACAGACCAATATCTCTCATGAACACAGATAGAAAAATCTTCAATGAAATAGTAGCAAATCAAATTCAACAATGTATAAAAAGAATTAGACACCACAACCAAGTGGAATTTGTCCCAGGTATGCAAAGCTGGTTCAACGTTCAAAAATCAATTAGTACTATCTGTTCTACCCACAGGCTGAAGAAGAAACATAACATGATTATATAAATAGATGTAGAAAAAGCATTTGACAAAATCTAACACACATTTGTGATTAAAAAGGTAGTAGGGAACTTCCTCAACTTGATAAACAACATCTCCAAAAAATCTACAGTTTACATTATACTTAATGATGAGAAACTAGAAGCTTTCCTACTAAGGTGAAGGCAAGGATGTTCCCTCTCAGCACTCTTTTTCAACATTATACTGAAAGTCCTAGCTAATGTAATAAGACAAGAAAATAAAATAAAAAGTATACAGATTGGGAAGAAAGAAATAATACTGTATTTGTTTGAAGATGACATGATTATCAATGTAGAAATCAGAAAGAATCAACCACAAGAAAGTCTCCTGGAATAAGCAATTATAGCAAAGTTGCAGGATACAAAGTTAATATTAGAAAGTCAATTGATTTCCTATGTAACATCAATGGACAAGTAAAATATGAAATTAAAAACAAGTTACCATTTACATTAGCACCCCTCAAAATAAAATACTTAGGTATAATTCTAACAAAATTTATACAAGATCTATATGAGGAAAACTAAAAAACTCTAATGAAAGAGATCAAAGAAGAACTAAATAAATGGAAAGTCCATGTTCACAGACAGGAAGACTGAGTATTGTTAAGATGTCAGTTCCTCCCAACTTGATAGCAAGTTACTTTGTGGTTATTGACAAACTGATTCTAAAGTTTTTATGGAAAAGTGAAAGACCGAAAATATTCAACTCAATATTGAAAGAGAAGAACAAAGTCAAAGGACTGACAGTACCCAACCTCAAGACTTAATATAAAGCTACAGTAATCAAGACAGGTGTTATTGGTAACAAAATTAACAAATAAATCAAAGGGAGAAAATAGGGATCCCATAAATAAACCTACATAAATATAGTCAAAAGATCTTTGACAAAGGAACAAAACAGTCTTTTCAGCAAATAGTGCTGGAACAACTAGACATCCAAATGCAAAATAAGTAAATCTAGACATAGACATCGCACCTTCACAAATATTAATTCAAAATGTATCATAGACCTGAATAGAAAATGCAAAACTATAAAACTCTAGAAGATAGCATAAGAGAAAACCTAGATGACTATGGGTATGGTGATGAGTTTTTAGATACAACACACATGGCACAATCCTCGAAAGTAAGAATTGATAAGCTAGACTTCATTAAAATTGGAAACTTCTACTTTGCAAAAGACAATGTTAAGAAACAAAAAGACAAGCCACAAACTGACAGAGTATATTTTCAAAACACACATCTGATAAAGGACTGTTATCCAAAATATATAAATAACTCTTAAAACTCAACAACAAGAAAAGGAATAACTTGAATAAAAAATTGGCAAAAGACTTGAACAGACACCTCATCAAAGAAAATATAGAGACAGCGAGAAAACATAAAAAAGATATTCCACATCATATGTCACTAGGGAATCACAAATTAAAATAAGATGATAATACTTGTTAATAAAACAAGAAGATAATATACTTCACACCTATTAGAATGTCCAAAATCCAAAACACTGACAACACTAAATGCTGACAAGGATGTGGAGCAACAGGAACTCTCATTCGTTGCTGATGAGAATTCAAAATGGTACAGCCACTTTGGAAGACAGTTTGGCAATTTCTTACAAAACTAAACAAACTCTTACCATATTATCCAACCATTGCACTCTTTAGTATTTATCCAAATGAATTGAAAACATGTCAACATAAAAATCTGTACAGGGATGATTATAGCAGCTTTATTCATAACTGCCATATCTTGGAAGCAACCAGGGTGTTCTTCAGTAGATGAGTAAGGGTAAATAAACTGTGGTATATCCAGACAATGGAATATTACACAGTGCTAATAAAGAAATTAGCTTATTAAGCCATGACAAGACATGGAGGAAACTTAAATGCATACTATTCAGTGAAAGAAGTCAACCTGAAAATGTTGCATACTGTATGAGTCCAACTATGTTACATTCTGAAAAGACAAAACTATGGAGAAGTAAACAGGGCAGTAGTTGCCAGGGGTTAGGGAAAGGGAGGGATAAATTGGAAGAATGCAGAGGATTTCTAAGGCATTAAAACTATTTTGTGCCTGGCTCAGCGGCTCACACTTACAATCCCAGCACTTTAGGAGGCTGAGGCAGGAGGATTGCTTGAGGCCGGGAGTTTGAGAACAGCCTGAGCAACACAGTGAGACCTTGTCTCTACAAAAATTAAAAATTAGCGGAGTGTAGTGGCTGGGACCTGTAGTGCCAATTAATTGAGAGGCTGAAGTAGGAGGATATTCTGAGCCCAGAGCCCAAGGCTGCAGTGAGCTATAATCATACCATTGCAGTCCAGTTTGGGTGACAAAGTAAGACCTTGTTTCAAAAACAAAACAAAACAATTTAGTATTATACTGTAATGGTAAATATGTGTCACCAAACATATGTCAGAATCCATTCAATGTATGAAGAGTGAGCCCTAATATAAACAATGGACTTTGGGTGATAATGATGTATCAAAGTTCATTGATTCTAACCAATGTACCACTGTTGTGTGGGATGTCTATAGCAGGGAAGATTGTGCATGTGTGAGAATAGCAGGTAAATGGGAACTATCTGCATTTTCTGCTTAATTTTTATGTGAACCTAAAAGTGTGCTAAATAATAAAGTTTATTTTTAAAAAGATAAACCATTGCAAAAAAAAAAAAAAGATTAGTTCTCACCATTATATGCAGTACAGTGGTTAATATTGCAAGGTCTTCAGTCAGACTGTCAGGGTTTAAAGCCCTAATAACACTTCCCTGTGATTCAGTTTCTTCATCTCTGAAATGGAGATAATAAGAGTACCTATCTCAGAGTTTTAGAGAGAAATAAATGAGATTTAAATTGCTTAGAACAGTGCATGTCTCGTAAGTTTCACTTCAATAAATCTTAGTTATTATTTCATATACAAATTTTAAAGTATTTTTATCTACAACATTTTATTGAATTATCCTAGCCTCCCTGCAAGGTTGGAATAATTGTTCTCACTCTACAGATGAAGAAACTTCAGCTCAGAGTGGCTCAGTGGCTGCCCAAGGTCTCATAATTAGTAAGTCACAGAGCCAAAGACTCCAACACAGGCTTTTGTCCTCCAAGTCCTGTGCACACTGATTCTACTACCTTTTTCAACAACCCGCCAACCCTCAGGATATCCCAGTTTCACCACTGCTTTTCCTCTTACTTTCTTCCCTTTGCAGATCCTTAGCCCAACACAGACAAGAGATTGTGGACAAGTCAGTGAGTCCATGGAGCCTGGAGACGTATTCCTATAACATATACCACCCCATGGGAGAGGTAAGGAAGGACACATGGCAGGAGGTTGGTGGTTGTCACAACCTACTTTAGGATGGGCAAAGAATGGTTCACTAGTAATATCCATGCATTAGAGAGGCTGAAAATGTGGTGTTAAGATCTGCCAATACATTGAGTTCAAGGGATTCCTGAACATCTCCCCACCCGCCACCACCATTGAAGCTGTAAAAGCTGGTGATATGAAATTTTAAAAAATTAATAACAAAAAGAAAATGAACAAGAACATCCCAACGAGCCAGTTTTGCTGCTCTGAACATGAACCAGAATTAACTCTTATTTTTGTTTGTCAAGTTCTTAGCAAGTTTAAGCTGGGCAGCATTGCTGTTTATATGGGTGTGAGGTGGAGAAGCCTTCTGATTGAATCATATTTAGCTGAAAATGTATTTATTGTAGGATTTACAGGACACATGCAGTAGTTCTCAAGAGGGGAAAACTTTTTAAAATTTTTATAATCTGTCCATCTGACAAAGGACTAATATCCAGAATCTACAAAGAACTCAAACAAATTTACAAGAAAAAACAAACAACCCCATCAAAAAGTGGGCAAAGGATATGAACAGACACCTCTCAAAAGAAGACAATTATGAAGCCAACAGACATATGCAAAACTGCTGGTCATCAGAGAAATGCAAATCAAAACAACAATGAAATACCATCTCACGTCTAGAATGGCGATCATTAAAAAGTCAGAAAACAACAGATGTTGGAGAGGATGTGGAGAAATAGGAACGCTTTTACACTGTTGGTAGGAGTGTAAATTAGTTCAACCATTGTGGAAGACAGTGTGGCGATTCCTCAAGGATCTAGAACTAGAAATACTATTTGACCCAGCAATCCCATTACTGGGCATATACCCAAAGGATTATAAATCATTCTATGATAAAGACACATGCACATGTATGTTTATTGTGGCACTATTCACAATAGCAGACTTGGAACCAACCAAATGTCCATCAATGATAGATTGCATTAAGAAAATGTGGCACATATACACCATGGAATACTATGCAGCCATAAAAAAGGATGAGTTCATGTCCTTTGCAGGGACATGGATGAAGCTGGAAACCATCATTCTAAGCATGCTATCACAAGGACAGAAAACCAAACGCTGCATGTTCTCACCCATAAGTGGGAGTTGAATAGTGAGAACACATGGTCACAGGGAGGGGGAACATCACACACCGGGGCCAGTTGTGGGTGGGGTGGGGGCCTGGGGGAGGGATAGCATTAGGAGAAATACCTAATGTAAATGACAAGTTGATGGGTGAAGCAAACGAACATGGCACATGTATACCTATGTAACAAACCTGCATGTTGTACACATGTATCCTAGAACTTAAAGTATAATTAAAAAAAAAAGGGGTGGAACCAAAAAAAATTATCTTGCATGTACCTTTTAAGTATAAATAGACAAGACCATGTAAATTATACCTTACAACTACACCCTCTATAATCTCCATACAGTAAAACTGGAAAGGTCAGAATATTATTTAATGCTTTACAATTTATATGAGAATAAACTGAATTGTAGCTTCCCCTCCAAAAAAAGAAATATTTGTATTGCTATTAAGATAAGTTTGGTGGTTTCCAAAATTGGATACAGTGAAAAATTAGCTTCTACTTATGTACGTGTGTGTATGTATGTGACATTATGCAAATCTTTTTTGAGGTATAAATTTCTAAAAATAGAGTTGCTGGGTCAAAGAATACACATGTCTACATTTTTATATAAATGCACAATTTGCCCTTCAAATGACCTTTACCAATTTATTCTCTCAGCATTTAGGAATATATTCATATTTTCCAGACTTTTTTTCAACAAGTACAAGAAAAGATTTATACTTTCTTATATAGCAGTCACCCCAAAGTACTGAAAGTTCTACAATTTTGTAAAGGTCCAGTATGGCCCATGGACACTTTATGACCTGGTATCAGAGATGAGTTCACACATGGCTTGACCACTTGCTGGCAGTGTGACTTTCACAAAGACACTTAAACTTTTTAATCCTCAGCTTCCTCATCTGTGAAACAGAAATAGTAGTATCTATCTTGTAGCATTGTTGTGAGAGTAAATGAAATAAACACTACTACTGTGTACTGAACAAGCAATAAATAAAGAATATTTGTTGCTGCTACTGGCTGCTATTTGTAGCTCTCTCAAGACATAAGGCATCTGCATCTCACCTAGTCCCATCACAGATATAAACATAACTACCCATGTGGTAAGCTGTTATTCTTTTCAGTGAATAGACTGAAATGAAAATACCCTCACTTGAGTAAGTATTACTACTGTTATAATACATTTTATCTATACCTAGCCCATGCTAAAATGAATGTCAATTGAGATATAACAATTTTCAAATAGGATATTTGTTATCCCTCAATTAACTTTTTTTTTTTTGAGACAGAGTCTTGCTCTGTTGCCCAGGCTGGAGTGCAGTGGGCAATCTTGGCTCACTGCAACCTCCACCTCCTGGGTTCAAGCAATTCTCTGCCTCAGCCTCCTGAGTAGCTGAGATTACAGGCACTCACCACCATGCCCAGCTAATTTTTTTGTATTTTTAGTACAGACAGGGTTTCACCATCTTGGCCAGGTTGGTCTTGAACTCCTGACCTCGTGATCCACCCACCTTGGCCTCCCAAAGTGCTGGGATTACAGCCATGAGCCACCATGCCCAGCCAATTAACTATTATTTACTATAACTCTTGGTTGTTGTCAGAGACATCAACTATATAGAAATTGATTGTAAGAGGTGTGAAATGCTGATGATTGTCTGAATATGTCTTATGTTTGTGAATTTTCTTATTGCATTAATTGTTATGGAACCCCAAATTACGGACTTCCAGACCAAGGTATAAGACTCTTTGTAGCACAACATAAGACTTGTAATTAAATCAGCTGCTATTCAGGTCTACTCAATTGAATCAAAACACCTAGCCTAGGACTTGATTCAGAAACTTCTGTTGGCATGTGAGAACATGTGAGAAGGCCATAATCAGGTCTTCTCTAATCTTGGAACCATGGTGTATTAGTCTGTTCTCATGCTGCTGTAAGGACATACCCGAGACTGGGTAATTTATAAAGGAAAGAGGTTTAATGGACTCATAGTTCCACATGGCTGGGGAGGCCTCAAAATCATGGTGGAATGTGAAGGAGGAGCAAAGGTATGTCTGACATGGCAGCAGGCAAGAGAGTGTGTGCAAGGGAGCTGCCCTTTATAAAACCATCAGGTCTCCTGAGACTTATTCACTATCACGAGAACAGCTCAGGAAAACTTGTCTCCCACCCCATGATTCAATTACCTCCCACCAGCTTCCTCCCATGATATCTGGGGACTATAGAAACTACAATTCATGATGAGTTTTGAGAGGGGACACAACCAAACCATATATTCCACCGCTGGCCCTTCCCAAATCTCATGTCATCACATTTCAAAACTAATCATGCCTTCCCAACAGTCCCCCAAAGTCTTAACTCATTTCAGCATTAACTCAAAAGTCCACAGTTGAAAGTCTCATCTGAGATGAGGCAAGCCCCTTCCACCTATAAGCCTGTAAAATCAAAAGCAAGTTAGTTACTTCCTAGATACAATGGGGGTACAGGCATTGGGTAAATACACCCATTCCAAATGCAAAAAAAATGGCTAAAACAAAGGGGCCACAGGCCCCAAGCAAGTCCGAAATCCAATAGAGCAGTAATTAAATCTTAAAGCTCCAAAATAATCTCCCTTGACTCCATGTCTCACATCCAGGTCATGCTGATGCAAGAGGTGGGCTCCTACAACCTTGGACATTCTGTCCCTGTGCCTTTGCAAGGTATAGCCCCACTCCTGGCTGCTTTCATAGGCTGGCATTGAGTGTCTGCAGTTCTTCCAGGTGCACAGTGCAAGCTGTCAGTGGATCTACCATTCTGGGGTCTGGAGAATGGTGACCCTCTTCTCACAGCTCTACTAGGCAGTGCCCCAGTGGGGACTCTAAGTGGAGTTCCAACCCCACATTTCCTTTCTGAACTGCCTTAGCAGTTCTTCATGAAGTTCTTCATGAGGGCTCTGCCCTTGCGGCACACTTCTGCCTGGACACCCAGACATTTACATACATCATCTGAAATCTAGGTGGAGGTTCCCAAACCTCAGTTCTTGACTTCTGTGCACCTGCAGGCTCAACACTATGGGGAAGCTGCCAAGGCTTTGGGCTTTCACCCTCTGAAGCCATGGCCTGAGCTGTACCTTGGCCCCATTTAGCCATGGCTGGAGAAGCTAGGACACAGAGCACCAAGTTCCTATGCTGCACAGAACAAGGGGGCCCTGAATCCAGCCCATGAAACCAATTTTTCCTCCTAGGCCTCCAGGCCTGTGATGGGAGGGGCTGCTGTGAAGGTCTCTCACATGCCCTGGAGACATTTTCCCATTGTCTTGGTGATTAATAATTGACTCCTCATTACTTATGCAAATTTCTGCAGCAGGCTTGAATTTCTCCCCAGAAAATTAGTTTTTCTTTTCTATCGCATTGTCAGGCTGCAAATTTTCCAAAACTTTATGCTCTGTCCCCTCGTGAATGCTTTGCTCCTTAGAAATTTCTTCCTCCAGATACCCTAAATTATCTCTCTCAAGTTCAAAGTTCCACAGATCTCTAGGGCAGGGACAAAATGCCTCCAGTCTCTTTGCTAAAGCATAACGAGTCACCTTTGCTTCAGTTCTCAGCAAGTTCCTCATCTCCATCTGAGACCAGCTTAGCCTGGACTTTATTGTCCATATCACTATCAGTATTTTGGTCAAAGCCATTCAACGAGTCTCTAGGAAGTTCCAAACTTTTCCACATTTTCCTGTCTTCTACTGGGCCCTTCAAACTGTTCCAACCTCTGCCTTTTACCCAGTTCCAAAGTCATGTCCACATTTTCAGGTATCCTTATAGAAGCACCGTACTCTACTAGTACCAATATACTGTAGTAGTCCATTTTCATAATGCTATGAAAACATACACAAGACTGGGTAATTCATAAAGGAAAGAGATTTAATTGACTCACAGTTCAGCAGGGCTGGGGAGGCCTCAGGAAACTTACAATCATGGTGGAAGGGGAAACAAGTCCTTCTTCACATGGCGGCAGCAAGGAGAAGTGCAGAGTGAAAGGGGTTGGGGGTGGCACCTTCTAAATCCATCAGATCTTGTGAGACTTATTCACTATCATGAGAACAGCATGGGAAAAGCCCACCCCCATGATTCAATTACCTCCCACAGAGTCCCTCCCATGACATGTGGGGATTATAGAATTCAAGATGAGATTTGGGTAGAGACCCAGCCAAACCATATCACATGGACATCAGCAAAAGATATCACCGGGATCTGTAAAGATGGAAGAAAATCTCACAAAATAAGCCTCACCTGAAATTTCTGGCATGATTGTGTGCCACATGAAAGCTAAGGCTGGTGGTCAATTGAAGGATGTACTGTTATACAATATTTCTGAAGTGTTACTGGTGGGTTATTCAAACTGTTAATTCTTAATAACTTATTGGTAAAGTGCAGTGGTAGAACCTAAGACTTGGTGACAGAATAAATTGTTAAAGAAAGGGAAAGATGGGAGGTTGTTTTCTGTTTCTTTTACCACACAGCTGTTGCAATCTAGAGCAAAGATAACAGAGTTCAATGTGTCAGTGAAAGAAGCAGTTATCTTAATCAGAGGCATGCAAACAATCTTCCTACTGATAGCCACAGTCCTCCCTTGCTGTTTCAGATCTATGAGTGGATGAGAGAGATCAGTGAGAAGTACAAGGAAGTGGTGACACAGCATTTCCTAGGAGTGACCTATGAGACCCACCCCATGTATTATCTGAAGGTGAGTGAGAAGGCTGAGAATTACCTTACCAGGAGAATTATCCAGGAGGATATGTGTTTACTATTCAGGGACTCTAATCAGAAGTGTGGAAAAGAGGCTATGCAGAATCAGTTTGCTTTTTCCACCCCAAATGGGGCTCTTAAAGTTCAAAACTCATAGATGCTCTTGCCTTAATTATCTGGGTGAAATCAAGTTCAGGAGTGAAGAGAATTTTGGAGAACTGAGTGGGACCATGGGGGTAGGGCTGAAAAACAGCAGGGCCCAGAAGTGGACAATGCCCACTCAT
The DNA here is from genome assembly GCF_000001405.40 of Homo sapiens. Classification (NCBI taxonomy): domain Eukaryota; kingdom Metazoa; phylum Chordata; class Mammalia; order Primates; family Hominidae; genus Homo; species Homo sapiens. The sequence continues at coordinate 206,955,851 of NC_000002.12, forward strand.
GCTTCAACTAGAGCTAGTTCACTTCTCACCTGTATTTTAAGTTGTTATTTTGTTTATATTTTTAAATTTTAAAATGTTCTTTTTTAAAAAAAGAAAAATGTTTAAAAACCACAGATAATCTTCATTTTTAGCTTCTTCCTTTTATGGTTAAGGGAACAAAGATCCAGAGAAGTGAGGTGACTTGTGAAAGGCCACACAGCCAGATGTCAGCACAGCCAGGGGGATAACCAGGTCTCCAGCGTCTCCTACCCCTTTTGCATGCAACATGACCAAAAGTATTTGGGACCGAAAAACCATTTTTCCACAGGGCCAGGACCCCTGAGCTCCTGGTTCTGCACCAGTGATTTTCAATTCAGGCTGCACATTAAAATCACCAGAGAGCTGCCAATAATCCTTATGCCTAGACCCCACCTAATTTGGTTAGAGATTTTGACCTAATTGTTTCAGGATGGGACCAGGCATACTTCGAACACTCTCTAGGTGATCCTAATGTGTAACCAGAGTTGACAATCTCTGCACCAAACCAGTGGTTTTCAAAGGGCAGCACTTAAATCATCATCATCATCAGCAGCAGCAGCAGCAGCATCACCACCTGAGGGCTTGTTACAAATGCACACTCTCAGGTCCCTGCAAAGGTCTACTAAGTCAGAAACTCGGAGGCTGGAGCCCAACAGTCTATTTTAACAAGGCTTCTTCCAGGTGATTCTGATACACATTCAAGTTTCAGAACCAGAGTGCATTTTTACACTTGATCATAGCCAAAAGGCTGAGAAGCGATACCACAGTGCATTTCTAACAAGTTCCTAGGTGATGCTGATACCACTGGTCCAGGACCACTCTTTAATTAAGAACCACTACTAAAGTAGTATGGCATTAAGAACCAGCATTACTTAGTTTACTGCCCTCTTACTACTTAGTGTAGGTGTGTTAATTTACAAAGTACAGCCCTAAATTTGAGAGTTAACTACAACTCTTAAAAAATTATTGGCTCTGAAATGGAATTTACCCAGGGATTATGTGAGCAACTGGTTGATGTATTAAGCATGGGCCACCTGCCTACCTGATTTTCCATAGGCAATCCAAGTCTACGCCAAAGCAGTCAAAAAGACATCTAAATATCCTCTGCCTAGGGCATATTAAAAAGAATAGAACATAATAAAGAGTTGCACATAATAAAGAGTTGATAAAGATAAACATGTAACTAGCATACACGTACTCATAAAAAGGCTAATTATAGGAGGACATTGGCGGGTGCGGTGGCTCATGCCTGTAATCCCAGCACTTTGGGAGGCTGAGGCGGGTGGAACACGAGATCAGGAGATCAAGACCATCCTAGCTAACACGGTAAAACCCCGTCTCTACTAAAAATAAATACATTAGCTGGGCGTGGTGGCATGTGCCTGTAGTCCCAGCTACTTGGGAGGCTGAGGCAGAAGAATTGCTTGAACCCGAGAGGTGGAGGTTGCAGTGAGCCGAGATCATGCCACAGCACTCCAGCCTGGGTGACAGAGCGAGACTCTGTCTCAAAAAAAAAAAAAAAGAGAACATTAAGGTAAGAGGTGGATTAGGAATTGTCCTGACAATTTGAAAAATAGATGAGGCTAAAAGGAGAAGATTCCTTGAATATGATAGATCCAGCCATGTATTTATCTCATTTTGTAAGTTTCTCATAGAGAGGAAGGGGGCCTTCATCACCTCAGCTTCCAATGGTTTTCAACAAATAGCCTTGGTCTAGGCTATTTACAAATCCAAAACAGATGTGACTGTTCCAAGCATGGGAGTGTTAACAGCCTCTTCTCCACCAAAGAGAATCCACAATTAGCAGTTAATTCCCACCCACCTACCGCTCTGAAAGAGGGGAATCTTCCTTAGAGTGAGGCTGCACTCATGTACAAGAATAGCAAATGGGGAGAAGGAAAGAAGATTGGGCTGGCAGGGAGTCAGGGAGTCTCTGAGGGGAAGGGGAATTTGTGTAATTGAATCCATTTGAAATTTCAAGAATTTTGAGTGGAGATTGGGATTCATTTTAAAGACCTATGATTCTTGAATATTACCTCTTGTGCACTTCACCGCTCTAAGTGAACTCTAAGTGCAAAGGTTTTATAAGGTTTATCCATATTTAGCCTTTTAGCTTGTGGATTAGGGGTTATGCCTTTATCTATAGTTAGGGAGTAATTTAAGGTATAGGGAAGATCATTCTTTGGGTGGGTACTATGGGGAGCCAGTGTGCAGTCCTGAGAACAACCATCAAGGTAACTGGCAGGAGAACAAGAGTAGCAGAGGAAAGAATCATGTTGATGGGTGTCTCATTAGCATCCTTGCCTCCCTCTTGAAACCACAGAGTGGAGTGAAAAAGGAACCTCTAGGGGAATTAAAAATCTCATAACTTTGCACAGTGGCTTACAATAATCAGCAATTGTTTAGTAATGGGGCATGGATATCTTCTCCAGATCAGCCAACCATCTGGTAATCCCAAGAAAATCATTTGGATGGACTGTGGAATTCACGCCAGAGAATGGATTGCTCCTGCTTTTTGCCAATGGTTCGTCAAAGAAGTAAGTGTCTTTAGCTTTCTCATACTGGTAAATCACCCCCATAAAATATCTGTCACTTCTTGGCTGCTTACAAACCACGCTTCTTTCACATGTTAGTGATGCAACTCTTTACTGTGCTAATCCTTCACCTCAAGTGAAATAAAATTAATGAGGAACTTCACTGAAAACTGAATTAATATTCTGATCTCTTTCTAGTGCATCCAAAATAATTTTTATTGGAGGGTAAACATATCTAAATGTAGAAGAACATATGTCTATGGAGTCAGAGATGAGTTTGAATCCTGGCTGTGCCTCTTTCTAATAGTATTTGGCAAATTTTCTAGTTTTTTTTTTTTTTTTTTTTTTTTTTTTTTAAGACAGAGTTTTGCTCTTGTTGCCCAGGCTGGAGTGTAATGGCACGATCTCAGCTCACTGCAACCTCCGCCTCCTGGGTTCAAGCGATTCTCCTGCCTCAGCCTCTTGAGTAGCTGGGATTACAGGCATGCACCACCATGCCCAGCTAATTTTGTATTTTTAGTAGAGATGGGGTTTCTCCATGTTGGTCAGACTGGTCTGGAACCCCCGACCTCAGGTGATCCACCTACCTCGGTCTCCCAAAGTGCTGGGATTACAGGCATGAGCCACCATGCCCAGCCAGTTTTCTAGTTTTTCATCTGTAAAAAGAGTACGAAATAACTACTTCATGGGTCTGTAGTGTGGATTAAGAGACTTAGCATATGGAAAATACCCAGCACAGTGAATTTTTGTGTATTACTTATAATCCTCCCTTGAGGGAATAAGAAATCTTTAAAAGTAATATAGAATACTTTCTTGGTCAGTTTTTTCAGAAACCCAAACACAGAGAAACTCATAAAGAGTAGTTCTCGGAGTGTTGTCCCCAGATCAACAGTATCAATACCAACTGCAAACTTACTAGAAATACAAAGTCTTGGGCTCCATTTCAAACCTAGTAAATTAGAAATGTGCGGAGACAGGGATGGCAGGAGGTGAATGGGGTAAGGGAGAGTGGATGCCAGCAATCTGTGTCTTAACAGGTCCCTCAGTGATTCTGATGTGTGATAAAGTTTGGGAACAACTACTGTAATAAGACACGGAGGAGGGCTTGGGGACTGGAGGGTGGAGGTGTGATGTACAGTCACCTCTTATAATTAAGTTGAAATTGGTAGAAAATTAAGAGAGAAAAGATCTCAAAATAATTCTGAACATTTCTTTCTTAAATTTCCAGATTCTACAAAACCATAAAGACAACTCAAGTATACGCAAGCTCCTTAGGAACCTGGACTTCTATGTCCTTCCAGTTCTTAACATAGATGGTTATATCTACACTTGGACAACTGTGAGTACACCATGTTTGGTCCTGGGATGAGTTCATGAACTAAAGCTCAATTCAGGTTAATTTTTCCAATGTTATCCATTCCGGCTCTAAAAATATTTCATACCTATGTAAAGAAAGGAACCCCATTTGGGATAAAAATCAGCTTAACATTTTTAATCAAACCATCTACATTAAGTTTAGGCCTAAGGAAGCCTAAGGCCTTTTTAGAGTTGAAGTCCATTACAGGTTTTTTCTTTGTTTTTTACTCTCCTCTTCCATCTTCTTAATGTTTGTGGATTGCCTGCCACCCAATTAGGATTATATTGATAAAAATTCATGTACCAACTTGCATCCATGTCAAATCAGTTCTAGAAGCATGAAGGCAATGAATAATGTATAAACACAAAACCAGCCTACATTTTTCAATGCAATCATTCACACAGGGGGCAAACATCACATAAAGTCTTTTTATGCAGCAGACAACTGTCTCTTTAAAATGTTCCTAAAGCCTATCACTCTTCAAATAAGAGCCCCTATTTCTAGAGAGTATGCATTGCCTCCCCTTTTCCATTGCTCCCCTAAGGACTTCAGGGGCCCCTTTCTCTGGAACAGCCTTTCTGGCCTGGTGTGTGAATCGAGTTTTCCCTCTGAGCTTGTCTGATGACACTTGTCTTTATTCCCATCTCCACTCATCAGTCCTCAGCTTCCAGAAATGTGCAGAGACCATCTCTGACACACCTGGAATGGTCTTTTTCCATCTGTCAAGCTATTTCCCTTTCATCCTGTATCACTTGAATGTAGAAAATGACTCCAAAGCAAACGTTCCCTGAGTAAGCAGATCACGTCCACAGGCACTGCTAATCTGCTCATGAGGAAAAGGCCAAACTACTTCCTCCAATTTAATTGTTTACATGTATGTATACTTTTGGTTGTACAGATGTTCCTAGTATTGGGGGCTGCTAGCCCATCTGTAAGACTAAAAATTACACACACAAGCTGCCTAATGTTAAAGGGAAGTTCTTCCAGATAATCCTAGGAAACATTTTTCATGTTCAAGGACCACCTATCATCACTAACACTGTGATTTATGAAACCTTAGAACAGCAACATCCGTATGTTCCTCTGCTACAGGATCGTCTTTGGAGGAAATCCCGTTCACCCCATAATAATGGCACATGTTTTGGGACGGATCTCAATCGAAATTTCAATGCATCTTGGTGTAGTAAGTACATGCTTAGTAGATGAATTATGAACAAATAAAGCTGAGAAGTAAGAAAAGAGGTGAATTACTAAATGTATAATTTTTGAAAATAACATCTAATATGGTACAGCTTTCTGGGCTTCCTAATGAGTTTTATTCCCTCTAACAGGATAATATTATCTACATAGTAAGAGCTATCAGCATTCAAGTACAGGACTCCAAGTGAAGCTGGCTAAACAAGAAAAAAGTAGACCTAGACCAGTGTGAATATATTTCAAATCCATCCCTTTGTTTTTAAATATATGAATTATCATAAAGAAAAGAAAAATCAGAGACTTATCCTTGCAGATTATTTCATAGCAGGGGGCAGGCAGTAAACAAAGCAAACATTTTTCTCTCCTTATGGCATTTTCATGTTTCCAAATCTCAATATGCCCAGTGAATTGGAAGCAAATAAAGAAGGAGGAATGGCTGAGAACGTTGCCATTAACCAGATGGGAAGGGTTAAAATTGAGACTTGGCAGCTGTGTGGTCTTGAAAAAATTGCTTCATCTCTCTGCTTTAGTTTTCTTTTACGTAAAATGTGAGCCACAGTAGCCCTACCTTATCAGTAGGTTGTTGTAGGGATTAAATGGGATGCTACATGGGAAGTGTTGGGCACAGTACCTAGCAGATAGGAGGTGCTCAGCTGATCATTCTTATTATTATTAATGAGGATTACAGACTACTTATGTCCTTGCTAAATAGCTCTAATGAGACTCAAGCTAGTAAGACATGAAGGAAAAACTTAAATCAAAAAGACAATGTCAGAACCTTACCCAGGAACCCAAGAACTGCTTTCCAGGCATTTGTTTCAGGGCCCACCACAGGTTTAAGTAAAAGCATACTGGCAGGGCACGGTGGCTCATGCCTGTAATCCCAGCACTTTGGGGAGGCCGAGGTGGGCAGATCTCAAGGTCAGGAGATTGAGACCATCCTGGCTAACACAGTGAAACCCCATCTCTACTAAAAATACCAAAAAAAAAAAAATTAGCCTCGCGTGGTGGCGGGTGCCTGTAGTCCCAGCTACTGGGGAGGCTGAGGCAGGAGAATGGCATGAACCCAGGAGGTGGAGCTTGCAGTGAGCAGAGATGGCACCACTGCACTCCAGCCTGGGCGACAGAGCGAGACTCTGTCTCAAAAAAAAAAAAAAAAAAAATACAAGTATACTAAAATGCCATTTCATTTTGTATCCCCTTTCCCGGGCCATGGAAGCATGGAGTTTGTTTCTAAATCCTAACGTTATCCCTTTCTGCTATTCTGAGTTCCTTCTAGAATGGTTATCCTTCAGTGACTATCCAAGTTGACTAATTTAGCCTGGACTAACTCAGACAACCAAGGGCAAGCGCTGATTCTACTCACAGAGGCCCTGAGTATGGATGACTCCTTGCCATTGGTCATTTCCAAACTGAGATCATGCAGCCTTCTTTGTGGTTTCTTCCATATTCTAGGTATTGGTGCCTCTAGAAACTGCCAAGATCAAACATTCTGTGGGACAGGGCCAGTGTCTGAACCAGAGACTAAAGCTGTTGCCAGCTTCATAGAGAGCAAGAAGGATGATATTTTGTGCTTCCTGACCATGCACTCTTATGGGCAGTTAATTCTCACACCTTACGGCTACACCAAAAATAAATCAAGTAACCACCCAGAAATGGTGAGTCCATAGCACCAAGGCCTCCAGAAAAACCTCAGCAAGACCTCTGCCTTCCTTTTTCTGATTTCCATTTCCAAGATTTTGGCTCCAGCCACCCTTTTGTTCTCTCTGCTTATCCCTATATTCTTTTTCCTGCTTTTGCACCTTGCCAGACGCCTGCTGGGAAGGCTTCGGGTTAAATGCTGCTTTACCTACATTAATTAACTACCTGTTTCATAAAGTGTCAAGTTGGGAGACATCTTAGGTATTCATCTATAATATAAATGAGATGATTATGTTAATAATCTGCAGGAATGCACTTTCATTTCTGTAAATTCTCTTGGAGCTCCGTTCAGCAATTACAGCTTTTGAACCGTGCTTTCAAGAACTTGCCAGCTGTTAGTGGAATATGGCATATCTAAAATAACATGGCTAAATAATATCTGCTCTCTTCTCTGCTAAACACAATGCTCTATTTTCTTCTAAACTCTTCCTTCAGTATTTGCCTAGGATTATTTGTAAGGGGAAGTGCCAGCGAAATGCAAGCTGGAGCAGGGAAACTGTTTGGTCTTATCCGTGTCCTTCTCTGAAGCTGTGTTTACCCAAGCACTGTTGGGCAGAATTACTGAGAAGGACTGGGCTCTTTGCCCTTTTGTGAACCAGAGGACAACAGACACAAGTCAAAGAGAGGATAAATTTAGAATTGCAAATTGTAATATTTGTTTTCCTTTTATTTTTATTTTTTTTCCGTTTTAATTGTGGTAAAATAAACATAAAATTTACTATCTTAACCATTGTTAAAGTATACAGTTCAGTAGTGTTAAGTATATTCATATGGTTATGCAGCCAATCACTGGAACTTCTTCATCTTGCATAATTGAAACTATGCCTATTAAACAACTTTCCATTTCTTCCTACACGAGTCCCTCACAACCATCACTCTACTGTCTGTTTCTATGAATCTGACCACTCTACATACCTCATATAAGGGAACCATGCAGTATTTATCTTTTTATGACTGGCTTTCACTAAGCATATTATCCCAAGTTTCCTCATGTTGTAGGGTGTATCCAAATTTTCTTCCTTTGTAAAGCCAAACAATATTCCATTTTGTGTATATACTACATTTCGTTCATCCCATCCTCTTATCTGTCAACGGACACACTTGGGTTGCTTTCACCTTTTGGCTATTACGAACAATGCTGCTATGAATATGGGTGTGCACTTCTAAGACTCTGCTTTCAGTTTTTTTGATTCATATCCAAAATGTAATTGCTGGATCACATGGCAATTCTATTTTTAATTTTTTGGGGAACCACCATACTGTCTTTAATAGAGGCTGCTCCATTTGATATTCCCACCAACAGTACATAAGGGTTTCTCCACATTCTTGCCAACACTTGTTATTTTCTGTTTATCTTTTTATTTTTTTAAACATGCTCCTCTTTCTATGCAAATGCTGAGAAGAAGTGGGGCTAAGCTTGCTCTGTTCTTAATATCACAGAGGCCTGATGACCTATTGGTTAGGTTATACCTTTTGCACATCTCCCTCCGGAGCACGACCCAGAAGACACAAGGCCTGAACACTAAAAGAAAAACCACTGTAGACCTTTGTTGGAAGGAGCCCTTCTCCCAACAGTCAAAAATGTCCAACAACACTCAAGTACCTTTCTTGCAATTATTCTTTCTTTTCTTGGTCCAGGAACACTTGCACTATATGATCATTTTGTAACATGTGGAAATAACTAACATCTGCCTAGATCTTTACAATTTACAGAGAGATTTATAGCTGTTATCTCCTTTGACCCTCATGATAATATATTACATTCACTTTGGAGTATAGAAATTGAAACTCTGAGTTAACTTTATCATCAGAACTCTATAAATAGGAAGTGGTGGGGCCCAGGCTAGAACTCATGTCTTTAGACTCCAGAGGCCACATTCATCATCCCACTACCTCGCACGCCTCTCTCTGCTCAGAAAGGATGTGCAACTTCTAGGAGTCATTATCAGCTAGATTCCCAGTCAACTATGCACTATTTCCTTCTCGTTTGTGAGCCCTGGAAGTTCTATTTCTTCAATAAAGAAATCTACAGAATCAGATATTTCAGTCAAGAAGCCCAGAATGCTCCTTTTTCCCAGTTTCAGGGATATTTGTTGTAGATTCCTACTTTCTGCTTAAAGGGATCTGTGACAAACACAAATGAATCTCCGAAGACAGGTAATTAGAGATCTTTGATGGAAAGGGGTCTTCCGCCAGCAGAAAAAGGAGGCTAGTATATTCCAGTATTTTTCTTGGCTACTTCATTCTCTAATTGGTTCAGGAAAACAGATGCTCTGTGACCATTTTGCAAAGTTTGTATTCAAAGATTGGAGGGTCTTGTACTGCTGATTGGCTGTCTGGTTAGAGCCCTGTGCTGTGGCCAGAGGCTAGAAGGAGCAAGACAGCAGGAGGGACCTGAGGCAATGGCACCATCACTACTGGACAGTAACTCTAAGAAGAGAATAACTGGCAACTCCATAGCACTATATACAGAAACCAGTAAATCAAATTGAGAAAGATGGCTTCAATTCTGTATCTCTTACAGTCTCAGGTGCTGAAGAGTTCACATAAACAGTCGTCTCCAAGACTTTTCGATAAAAAGACTGTGAATATTTTACTACCACACGTCTACCTCATTGAAGCTACTTAGCAGTGTTTTTAGGTTCTTGGGGGCAAGCTTTGATAGAGTGCGCAAAGACACAGAATCAAGCCAACTGCTCCAAGGAGATTTCCATTTCTAGTACTATTTACAAGCCACAGAGACTAGTAATTAATCTCTATTATTTACAAAAACCAAAAGTTTATAGAAATCATGGTAAATATTATACTACATGATAGACAGCTTGGCAATCACTGTGTAGGAGAAACATAACTATATATAGCCTCTTTCTAAACTGCTCTGGAAATGAGAATAGCTATAAGAATTCTAATGTTTTACATGCTTACATTCTTTCCATTTGAACTCTCTTTGTATCAACCTCTGTACTCCATCCCAAGCTCTGCTGCCCCCACCCCTACTAGGCCAGAGCTTTATTCAACCATTCTGTGGGCCTGCCTCTGAATATATGCTTACAGGAAATTCTCTGGGCCCAGAGAAGGAGTTGTTAAGCGGGCCGGAGGTTTTTACAAATGTGTATTATGTACTATTGGCAAATGAGTTTTTATTATTTTTATTAGGAAGTACCTATAAGCTGAGAAAAAAAGGCGGCAGAGAAACTGGCTCTATTATAGCCTTGCAATGTAGTGTCGAAGGAGAGAGAAGTACAATCAGGAGTTCCACCTCCAGAGACAGAAGTTGAATTCGGTAGTCTGGGGGATTTCCATTTTATCTTCTCAGAAATGCCCAAATTGCTAAGCTGAGGATCACAACTGAATGCTTCTCATGTCTATCTCTTACTCCTCTCTGCTTCCGCATAGTAATTCCTCATGGAATTATTAAAATAGAGCTCAAAAGTTATTTTATCAACAAAGAAGGGTAAACTGGAAAGACTGTTTCCTACCCCACAGCCAGGATTCGAGGAAAGGCAATGATATCGGATAAAATAAATGATAGCTGGCAATGTGAAAAAAAAAAAATTTGTTGTCTAGGGCAAGCTGCAGGAAAGAAAAAAAAAAAGCAAGGAACCACTGGGATGGCAAGTGTAGTCTGGTCTGATGCATATATCCCAATGAAAGGTAAGGCCCCACATGGACCAGTTAGCATGGAGTTCCATTTAAAAAAAAAAATGGGAATTAAAAATAATTAAAAGCAATTCGTATCTCTGCTAGAGACTCTTAAAGAACTTCAGAAGGGAGTGTGGTTGGTAAATCACAATGCTTTTCCCAGGCCCCTTCTCTCAACTTCATCACATACAGCAGCTACCCTGAATCCTGCCCACCCCTCCCTCTCATTTCCTTACCAGAATTTCTCTCTCCAGCAGACCATTCTTGTACCGCCTCCCAGTGTAAATGATTAAATCAGCGTTTTTAGCCTCTCCTACCCATTATCTCAATTCTGGATAACACAAACCCAGGAACTGAGGCAGACTCAGAATCCCTTTTTAGGAAGTGAGGGAGGTGAATGGCCAAAGATGGCATTCTTAGTATTGAGTGGAGAGAAAGCAAGTGACTTGCAAGTATGTTTGACAGAGTGTTTTTCCTTTGATTTTAGTCAGACACAGAAAGCCCCAAGTGCCTTAAGAACACTGCCCACAACCGTCCAGTATGATCCCCCCAACTTCCTTACTGCCTTTTGGCCAACATAAATGTTGTTCCTTTTGAATTTCGCTGGGCCAGTTCCCTCTCTAGACAAGCACTACTCTGCAACATCTTAGGGTTCAGCTGGACAATACAGAGCTGGGAGAAGGAGAATCTAAAATGAGACCTGTCCCTAGTCAGGCATCCGGGGAGCTGGTGCACCTGGAGTGCAGTCAGGAAGCCCTGAGGGGTAAGGCTTTGGCAGATCACAGTCCAGGCAGGGAGGGAGACTGTCAGGGGAAGCAGTGGGATATTCCGTCCGACAGGTAGAACACACATGTTTAGGCTGGGGAATACCTAGAGCATCTGTCAGCAAACCTAGGCGACATGCAACAGAAGGTCAATAAGCCCAGCCAGTAGACTTGGGCCTCAGTTAATGACTCTTATCTCTGGAAAGGGGCTGCAGAGGTGAAGTGGTGGTAGGTGTGGGGATGGGTATGACTTCCAGCTCTGAAATGCTATATATATATATATATATAGATATATAGATATAGATATAGATATAGATATAGATAATGAGATTAAACACTATAAGGAAAAAGAAGAGGGGGGTCAGAGAGAGGAATGAAGAAACAGCTATGGGGATTCAAAGTGGGGAGAGATAGAATCCAGTTGGAGGGATCAGGTAAGGCCTCTTGGAGAAGCTGGCATTTGAAAAAATCCTTTGAAGCTGGGCAGAATTTCAGCAGGCAGAGATAAGAGGTAGGGGTCCCATGTGGAGGAAATATCCTGAGGAAAGATAGAGGCTGAGGAATGTAGGGTAAGGCTGAGGAATGGTAGGAAAATGAGTTTTTGACTATCATCTAGGAGGGATGACAAAATATGGTGTTGGGAAGGTGGGTTAGAGTCATATTGGAGAGGATCTCAAAAACTAGGCTGAGAAGTTTGTACTTAATTCAGTGAGCAATGAGGAGCTCTTGAAGACTTTTCCACAGGATCATGATCACAGCTGTATGCTACCAAATTTCATCTGGAAGCCAGGTGGGATCACTTGAAAGAAGGATTGGTGAGAGAAATCTATTAGAAGATGCAACAGACCATTTCAGAGGTAGAGTCTGACATAGAATGATGGCACTGGAAATGCAACTTGGAAACTGTTTTAGAGAGGGAATATCAGAGATGCCTGCAGAATTCTACGTGTGTGTTTGGAAGAGAATGCAAGCCCAGAAATATGAAAGTCAGAGCAGCCTTATTAGTGGGAGAGATGGTGAAACTGGATAAAGTGTGCTGAATCTGAGTTACCAGCAGGCTACCTAGATGTAGATGTCCGATGGGAAGTTGGAAAGGTGGCCTAAAACTCTGGAGATGAATCTGGACAAAACACCAAATGGTTGGATTGTTGGATTTATTTTAAACACCAGATATCTGTCTCTGCATTTCCCACCTACAGATTCAAGTTGGACAGAAGGCAGCAAATGCATTGAAAGCAAAGTATGGAACCAATTATAGAGTTGGATCGAGTGCAGATATTTTATGTAAGTATCTTTTTTTGCCTCTTCAATAGTATCTAAGGCACAAAAGAAGTCAGTGGACTTTGGATGGTGAGATAGGCGGGAGAGGAACAGAAGAGTTCCTGGGATCAACAGGGAGTTGTACAAATCAAAATGACCAAGGATAAAAGGGAGTCTGTACAAATCCGGAATTATACTCTCTAGGGATAAGGTATGAACTAAAAGAAAAAGAATTAATGCGTTGGCTCAGACCAGAACTTCTCCTGGCTTCAGTTAAAAAGAGCTGGCAAGCTAGAAGGCACAAGAGTTAACAGGAAGGACATTGTCCACTGACCTTTGGTCAGTCAATTCAGTTCCCAGAGGACCCATCAGGCTAAGAAAGCCCTGGAGAAAAAAATCTAAAGACAAGAATTTAGTTGAAAGGAGAGCGCTCTGTTTCTCCCAACCCCAATCTCCACCCTCTATGAGCCCCCCTCTAAATACCTGTATAATATTTTTCTTATGGGTCATTTTGTTTCTGTTCCTTTCTTTAAATGACTCAGTTCACTCTTGCCAGGCAATATTAGGTTGCCAAGTCAGTCAGTGACTCAGCTAAGAAACTTTAGCCAAACCTTTCTATGTGCCAGACACAGTGCCAGGTATGATGGGGGACAGAGATACTGAATAAGACGTGGTTCCCACCCTGCAGGGGCTTACAACCAAGAAGAAAGAGAAGACAGCTATTTCTGAGACCCTGATCTAAAAGAGCTTCTTTATTTTACTAAGTGAACCTTTAGTTCCTGAAATGGCTATAGAAATCCATTCTTCCAAAGTATGACTTCTACCTCTGCCTTCATGTTTTCACCTGTAGATGCCTCATCAGGGTCTTCAAGAGATTGGGCCCGAGACATTGGGATTCCCTTCTCATATACGTTTGAGCTGAGGGACAGTGGAACATATGGGTTTGTTCTGCCAGAAGCTCAGATCCAGCCCACCTGTGAGGAGACCATGGAGGCTGTGCTGTCAGTCCTGGATGATGTGTATGCGAAACACTGGCACTCGGACAGTGCTGGAAGGGTGACATCTGCCACTATGCTGCTGGGCCTGCTGGTGTCCTGCATGTCTCTTCTCTAAGTGCATTCTGCCCAGGCCTGCTCAACCCCAGTGGCATGAGTGTGGCTGGAGGAACGGTGTGTTATGGTTGTAAAGAAACCAAATAATTTAACTAAAAATACTTCCTATTTCAATAAGGAAAAATCATGTCTGCGTTTTAATATTTGTTTTTCTGTGAGTTGAGCTTTATTCCTTTATACGAGGAATTAGTTAGGTATTAGTTAGTTATTGCTACAATAATGCTACAAACCAAACCTCTCTAAAACCAAGTGGTGCAAATCTACAGGTCACGATGCAGTGATCTTTGTTGTTCTCGCTTAGGCATCCATGGTCAGTTTCAGGGCAGCTGGTAGATCTCGGATGAACTCACTCTGGGGGTTGGCTACTGTAGGCTAGTATAGGATAGCCTCAGCTGCAATGAGGAACGGGGGCTGTGCTCCATGTATCTTCTCGTCCAGCACATTAGTACTATGCACTCATGGCCATGGTGAAGGAGCAAAAGCAGCAGAGCAAGTCTCAATGTGCGGGTGCTTTTCAAACCTCTGCTTGCATCCTATTTGCTAACATCCCATTTGCCAAAGGAAGTCACATGGCTGAGCTCTGCATCAAGGGGTGGAGCAGAACAGAAGGTGGTGAGTGAAGAATTGGGGCCATCAGTGAAATGACTCTATCTGGTGTTTATATCACACCCTTGAGCTTCACTGGCTTAGCTTCATAGTCGGTAGCTCAGCTACAATTCGAGGCAACTCAACTAGATGGCTATTATCCTATTCAGCTTTAAACGTGGAGAAGCCTGTGAGTTCCAGTGGAACCCCACTGCTCTTGAAATCTAACTAAAAGTCACACAATGAGATTCTGATAGGGCCTTTTGTGTTCTACTAATTTTTGTGATTTATGATCTCAACATTCACTAAGGAAAATGAAGTAGGAATAGGTCTTCTGCCTGGGGGTCTGGGGATTTTTTCTCATCTGTATTCTTCAAAAATTTTGCTTATACTTTTGAACCAGGGTCTTGCTTTCTTAATTTTGTGTTAATGAGTTAGTAGCAGCATTCAGAGGATAAGTTATACAATCTCTCTTGATGACTGTTGCTGGTTTTATTTACTTATTTATTCATTAAAAAAATTAAGGATCTACTAGGTGCATTTTGATAGGTTCTGGGGTTACAATGGTGAATAAGATAGACATAGTCCCCGTCTATTTGAAATTTATATTCCAGTGGGTGAAATCAGGACTAGAAGCCATAAATAATTGGAATGGACATGCTGTTTCATACCAGGTGAATCCCAGCTCTAGGGGAGTACAATAAGCAAGAACACAAATAAAGAAACTAAATATTGCGGTTTGTGACACATACTATGAAAAGTCAGTAGAGAGGAGAGGAAGGCCCACATTGTACGTGTACGGATATCTAGGCATTTAATTGTGCTATCTCATCTATTAAACTGTGAGTGCTGTTAAAGTAGCAGCCATGACTGTCATTTCCTATGTATCTCTATGTGACACCTTGAAATGGTGCTAAGCAGTTGTCAGGCTTCGAATAAATGTAGTTGTGACCAGCTGACAGGGCATCCTTGGGTGTTCAGTCACCCATTGCCAAATTTCCTTGTTGGTCACAGTCACAATACACTTCTTGGTTGTAACCCTTTTATTGCCTTTCTTTGTCGTCTTTATTTCTTCATGTTTTGCTAGTGTGTGGCTGATAAGGGTCAGAAAGGAAAATGTCAGAGGCAATAGGGTTTAATGAATCAGGGAACTGCTATTAACATAAAAATGCCAACTCCACAATTGTGGTATTGTCAGGAGGAAATGGTTTGGTTTCATCAACGGTCAGGCTAGAAGGGAAGAAAACTAGTGTGACCACCCAATGCTATATTCAAGAAGAAAGCAGGGGAGCTGTGCTTAGAGACACTGGTTATCAGTGTTCATCTAGCTTGGGTTTTATCTCCAAGGCTATTTTAAAAATAATTCAGACCTCTGAGTACTATGGGAGCTCTGATCTACAAAGTTTAATTCATGTCTAGAGATGGAGCTCATGGGCAAATAAAGTCAGAAGAGAATAGAGAGAAACTCAGTTAATCAATCAGCTTGCCTGAAACCTCCCACATGGATTTTTCCAGATTTCAGGATGTGATCATAGCTTCCTTGAGGGGCTTCGCCTGTCTCTGGGGGAATAGGATACTGGGACACATGACACATTTTTTACTGCTTCTGGAAGTTTTTTTACTTCCTGTGAAAGAATCCTAAGAACAGGGATAGAAAGATGGTGAATGACCACACTGATCTTTCTAAGAATGTTTTCAGCTTCGTGGTGGAAAATGATATTTGGCTGGGAAAACTTCACAGCTGATGCTACTAATGCATTCTTGAGAGTATCCTGTTTGTAGTTTGGTTAGGTCTGGGATTTGATTTCATCCTACTTTAAAGCTAAGAAGTTAGTTTGTTAATGCTTCATGTATGTTAGTAGAAGGCAAGAAACTCCCAGTCAGAGTCAAAGGACACTATTTCCCAAAGCACATGAAGCAGCATGAGCATCAGCATATTTACAGGGATTCCTCCTTCTCCCAAGCACCAAGAGGATGATGCAAAGAGCCCAGATGCCACGTGCACATGCAGCGAGTTGTGCAACCGAGAGAAACACTAAACTTTGGAATTCACTGCTTCTACAGCAAGCAATAAGCAAGCCTGATCTTATCCCAGAAGAAGACATGTCCCCATCACTCAAGGTTGCTTGCTTACTGCAAATAAAACTGAGAAATGGCCCAGGTAAAAGTGGTCAGGGCCTTGCATCCTTGGCCCAGCTAGGAAGATGTGCAGGAGAAAAAGAGGTTCTAAAGGACTGTCTCCCAGTAGGTTTTATGTGCCAGTTTGAATCCTATGAAATTGCTGCTTTTGTGGGTCAACAAAATTCAAGTATTGGTGATTTTACATGGTTCAATTTAAGATTCTCTCAGTGCTAATCAAAGTATGTTTATAATGCCTCCTTTTTTATTTTTAGGAAGTTTGACTATTCTGCCTTTTCTGTTACTATTTCTGTCTTTCCACCAAACTCTATCAGTGCTTTTTCCATAACTATTCCTACAAAGGATCTAGATCTTCTTGACTTACAGGTGAATTTAGAGTTTAAAATGATGCAAAATAATAAATGCAGGTGATATACAAGCTTCTAGCTCTAGGGTTTTTTTTTTTTTTACAGCACTGTCAAAGTGAGTTATATTTTTGTTTTCACTATGTATGACCAAGCTCCTATTTCTCTTCCTTATGCAGTTTATCAGTCTCCTGATATGTTATTAAAAATATATTCTTTACACCACCCCAGTATTATTCATATCTTATGTATATCATTTGAATCTGGTATAAATTTATTATGTCACTAAGAGAAGCCCACTGCCCAAGAACATAAAATTGCAGTACTAAATACAGAGTTTAAAAAAAAACTATTAATAATTATTAATTTATTTTATGATGTGCAGCGATTGAAATATTTTATGTGTATTATCTTGTGTGAAGATGTTACCAGAAAGTCCCAATCCAGACCCCAAGAGAGGGTTCCTGGATCTCACGCAAGAAAGAATTTAGGGCAAGTCCATAGAGTAAAGTGAAAGCAAGTTTATTAAGAAAGTGAAGGAACAAAAGAATGGCTACTCCATAGACAGAGCAGCCCCAAAGACTGCTGGTTGCCCATTTTTATGGTTATTTCTTGATGATATGCTAAACAAGGGGTGGATTATTCATGCCTCCCCTTTTTAGACCATGTAGGGTACCTTCCTGATGTTGCTATGGCATTTGTAAACTGTCATGGTGCTGGTGGGAGTATAGCAGTGAGGACGACCAGCGGTCACTCTCGTCGCCATCTTGGTTTTGGTGGGTTTTGGCTAGCTTCTTTATTGCAACCTGTTTTATTAGCAAGGTCTTTATGACCTGTACCTTGTGCAGACCTCCTATCTCATCCTGTGACTTAGAATGCCTTAACCTTCTGGGAATGCAGCCCAGTAGGTCTCAGCCTTATTTTACTCAGACCCTATTCAAGATGGAGTTGCTCTGGTTCACACACCTCTGACAATACTCATAAGAATCTTGAGTTAGATATTTTATTTATTTGATGAAGAAACTGAGACAGAGAGGTTAAGAATATGCCCACCCACGGGCACACGTTTGTTTGTTTGTTTGTTTTTAGAGACAGGATCTCACTCTATTGCCCCAGGCTAGAGTGCAGTAGCACAATCATAGCCCGCTGCAGCCTCAAACCCTTGGGCTCAAGTGATCCTCCATCCTCAGCCTCCTGAGTAGCTGTGACTGTAGGTGCACACCACCACATGTGGCTAATTTTTTATTTTTTTGTAGAGACAGCTATGTTGCCCAGGCTGGTCTTGAACTCCTGGCCTCAAGCAATCCTCCTACCTCAGCCTCCCAAAGTGCTGGGATTACAGGCGTGAGCCACTGCACCCGGCTGATAACACTGTTCTTAATGATTGATTAATTTTATTGGAATAGGGATTTTCCAGTTTTAGGATGTCAGAAGTACTCTCTAATGGATACTGCCAGTGCTTTGCCAAAACTCCTTCAGGTAACTTCTCCTGCATCGCTCTCCATCTTTGACGTGTTTTTGCCTCCAATGGCTCATACTCATGACTTTTTCCAGTGGCTACCCTTGAGCTACTGCATGTACTTTGCCTGCAGCTACAGGGAGTTAGAAGTGTGTGACAGTGACACCTGTTAGAAGAAAATCTTTAGTCAGATTAAAGTTAACAGATTTTAAGTGAGCAAGGAATGATTCACGAATCAGGCAGACTCCTGAGCTAGAGTAGGCTCAGAGAGACTCTGGCAAAGTCACATAGTGGAAAAAGATTTATAGACAGAAAAAGGAAAGTGACATATAGAAAACCCAAAGTGAGGTACAGAAACAGTCAGATTGGTTACAGCATGTCCTTTGCCTTATTTGAACACAGTTTGAACAGTTGGCCCCCTTTGATTGGCCAAAACTCTGTGATTGGCACAAGAGTAGGTTACAGTCTGTTTATACCTCCATTTAGGTTATGGCTCACTATGTACAAAGAAACCTTTAGGATGAACTTAAAATATGTAAGAAAGCAGCTTTAGGCTAAACTTGATTTAATACATCCACCACCAGAAACCCCCAGTCTCTGCTTAGAGGGTAACGGATGAGTCCAGGGGTGTGAAAGCCCAGTTCTCTTGCAGTGGGAAGTGTAACTATTTCCAGAGATAGTGTGGGATAAGGTTAAACTTACTCTCCAAAGAACTTGCCTTGAGGTTGCACCCTTGCTTGGCTTCCTCCCTTTCTTTGTCTTGCTTCCTCACTCCCGTACTAGTTTATTTTGGGAGTACCTCCTTAATAAATCACTTATGCATGACTCCTCACATCTGGACCTGCCTCTAGGGAACCCAATGTAATTGTCAGTGTTTTAGAATTATTACCAAAACATCATAAGTTTTTAATTTCCTAAAATAACCTTTAATACAAGTATTACTATTATTCAATATTCAGAATATGCCTGGAGATTACAAATGTTGTATGAATCTATTTTGAATATTTTCTCATTCTAGAATATGAAGTCTTCTTCCAGATAAGACTTTCATTTCAGCATAACATATATTTTTAGTTGAACCTCTTGTTGAAGGCACAGTAAAAAAAAGATTAGTCTTTATGGACTTGTAAATTTTAAAGTATTTGGTGTTATGATAAGACTTTATGAGAAAATAATAGCCACTTATTATAGTTTTCCACTCTACTGTAATCAAGACTGCATAGTCTTTTCTCAGCTACTCTGAAAAAGGACTTTTATTTCTGTCTCAGGATTTATTCATTTAAAATAATTAAAAAATAAAGCTCCAAAGAGCTTTAATGCTGAGTGTATTAAGTCTTATCCTGCCAACATGTTCCTTTCCTACAGAGCTCTTATTATGTTTTTGCTGAGGATTTAAGAAAAAGAAAAACATTTTTGAAAGTCAGCTCCAAAATGATGCTTCCAATAAAAGATGAACAGTGTCCTTTTTATTTACATAGATGGTGCAAAAGCAACCACAGAGACACAAAGGAGGCAAAGAGTAATGTGTCTTCCCATTATGAGTTTGAACCCACAAAAACCCAGTTGACTAGATAGAGGATCTTGAGAAGGTGAGGTGTAAAGTCAGGTTAGGATCAGGTGGTTGAAGAGCCTGAATGCCAGACCAGAGTCTAAACATTCTCCCTATAGGCTGTGGTGAGTACTAGCAGAAGTAGTAAAGCAGTAAAGAGGCAGAGGGAGTAAAGAGTAAGGATTACTCTGGAAGGATGATCTAAGGTGAAATAATTAGAGGGAAGAAGTCAGGAAAAACAGTTCAGAAAATATTATGCTGGGCATGTAACCACCCAATGGGTTCATTTTGCCCCCTGCCTAGATAGAGCTCCTTTACCAAGACAGGGGAATTACAATAGAGAAAGAGCTTAATATACATAGAGCTGGCTAAACGGGAAATGGGAGTTTTATTATTACTCAAAGCAGCCACCCTGAAAATTTGGAGGCTAGAGTTTTTCAAGGATAGTTTGGGAGGCAGGAGGCTAGGACAAGGGGAATGCTGATTGGTTGGGCATGCAATCATAGGGGTATGGAAAATGGCCCCCACGTGCTGAGTCTACTTCTGGGTGGGGGCCACAGAGGAGTCACTAGTCCAGGTGAGGCATCATCAGAAATGCAAAAGCCTGAAAAGACATCTCGAAGGGCCAATCTTAAGTTTTACAATAGAGGTGTTATTTACAGAAGTAATTGGGGAAGTTGAAAACCTTACGACCTTCAAAATAATGGCTGGTAATCTAAGGCCTACATCTTAGCATAAATCAGGCCCCTCATACTCCTAATATGGTGGCCTTCCATTAGTTTTACAAAGGTGGTTTAGTTGGGGAAGGGCTATTATCATTTAAACTATAAACTAAATTTTTCCCAAAGTTAGCTTGGCCCAGGAATGACCAAGGGCATTTTGGAAGTTAAAGGCAAGATGGAGTTAGTTAGATGAAACCCCTTTCACTGCCATAATTTTCTCACTATTATGATTTTTGCCAAGGTGGTTTCATACACACATGAATTGAATAACAACTAAGTTGAGTTGGTGGCCACAGAAATTTCCATTCTTTCCCCACAAAGGGACAGAAATCAGAGAGGTTATTCAGAAGGATTCAAGTATTATAAGATCATGAGAACTTGTCTTCAATCATCTTTGTTTCATCCCTGAGAAAGTATAATAATGCTGAAAATTGACTTATAGACCTACAGAAGCCAGAAGGGAAGCAGAATGGAAAAATGAGGAGCCATGTGTTTTCAGATAGGAAATAGGAAATGCAGAATTGTCACGCTGAGGTGTCAGTTGAAATTCAGGGTTAGTTTTCAATCTTATAGTCAGGTGTTGAGTCACATGCAACCTTCATTTCAAGCTCATATTTCAAACCTCATTCAATATGGAAACTTGAAAAAGCTTTTAAAAAATTAAAAACTATAATCTCCATCAGTTTCCTCTTAGACATACGCTAATTCACCCTATGGCATTTCCTTTATAATTAGGTTTGCAAGTCTATCACTTTAAAGGTTGACTATTTTCTCAAAGGCTGTTGCTTCAAAGATTTGTTGTGCAGGAGAATTCTTATTTCAAATAAAAATTTACCTTGAAGCATAAAATATAAGTCAGATAAAAACAGAACTGCTCTGATTTGGGAAGGCTGGGTAATGGGTCTAAAGATACTACCTGTCCCCCAATTTCCCTGCAGACCTGAAGCACTTACTACTCAAATTGTGGTCCAGGGCCAGTGGCATTAGTTTTAGATGAAAGCTTGCTCAAAAATCAAATTTTTCAACATCAGAACTTGCATTTAACAAAATCCCTAGGTAATTTGATGCTCTTGAAAATTTAGGTAGCACAGCTTTAGAGTGCAGACATCACCTGGAAAGTTTGTTAAAACACAGATTCTTGTCCATATCAATAGATCAGTGGTAGAGCATGAGAGTCTGCATGTTTAACAAGCTCCCAGGTGATGCTGATATTGCTGGTCCTCAGACTACTGCACATCAAGTGGCAAGAAGCTAGAGTAGTGATTCTCCACTGTTAGTGGGCATCAAAATCATCTGGAAGGCTTGTTAAAACCTGAGCTGGTGGGTTCCATCTCCCCATCAGAGTTTCTGATTCAGCAGTGGGACAGAAGGCGGGAATGTGGAGAATCTTCATATCTAACAAGTTCCCAGGCAATGTTGATGCTGTTTCTCTGGGGAACGCAATAGAGCATTTGGCTCATAATTAGGAAAAGTTGCCACTAGGTAAGCAGAGGTATCTTGATTTAGTTTTCGAATAAAAAGAAGTAAAATACAAAAGAAAGACAAAAGTTTCTGCCCTTAAGGATCTTAGAGTCTAGTTCAAAATGCAGAAAAGTAAACAAACACCTCACAAAATGGTAAGTACTAAAATGAAGAGCACGTGCAAGCAACTAGCGGAGAAGAGCCATTAACTCAACCTCTGTGGGGCGGGCATAGGAGCGGGCTAGGGAAGGGTTCATTAGTTTTCTTAGAATGTGAGAAAAACTTGGAAGTAGTCTGATTGCTTAAATGATCTGCACTCTGTACAAGACACAATCTTCAATTTGAGATCCTGATAATAGCCATGGACATACCAGTTAATTTTACATTTGTAATTAAAAATAATCTCAGCATCTTTTATGAGGCAGGATGCGGTAGTTGGGGAGGAGTGTTGAGAATCAGGGGTTTGCAGCAGAAGCAATGGAGAAGGGGCTAAACCTGAACATGCCCTCCCTCAGAGTGGGGAAGAGGCTGGAATTAAATCATAGTCAAGAAACAACCAGCCAGGCGCGGTGGCTCACGCCTGTAATCTCAGCACTTTGGGAGGCCGAGGCGGGCAGATCACGAGGTCAGGAGATCGAGACCATCCTGGCTAACACGGTGAAACCCCATCGCTACTAAAAATACAAAAAATTAGCTGGGCGTGGTGGTGGGCGCCTGTAGTCCCAGCTATACAGGAGACTGAGGAAGGAGAATGGCGTGAACCTGGGAGGCAGCGCTTGCAGTGAGCCAAGATTGCACCACTGCACTCCAGCCTGGGCAACAGAGCCAGACTCTGTCTCAAAAAAAAAAAAAAAAAAAAAAAGAAATAACCTGGATGTCTCTGGCTCTTTACTTCTCAGAAAGTCAAGCATCTGATGTTAGCTCCTGTTCCCAAATTCATTGGTTCATATAACTAAAAGATCTGAAGGGAGTTCAAGAATAAAAGAATCCAGAGATTCCAAAGATGTTATCAGAGTTTAATGAGTTTCCCTATTTTAATTTTGCATCAGATCTTTTTCTGTTGGTTTTATTGAAGCAGGCTCTTTCCATGTGAGAGCAAAATGCAACCCCTGCTCTTATTGTCCTTCCGCCCATCCCCTGCAGCTCTAGTCCTGGATCCTATCCTCTCCACAACCCTGGAAAAAAAGTGTTTCTCTTTTGTAGTGATTCCAGTACAATTCCCAAAGAGGGACTGAATGGGCCTCCATGAGTCAAGAAGTTGGAATATGCTGTTGTCCCAGCCCAGGTCACATGTTCACTCATAGACCAGCTTCCCAAACCACGTAGGTTGAGATAGGAAATAAAATCAGGCCGCTTATGTTGGAAGAAGAGTGAGTAGACACTGGTCAGTTAAAAAGCAACAACTGGCTGGGTGCGGTGGCTCACGCCTGTAATCCCAACACTTTGGGAGGCCAAGGTGGGTGGATCGCCTGAGGTCAGGAGTTCGAGACCAGACTGGCTAACATGGTGAAATCCTGTTTCTACTAAAAATACAAAAAACTAGCCGGGCGTGGTGGCAAGTGCCTGTAATCCCAGCTACTTGGGAGGCTGAGGCAGGAGAATCGCTTGAACCTGGGAGGCAGAGGTTGCAGTGAGCCGAGATTGCACCATTGCACTCCAGCTTGGGCAACAAGAGCGAACCTCCATCTCAAGAAAAAAAAAAAAGCAACAGCTTCCCCCTAACCCAGAAAAAGCACAGGGCCTTTCTACAAGTCTCAGAGTTCACCCTAGCAGATTCTAAGTGTCATATTCTCAAAAAGAAGGTAAAATCATTTATTTCTCAACTATGTGCTGGGCATACATTCAAAATTAGGTTCAGGATTCCCCAGAGCAAAGCCAAAGTCCATTCTACTCACTGTGTCTGCTTAATTGTAGCAACCATGCCTCTGTGCCCTTACACAAAATCTTCAGGAATCTATTTTCATGAACCATTCCCAGGATTCAGGTAAGTGAGAGACACTCTAGGGAAGCGTTAACATCAAAAACTCTGAAGCCATATTGCCCAGGTAAAGCTCCGCCCAGTCACTTCATGGCTGTGTACCTGGGCAAGTCGCAGAACATGTTTGTGTCTCAACTGCCTCATTGATAAACTGTGGATAAGAGGACCTACCTTACACTGCTGTTGGGGAGATTAGGTAGGTTAACGTTTGTAAAGTGCTTTGAATGATGATTTTCCATGACAGAGTGACTTGTCCACCCTAGACCACCTACTCTAATCACAATGTAAGAGCTTAGTAAATATTAGGAGTTAAGACTATTAATACTAATGATACTGTCAGAAAATGTGGTGTCTGATGCTCCTGCCACAAGAAAGCCTATGTTCCCAAATCACTTTCATTAGGGTTTTTCTCTAGGGCTAAATACAGAGAGCATGTCCAAACAGGTGCTATGGCAGAACCCTGATTCAGCTTTGTTTTCCCGGAGCTGAGCTGAAGCAAGGTGTTATCTGAGCTTTTCAGATGTGTGTCTCTGAAGGTCCAGGATTTTCAAAAGATGAACGTTTAAATCTACTTTCAGTGTGAGGCCAGGGAACAGAAGAGAAGTGGAAATATCCTTGGCCATTTCTTGTAGGTGCCCAACCCAGGGATCTGCTTATTGCAAATATTCCTGTGGCCCCTCCTTTCTCCCCAAATTAACCAGGATGCCCAAAACTTGAACCCAGGCTTGCAAAGAAAACTAGCTACAAGAGGCATTTTTAATTAAGTGCTGTTAAGATCACTTTGGCAGTGGTGATGGGGTTTCACAGATATTATTAAATAATAGAAAAAATGTGTATACATTTTTCTGGAAGAAGCATACAGACATTTTCACATTTTAAAAATATTTTTCAAAGAGTCTGTAACCCCCCTTTCAAAAGATAAGAACTGCTGACTCAGAGGGATACTAGTTGAATTTAAGCAATTCAGGTAATTAACTGAAATCAATCAATTCAATTAATGAGAATATGTTCTTATTTGCCTGATAATCATATTTTTGTTATTTTAAAGGAAAGCTGTTGATAGAGAAATGTTATCCCATTATTTTTCATGATGATGGGACTGATATCTCCCCAGATGTATTTTTGCTTTTCTAGCCAAAACCTGACAGCTAGCCTCCTCTAGTCAGCAGGGTTGCTTCGAAGACACAGTTGTGTGTGCTGGTCTTCATTTGCTGTGAGTCTAAATGGAAACCTATAGGTGCTTTTCTGTGTCTTTGGTGTTTTCTGAAAATATCTCATTAGACATCTCAACATGCTGGTAAGGTGGAATCTCAAACAATCACCACATAGCAATAGGGCCGAAGAACTCAGGGCTTCCTCCACTCCAACACTCTGCCTGTGCATGTGACTTCTGCTCCAAGTCCTTGGTCCAGTCCTTAACCCATTTATGCCTGAGGTTGCAATTTTTTGAATTTTTGCCATCAGACCTTGGCAATGACCTTGAGCAGTGGGATATAAATAACTTCCACATGGTTAGCGTTGCAATAATGGAACGCTAGGCATAATGATGTAAATAATGTTGGCACTTCTTCCAGAGATCCCGAGGGCAGGATCCTACTGGTGCCAGGCACTCATTTACAGTAAGCAGCGTCTGTTACCAGCCTCAGGAGCAGAAGGTGAGAGTAATGATCACGGATCTCTGCACCAGTGGCTTCCCCAACCTAGTTACTTGTTTGTAATTAAGATGACAATGCAGCCGGGTGCGGTGGCTCATGCCTGTAATCCCAGCTCTTTGGGAGGCTGAGGCGGGCAGATCACTTGAGGTCAGGATTGGAGACCGGCCTGGCCAACATGGTGAAACCCTTTCTCTACCAAAAATATAAAAGATGAGCCAGGTGAGCCAGGTGTGGTGGCTCATGCCTGTAATCTCAGCTACTCGGGAGGCTGAAGCAGTAGAATCGCTTGAACCCAGGAGGTGGAGGTTGTAATAAGCCGAGATCATGCCACTGTACTCCAGTCTGGGCGACAGAGCGAGGCTCTGTCTCCAAAAAAAAGAAAAAAAGAAAAGACAATGCAACACATTTTCACTTCCTTCAGGAATTAGTACATTCCAATTTGAAGGGACAGGAGAAGATGGCTAGGTGTGCCCAGATCTTGGATTCTAAAGACAGAAGGCCATGAACAAGTGCTTGTTTTCTGGTTGGTGGCATTGGAGGAAGGATGATAGCAGGCGCCGCACACAGAGGGTTTTCCAGGAGGTGGCAGTGCGCCCTAAGGCTGGATCTTGGCTGTGCCTGCCTTGTGTATCAACCAAAGAATATTGTAATTGAGACATAACATTATAATGCATTCCAGACCACACAGCTACTCGAGTGTCACCTCAAAATGCTTCTTACTAGTTTCAAAGTCACTGTAACCAGGGTAGGGAGCTGGAAGCGAGGTAGAGGGTGGGAAGAAATGGGAGGGAGCTCTTGGAGACAAATCCGGCAGCGACACTTAGCATTGCTGTGAATGGAGTTTCAATACCATCAGACCAGGAGATACCCTGATGCATATTTACAACTGCTCCCACGTTCACCTCTGAAGACCAATAAAAGAAACTGAAGGACTCATATTGTCTCCATTTTAATTCCCAGGTTTACAAGAAATATTTCATTATTCTAATTCACAGGGAAATAAAGCATCTTCCCTTTTTAAATGAAAGGTCTCCTTGTTCAGGGTGAAGAGCAAATCAAATCAGTCTCTCCCCTGAGAGGTAAGGTTGGCCCCAGATACCAGACTGTGAGGTGAATGGCCACGTGTGGATGATGGTGATGGGAGGAGGGAGGAGAAAAAAGAACACTGGGTGTTGACCAGATCGTGCGTGTGAAACACACATAAGAGATGTATTCACACGGAGTCCATCACAGGCAGGGCAGATTGACTCTGTAATTTCCAATGCCTGACAATGACATCTCGGGACAGACTAAGTGATGGAGGAATAAGAGGGAGGCTAGGCAGGTGTCTTTCCCCTGCAATAGGCTGTTGGCTGGGGTGCTGGTTTACGCAGGCACATTTACAGAAATGAAAGAGCTGGATAAGATCAGAGCAAGGAGTGCTACAATGACTCCTTAGTGTTGTCACATCGTTTACTAGACACATTTCTCGCTTGGGAGCCTGACTTCCTGTTTACACAGTTCTTATTTGTATTTTTTTGTTTATAGCTCCTTGGACTTAGCCAGAGACCTCCATATGGATGAGAGAAGAGTAAAGTCAGCCAGGTGGATTGCTTGGGAAATCTGTGCAAATGAAAATGATACTTAAAGAAAAAAAGCCCAGCCTTTAAATGCCTTTGAATTCATCCAGAGTCTGTATGTGGTTTCCCTTTAATTTAGAAAACTAGTTGCTTTCTGATTTCCTCAACCCTCTTGCACTGGAACTTTGTTCTATATTCTCCGCAAATCCCTTCTTCTGCAAAACTCTCTTTATTCAGCTCTCTTACCTAATTCTAAGAGTGATCCATGTTGAGAACGCACAGAAGTAGTGTTTCCATGCCTTGCTGGTAGCAATCAAAATATACCTGCCTTTCCCATGGCCGAGTGATGTTTTTAAAGCTAAAAAACAAAGCAGACAAACAAGCAAAACATTTACACACCAAAAAACTGGTTTTCAGTGCTGGGGTGATGTTCTTCCTATGGCCCTCTGCCAAGAGGCCAGGCCTTCCTAGCAGCGACCAGACTGCTTTCTGGACAAGTAGGGAGAAGTGCCTATTTTGCAGAGAGTGGGAAACCATTCACCAAGTGCAGAACTGGGTTATTTAATGGGGTGGTGGCAGCTCAAGAAAGCTCATCAATAATCAAGTGAGGGGGGCAGGAAGGGGAAGACTGGAGAATTACTGAAGCAGGTGGGCTTTCAGCATGGGGACTCAGCAGAAGGCAGGAGTGGAATGTAGACTCCTCTGGGCAGCGCAAGACACAGAATGTTCAGATTCCCACAGAAGAGTAATGTGCAAGAGGTGAGATGCAGTACATTCCCTAGAGGCAATGAAATCATCAAGAAAACCTATAAACATTATGGTGAGGTGGCAAGGTCCTATAAACAAAATAAGTACACATTGGATAGATCACAGAGAAAATGCATGTTAACTCTTTGCAACCCGTACAATAACAGGAATCCCAAACAGAGCACACAGCTAGAACTCTTAAGACATGCAACAGTCCTAATGAGATACCAACTACCCACTCTAGTGAGAGGAATGCATGGTCTACCCTCAGCTCATTATGATGTTTATGATTCCTGCATTCAATTGTTTTCCAAAGATAGCTTTTCAGCTTTTTGTTTGAGTCCCAATCTAAGGAATCAAGTGTTTGCCTGATGCCAAAATATCTAAATCCAGGTATTTCCTACAGTCTGGCAGGAATGTTATATCATTAGCCATATTTAAACTCAGAAATAACAGCCATGAAGATTGTAAAGGTGGTACCAGGATGATACAAATTATTCATGGAAAATGGTGTCATTGTTGTGCAGAAAGGGCGCAGCCCTAAAAAGCACCTCATTCAAAGTCAGTAAGTGCAGGAGATAATGTTCCTATTCGTCATCACGGAGAGAAGCATACAGTGAGGTTTACAAGGAAAACCCGTATCACACAGCTCCAGAACATGCAGCAAGGCTGCAGCTTTTAAATGTTTAGAAACATTTAAGAAAAATGTCATTTAAGAAATATTAAGAAAGAGTTAAATTTCACAGGCCAGTGCAGGAAGATGGTGGGAAAGATATTGAGACATCTTTTACATGATCATATTACTGACCTAGGTTTCTTTGTGGTTCCTGTTGGTGGTAACATTTGCATTGAGTCAGCTGCCAGATCTGCAAAACGCATTTTCTTCTGTTGTTTTTTAAGCTTAAAAGCATAAGACTAGGAGCAATATCTAAAATCATTTGGTCCAAACTTTAATATTTTAGCATGGAACTCTTTGCAAAAAAACAAGCAAGAAAATAAAAACGTACCTTGATAAATCTTTATACACTTAGGGTTATTTCGTTGTAGGCAAGATAAATTAATGAGCTAACTAAAGCATAAGGAAATTCACTTGAAAGATACTAATGCTTGCACCTGATTGAAGGGAGGATGTAAGCATGAGGCTTTGAATATACAGGTAATTCTCTCTGTGATGAAGAGAAAGAACATTGTCTCACACACTTACTGACTTTGAATAAGGTGCTTTTTAGGGTTGTGCCCTTTCTGCACAACAGTGACACCATTTTCCACGAATAATTTGTATCATCCTGGCACCATCTCCTCAATCTTCATGGCTGATATTTATGAGTTTAAATACGGCTAATGATATAACATTCCTGCCAAATAGTCAATAGGAACTATCTGGATTCAGATATTTGACCATCAGGCAAATGCTTGATTCCTTAGATTGGGGATCAAACATAAAGCCATATTTTGAAAAATAATTTAATACTGCACAACCAAAGTGGCAACGAACTTTTACCTTTTCTTTTGCCATTGTAGTTGCTGGTGTGAGGGTCAAACTCTAAGGGGAGAGAGTCTGATTAAGCTGGGGTCACATGTTTGGCTGTACCTAGGTGGTGAGAGCTTCTCGTAGAAACCAATAGCCTGTGTGGCTTATAGTCAGGACATCTTGAGGCTTTATACAATATGAAGGGTGTAATTCTTCACATGGAAATTTGGGAGCTGTTAGAAGAGAGGAATGGGTGCTGAGAAACAAAAATTCATCAAAAACACACACACACACACACAAACATGCACCCCACACACCAAATAAAGCAGATGAACAAAGCTGAGGACAGAAAAGGAAAGGAGCCTGGAGCCCAACCCCTTACCCATTATAAAAGTGTCTGGGACATTCCACGACACAGAATGGAAACCATTAATGTGACTCGTCTTCTGAAGATTTGGTATCATGAGATCTAATTTATTATTCCCCACATTTTCAGGGCATGCATTCCACACTATCTTTCCATCACTATTTCCTTCAAAAATTCTTAATGATCATAGTTATAATTTAAATATCAACTCAATATTGACTGTTATCAAAATGTGATTGTGGAAATCACTTGTGTAGTCTCAAATCTGTATGACTTTCTACCTCTGGTCTCGTGATATGATTGTACTTCTTCAACTTCTTTGAAGTTAGGTGTGACCAGGTGTTGTACAAAGAAATGTGAGTGGAAGGGTTGTACATGACTTCCAGGCAGAAGTGTTAAGAGCCAGTGCATAGTTTGTGATGCTTTCTGTCTGCAGCTGCTGTGATCAGGTAAGCACATGGTGAGATAAAGCCTGCGTCAGCCAGGCTCCCTGACTATGGTAGGAAGACTCCCCTGCCGATCCCTGCAGAAGGTATTGGGTTAAGCCACTGAGATTTAGGGATTGTTTATTACTGCAGTTTAGCAGATCCTTACTGATATATCTATTTTCTTTTACTCTGATATCATAAAAGGAGAATATCTTGTTTGTTCTTCCAAAAAGATACTTAGAATTATGGGTACTCTGTACCCATACAGAGATCATGGACTACTGGGCAGAAACTGAGGCTCAGTAAAGTAGTAAAATTAGTATACTAAACCTTAATATTTGTCTTCTCCAACCTCCTTCTGATATGGTTTGGCTGTGGGTCCCCACCCAAATCTCATCTTGAATTGTAGCTCCCATAATTCCCACGTGTGGTGGGAGGGACCTAGTGGGAGGTAATTTAATCATGGAGGTGGGTCTTTCCCGTGCTGTTCTCATGATAGTGAATAAGTCTCACGAGATGTGATGGTTGTATAAAGGGCAGTTCCCCTGCCACACTCTCTTTCCTGCCACCATGTAAGACGTGACTTTGCCCCTCCTCACCTTCTACCACCATTGTGAGGCCTCCCCAGCCACATAGAACTATGAGTCATTAAGCCTCTTTTCCTTTATAAATTACCCAGTCTCGGGTATGTCTTTATTAGCAGCATAAGAACAGACTAATACACCTTCTAAGGCAGGAATTCACTTGGCTATATCCCTACTTTGAAACTACACAGACATGGGTTTGAATTCAGGCTGTGCCACTTACAAGTAATGAGATACTAAGCAAGTGATGTAACCCCTCTAGACCTCAAGTCCCTCATTTGTAAAATAGGAGCAGTATTTTTTTCTGCCTTGCCAGATTATTGTGAGGATTTGAGATATAAAGCACGTATCATGTAAACTGGCATATAGCAACCTAGTATGGTGGTTGTTAACCTCCCTTCTCTTCTTGGACACTTCCAGAGGCAGCATAGACTCATCACTTGGTAACAAACCAGTTTCATCACACAGAACATGTCTAATTGCTAGCAAACTCCTTCTTATTCAGCATAAATCTGCCTTAGCTTCTCTCTATTAGACATTTGGTGTGCTTCTTTTACCTTCTTGAACAGCATGGACCAGTCTTAGTCTTGAATTGTAGCTCAATTGTAGCTCAGTGTTGTCCACATGACAACATCATATATCTGAACACAGCTATCCTGTTCCTTCTAGAGGTCTTCTCTCCTCTCAGAAAAACATTCTCAGTTTCAGTTTTCATAAAATTGAATTTCTAGACAACTCATCTAACCTGGGGACTGTGTTTTAAAATCTCTCTGTAGTATCTAGTAATTAGTAGTTGCTAAATAAATATGCATTCCTCTACTTCTGAGTTCAGATTTCTGAGGCCTTTAATATGACACCTAGGGCTGAACACACCTTTGATCTAACAAGCACAGAGCACAGAAGGAGCCACCTTCTCCCACATTGCCTGCTCCCTACTCTGATCTGATCTGGATACTGTACTTGTAAATGCAGCATGAGATGGCAAATCTTTTATTTAAAGCGAAGTCATGCCACAACCAGCTCATGGTCAACTAAAATTCTTAGATTTTTAATAACTAATTGTCAAGTCAGGGCTCTTCTATGCTGTTATTGCCAAGTCAATTGTTAACCTAATTAAAGAGTCTTTATCCCATTATATGTAATATTATTGTTTTGGGCACTAGGAAAGTCTACCAAACTTTCAGTGTCCTTTTTCTGTCACCTAACTTATTAGCTATTTCTCCCAGTTTGAAGTGTCCCCTGAATCTAATCAGTATGCTGCCCTCATCATTAATAATTGTTTTGACTAGGGCAAAGATAGAAATCACTTTCAGGGTGGTAGAATTCATAAAGTGACATTCCCTTGGGGCATGTTACTTTCACTAGTATAGTGGGCGTCCATAATGTTATCTGCCAGTGGCCTTTCTTAGAGAACCATCTTTTCTCTTTCATATGGCCACAAAAGTAGGCTTCTGGGGTGTGTTTGTACAATGCTACATTTGCCCCAAACCTTTGCTCCTGGCTGCTGTGCCAAACTTCTATTTACCTCAGTGAGGAAGGCACCAGGTTCAAGAGGCCAAAGAAGAGACCTAGAACCAGCAAACAAGACATAGGGTTTCATTAGAGGCTTACATATAGAGGAGAGAGTCCAGTGGCAGTGGTTGAGCTGGACAGGATATCTGCCTTACCTATAGCCCAGGGGTTCCGGACAAGATATCCATATGGCCCAGTGGGGAACCACTTGAAAACAACATGCAGTTTATATAGCATTTTCACTTAACACCCTCCCCTAAACGACCTCCACCTGGCAACCTTGATTTAACCCAAAACTCAGGGCCTCAATCTCCATAAAGCTTGTGTTCCAGGGGATGGGTCTGGGGCTCTGACGTTTCTCATAGACAAGGAACAATCTCCATGTTGCCCAGTCTCAAGTTCCCTAGCTTGGAGCACACCTTCAGATGCATCTGCCATCCAGGGTCATTCTAAGGATGTGCTTAAGCCACTGCCCCCAGGTATGTTTATCCTACACTGGCTAAGATTGATTGGTCCAGGGCTAACTTGACACAGGACCAATGAAAATTCCTTCTACTGGAACCAAAAATTGGGACAATGGAGTCCAGTCCAATCTCCCAGGTGGAAGCGAGTGAAATATTCAGAGCTTTATCATGACTGTGCTTTCCTCCACAGGGCCTGGTGGGCAGAGAAGAAAACAGTGAAGCAGGTGCAGAGGTGACAGAAAGGAGGAAAATGTGGGTGGCCTTCTACTGTGGCTGACCTGCAGCCCATAGATCCTCTGTGGCAACCTAATTCTTTTTTTTTTTTTTTTTTTAACAGAGTCTTACTCTGTTGTCCAGGCTGTGTGCCTCAGCCTCCCGAGTAACTGGGATTACAGGTGTGCACCACCACACCCAGCTAATTTTTGTATTTTTCGTAGAGATGGGGTTTTACTATGTTGGCCAGGCTGGTCTTGAACTCCCAACTTCAAGTGATCCACCTGCCTCAGCCTTCCAAAGTGCTGGGATTATAGGTATGAGCCACTGTGCCCAGCCTGCACCCTTATTCTTTGAAATACATCATCTTTTTGCATTCAGTCACTTCAGAGGACTGTCTGTTACTGGGAAACCACTGAGTCCTAATTAATTGAAGCACCTTCTGATTCTTATAACCCATTACTCATCAAACCCACCTTGAACCAAGGCTCTGACTTCTGTTCCATTTATTTGTTAGCTTTTGTTTTGGTTTTTCTTTCTCTATCCCAAGTAGCCTCTGTTTAAAGCCAGGTTCTCTAGAACCAGAGCCTGAGGTAGAGATTCAGGTGATCTGATTTATGGAGGGGCTGCTCTTCAGGAAATGGCTGTACGGGAGTGAGAGGACCAAAAGGAAGGGAAAGGGTTGAGCCAGGAAGTGGTTTCAGGTGAAGTCTAGACTTGGCTTGAGGCCCAGGAGGATCAGAAGACAAATGCACCACAGATCGGCCCCAGCTCGAGGACAGGGGGCTGGATTTTTGTGCCTTGTCTGTCAGCAACTGACATGGGGACAGGGAGGGAGGTGGGCAAGGCAATGCGGTCAGTTATTAGCAACTCCCCAGCAGCCCTCTAGCGGCTGGGGAAGGGCTCTGCAGCCTGATGAAAGGTAGGAGGGTGGGGTGCCCGCCCTGCCTACCACAGCTTTCTTCATTCTACCTATTCCATCATCTTCCTTCTTCCAGCAGGCCACTTCAGGGACAGGTCCTCTCAGACTGCTTAGGACAAAAAGCACCTGATGAATCCCAGTGGTCCTTTTTTACCCTTTGTTGTTATATATATTTTTTATTATTCTGTAAAATATGTTAAAATTAGTATCAAGAGTAGAAGCCATTATACGAAGCCCATTAGGGCAGGGGTGGGTGGTGGTGCCCGTCATGGTTCTGCACATTGCAGTGGATACCTGGGATTTTATTGCCTATGTCCATTCCCCCCTCTTTCATGATGACAGCACCCCAGATTTCATTTGGGAAAAAGCCCCACTTCCAATAGGAGTGATCTGACTTTGTTCCAGGGGTGAGTTCTGATTGATGCAAGCTGATCTGCAAAGTCCATCTACCCCTTCCCAGGCCTCGCAATTACCTTTGAGATGAGAACACAATCTAATTTGAACCAATAAAATGCAGGGAGACTTTGAAGTTCCAGGGGGAAAATGATTCCTAGCTCTTGGTGAAGACTAAGGAAAGATGCTTTCTCATCTTCTGATCGGCGTGGGGAAAGGATGTGATGTTTGGAGACATATAACCATTTCTGGAACCTCAGCCTGGGACCAACCTGAAGAAAAGATCTGACACCCAAAGTGGATGAAAGCCTCTCAAATCCATGGCGCCCCTGAGAATATGGTGAATCTCTGCCTCAAACCATACCTGAAGCCAAATACCTTGAAGCCGTCAGTATGTGAACCAACAAATTCCATTATTTGCTTAAGCTAGTTTCAAATGGGTTTTTGTTTTTTGAAACATAAACTATCCTAAGTGATAGACTGCAGCGAGTGGGAGGAGGAATAGATTACATTCGGGGAATGTCACCACCCACTTGTTTTTGGCAAACTTTCATGTGTAAACTCTCCTCTTAAGTCTCATAATTTGTTCAGATTTAAAAGCTGGAACAGACGATTCAGCATCCCCTATAACCCTTCATAAAGCATCCTGGCCTGAATGCTGAGTGCCTAGCCTTCCACTGCAGACATCTGATTTTAGGATCTGGTTTCTGGTATACTAAACCATTGAAATAACATCAGCTTCATTTGGAAGACCTCCAATTGTTAGCAGAGCTTTGCAGAAACATCTCCTGAAATGAGAAGAAAATGACCTCTCCCATAGGGGTCTCTTTGAAAGTTTATTAATAAAACATTTGATTGAAACTGTGCATTAATGTCCCTCTGCAACCACTTTGGAAATCGTAAAAGTGCTCCAGATAGCTTAGGATTTACATGTATCATTTCATACTGTGCCCTATGCTGTCCTAGAACTGATTCCAGGCCTGGGCTAGGTACAAGAGTCCATGGAGAGCTGCACAGGGGACACGGCGAATCATGATCTGGTCCATTTTTCTTCCTCTCCGCAGCCCTTCTAGAGCTCTCTCCTATGAGGGCTGTGGAATTTGCCTCATGCCTGGAGGTTGTGGTGCCCCTAGATGATTTTTAAATATAATAGTCCCAGTTATTATCATAGTTAGATATCTCTTTGTTTCTTTTCTCCATTTACGGTGCCTAATGCCATCTTTGACCAGATGGAGAATGCAATTAAAATAAATATAATGTAATATAAAAATAAAACAGAACATATTGCTTTTGCAGGGCAATCTGGGCCCAAGATTTCTGCAGTGGAAATTACTGGCTAAATAAACCTATCTCCTCATTGACACAAAGCTGCGAAGAGAGATTGGTTACAACAACAAGAGAAAGAAATGTGATTATTTCCTAAATTGAAGCAAAAGAAGTTTTGTCCAAATGGAAAATTATTGAAGCAGAAAGTTGAGGTTTTTTAAAAATTTCTTTTAACATAAACACCATCAACAAATTCAATAACATCACAGTGCAGGTGCTACAGGGGATGACAAGATGAGCAGGGAGAGTCATCTTCCAGAAGAAGATTCTAGTTTAATTGGGGAGAATACATGTACATGGAGGGAAAAACAGAAATACACAGTGGGTCAACTTAAATAAAGAGATTGTTGTGGCTCTGCTCTGGCCAAGGCCCTTCTTCCTTGTATGGCGGCATAAGGAACTCATCCTTCCCAATAAGACATTTCTAATACAGAGTGGCTGAATAATAACCTTGACCACTAAATCAACATAGACCCTGTCTCATTAAAGAGATCTTTGATACAAGTAACAGACTCCAATGCGTGAAAGTGAGAATTTGTTGGAAGGACCCATGTGTATCACACAGAACTCAACAACGCTTCATCTCTAGGAAAGAAGAAATCAGAGCCTGGAGAATCAGTAGGGACCAAGGGAGCTATTGCAAATCTTTCTGTGGCACTAGGGCTCCTTGCCTCTACTTCCCTCCATGTGCCTACTTTATTTTTCTCTCTTTTCACACCTTTTGCACATGGAGAGACAGCTCTATCACAGCCCTAGCATCACACTGCTTCCTAACATCCAGACCCCCAAGTAACTGATGACCATACTAGGTCCAAACTCCTAGCAGAGAATCTAATTGGCCCAGATTGGGGCAGGTGTCCATCTCTTCCAATCAGCTATGACCAGTAAAGTAACTGTTGGTCAGTACAGAAATAGCTACAAGAGTCCACCCATTTGGGTAGGTGAACAGTTCCCAGAAAAGGGGCTGGGAAGATATACCAAAAGGTCTTCTACTACAAATTTGGTTACAATTCATTATATTCATTCCTGGCAATGTATTAAATTCTTTCACTTATGATCATTTCTGTGGTTGCAAGCCATAAGAGATATCCTTATTCGAGGTAGAATTTATGTTTGATCTCTAAGTCCCATGTCTAAAACTTAAGATCATGGCTGACATAAAGTCTGTACCCTTAGAATAAAGTCCTATCTATAATCTTTATTCTTTTCAACTGTTCCCTTTAGAACCATACACATACTAACTTAGCATATCAAAATTAGTATAGGCAAAGTTTTACCCAAAGGATTTCTAATTCTAGATAAACAGAGAGGTTGGGAAAGATTAAAGAGCTATATTCTATCTATTGCATGCCAATTGGAATATCTGAAAAATCAAAAAAGGAAGCAAACAAATAATTATTCCAGAGAGAAGTCTGATCAGAAGGCGTATTACAGTCATGGTTAGGTATTTCTGTTGATATCTTGATTATGCTTAACCAATTATAGATCTTTTATTTTTGTTACTCTTCAATATTTTGATTATCAATGCAGAGAACAAATCGTAACATTTCTTGAACATTTGCTACATGCAAATCATTTTATTTAATGTAAGGATAACCACTTAATTCTTATATTAGTCCCATGAGGCAGATATTTATGTTATTATTTTGCAGATGAGAACATTAAAGCCCAGGAAATTTGAGTGGCTGGTCATAGTCACACAGCTAGTGAGCCTGTATTTGTCCATGGGTACAATAACCCAGTTCTGTCCACCACTCAAAATTTGCCTCCCCACACTGATGTCTCCCTTAAATGTGTATATATATAATTTATATGATGTATGATTGCATATCCACAGAAAGAATAACAAAATGCTTAGAAGTTCTAGGTCTTACCTCTGAAATCAATAATTCTACAACCTTAGGAAAATCAGTTCAACTTTGCAAACCCATTTTCTTCACTTCACTACACATAAAAGAGCTTCCAGCGGCAGGTGTCATGTCAAAGTACTGAAATGAAATGTTATACAGACCAGACAGTGGGTCCTCCTCAGTATCCCCACAATGTTAATTTCTCTGCTTCCTATCACTAATCATTGGATTAGTATGAGAGGTAACCAATAAAATAAAATAGCATCCTCTGTTTCCCTTGACTTCCAATTCCTAAAGACAGCTTGGAGATGTCTATGAAACTTTGGGTGGTAATAGAAGGGAAAAAGTTAGCTCTATTTTTAATAACTTGGTATTTTGGCTCGTGATTGAATCATCACTGTTCTCCCACTGCTGGTTCCTCCTTTCTGTATGCATTGCTCTTCCCTTCTTCTTCAGCCAGAAGGTGGAGTGGGGTCATCTTCTGAGCAGACCTGAAGTTCTTCCCAGCCAAATCACCCTAGTGCTATGCACAGAGCACTATATTGGAGAGTTGAAAGACCTGGGCTGGACTGGAAGTCTCAACTCTGCCATCACCAACTTGGTAGCTGGCGAATCAGATCCTATCTTTGGCCTTCAATCTACCTATGTAAAATGAGAGAGCTAAAGAAAAATATCTTCCTAGGCCCCTTCCAGCTTTAGTGTTTTATCACCTTGCATGAGAAGAGACAACATTCATCAAAGTTTACCTGGTCTCTGCAGCCAATCCTTTCCAGGGCTTTTTGGCCCTGAGAACACTAATGGGTTTTCTTTCAAGCCCTAGTTCTTCCTGCTTTCTGAGCCTAACAGATGTGAGGTCAATATACAGAGAAGAGCACAGCGGATGATATTCACTTCCCATGTCATTTGCACATTTCACTGTGACATTTTGTGGTTCATTCTGCATGTTTTGCTGATGTCTATCTAAAAAGGCATGTACTTTAAGAGGTTCCTTTTCATAAAGAATACTTGAGTGAGCAGGGCCTCCAGGCTTCACAACTCCCGGTATGAAAGATACCTCTAGATTGTGCAACCTGAGGGCCTATTATAGTGGTGGGGGGACTGGGGAGGAGGGAGCGGTGCAGTCTGTGGCAGACTTTGGCACAGCTGCTCAGGACTGT
The DNA here is from genome assembly GCF_000001405.40 of Homo sapiens. Classification (NCBI taxonomy): domain Eukaryota; kingdom Metazoa; phylum Chordata; class Mammalia; order Primates; family Hominidae; genus Homo; species Homo sapiens. The sequence continues at coordinate 206,994,321 of NC_000002.12, forward strand.
TATACGAGTGTCAGAGGGCACAAACTGGTTAGCACTTGGTTCAGGTATTTTTAATTCAGATATTTGAAATTCCAGCTTCACTATTTATTTGCCATTTGATCTCAGGCAAGATATTTAACCTCTCTGCACTTCCCTTTCTGATCTGTAAAAAGAGAATAACGTTCATTCCTACTTCACAGGATTGTTGTTGAAGACAAAAAAAAATCTTTCATATAAAATGCTTAGCAGAGTGCCTAGTAATAAAACATGTTAATTAATGTCATTATCCCTTCAAACACACATGCAAACATACAGAATAAATTTTTTAAAAGCAAAGTTTTGATTATAAGACACCAAGACCAATTTCCCTATTGCATAAGCAATAAGCAAAACACATACGGTTTCTCATTTCTTTGAGTTTTCAAGTAAAACTATGGGTATACAATTCAGAGCTGGGCCAAACTGAATTTCCAGGAAAGCAATACCTGAGAAAGTTTTAAAGAAGAGCAAGATTTGTTGGCTGAAAAACATAAACACATCTCAACCTCAGAATCAGAATGGGAGCAAATAGCACAGCTGGCCTCTGACCACTTACTAATGAACTGCCACCTGCATGAAGACCAGGGTACACTGGTCAAATTTAACTCCATTCCATAGCTCTACTCCATGTTCCTTTATTTCACTTCCTTACTGAGATAGTACATCCCCAAAAGGAGCTTAGGAAAACTGTGTGTTTTCATGCAATAAAGTTATCATGGAGAATGTGGCAGTGATGGAGTATATCATTTTGGACATTGTGAGCATTCTTCCAGCTATGGTTTGAATGTTTGTCTCCTCTAAGACTCATGTTGAAATTTGATCCCCAGTATTGGAAGTGGGGCCTAATGGGAGGTGTTTGAATCATGTTTGAATTTCCTCATGAATATTTGTTCCTTTGAGAGCTGGTTGTTTAAAAAGAGTCTGATACCTCTCTGTCTCTCTGTCTCTCTCTCTCTGTCTTGCTTCCTCTCCCACAACGTGATTTCTGCACACATAGGCTCCCCTCACCTTCTGCCATGAGTGGAAGTAGCCTGAAGTCCTCACCAGATACAGATGCCAGTACTATGCTTCTTCTGCAGTCTGCAGAACTGTGAGCCAAATAAACCTCTTTCTTTCTTTCTTTCTTTTTTTTTTTTTGAGATGGAGTCTTGCTCTGTCACCCAGGCTAGAGTGCAGTGGTGCGATATCGGCTCACTGCAAGCTCTGCCTCCCGGGTTCACACCATTCTCCTGCCTCAGCCTCCCAAGTAGCTGGGACTACAGGTGCACACCACCACGCCCAGCTAATTTTTTTTGCATTTTTAGTAGAGACGGGGTTTTACTGTGTTAGCCAGGATGGTCTCAATCTCCTGACCTCATGATCCACCCGCCTCAGCTTCCCAAAGTGCTGGGATTACAGGCATGAGCCGCCGCGCCTGGCCTAAACCTCTTTCTTTATAAATTACCCAGCCTCAAGTTTTCCTTTATGGCAACACAAAATGGACGAAGACACCATCTATGTGTAAAATTTTCTGCCCACATGCTGAGGTCACACATACAAATAGCTACAGGGTTCAGACAGGCAACATGATTGAGTAAAATGAACTGGCATGGGACTGTGGGCAGACCAGAAAATATACACCCTGTCTAAAGAAGGAAACTGCTATACTGCTTCAGACTACTATTTCCATGCTCATTGAGTGCCATCTTATCTTTCCATTTTACAAAAAAAGTAAAAACTCTGAATTTTTATGTGAAACTTCTCAAACTTTTAATTGATGGCAACTTGTGCAAAAAATTTAAAATACCACTGGGGTCTGTCTTATCCCCACAGTCTTAGCCACACTGGAACATCCAGCAATAATCAGAGCTCAGAATCTTCAGATGACTGGGGGGATGAGGATGGTAGTGAGACAGACTTCAGGTCCTAATGCATTGTTTTTATCAAACCCATTGTGGTTTGTCATAATATCTTAAAGGTACAAATGATTTTCATACTTCTGCTTCCAATCATTAGGGAATAACTAGTAATGAATCTTCCTTCCCACCATAAACAAGTATAAATATGGTCAAAATATATGAGGCATCTGTTTTCAAGCATTGAACAACAGGTAGTGAAAGATTATGATTCCTGAGAGAAGGGAAACAAACAAGGTTTCCTTAGCTTTCTGCTGGGGAAGCACTTTCCTTCCACAATGTAGAAAACTGGGGCCCAAGTGGAGCGGCAATCTTGCTAAGTTGAAAAGGCAGAAAATAAGATTCCAGGCTGCAGAAGTAACTGGAATTTGCAGGGCAGGGTACCAGAAAAGAGACACCTCCAAAAGCAGATATCTCAGAAGTCTGTGTGAGGATTCACTATAGGTCTATGGCTGTAGAATGCACTGAGATTTTTTTCAGGGCAAGACCTAACAAGGTCTAGTAGAGAACAGCTGCTGTGGGGCTGACAGCTGAATGGAGAAATAGGAAGTTGTGCAGTACTGAGAACACTGGAGTCCTAGCACATCCAGGATGAAGAGAAAGTAATGAAAGTTATGGCAAAAAAAAAAAAAAAGGGAATGTAATGAAAGTAATGCCATTGAAAGTAATGGCAAAAACCACAATTACTTTTGCACCAACCTAATAGAAAAAGAACCACAGCACAAGATTAAGGTCAAAATCACCATAAAATTGCCCTAAAAATAATTCAACATAAAAACTTCTATAGTTATTTAACTGCTTCCCAGAACAAAACTAAACATTCTTTAAAAGAAGATGAAACAATTCAGATTCCTACAACATATCATCCACAAGGTCCATTATACAACAAAAAATTAATAGATATTGGAAGAGGCAGAAAAATGTGACCCATAATAAAGAATAAAAGCAATAATATGCCTAGCCAAGACAGAAAAGAACATGAAAAAAACCTATTGTAAATAAGTTCAAAGGCTTAAAGGAGAAGATTGTCACTGTAATTGAACAGATAGGAAATCTCAACCTAGGAATGGAAACTATAAAAAAAAAAGAATACATTTCTGCAACTGAAAAGTACTATATCTAAAATGAAAAATTCACTGGATAGACTTACCAGCACGTTGGAGACTATATAAGAAAGAGTGAATGAACACGAAGCTAGATCAAGAGAAATTATCAAATCTGAAAAGCAGAGGAGAAAGACGAACACAGATTTATTAATTTGTAGGGCAATATTATGTGGTCTAACATACAATAACATATGTGTAAGTGGAGATCCAAAAAAGAAGAGACAGAATTGGGCAGAAAAATAAATGAAGATATACATGAATAATTTTTGGCAAAAGTTTACTCAATTTGGAGAAAAATATCAATATATACATCTAAGAAACTTGACAAACTCAAGAATAATGGTAAATTTTATGTGTAAACTTAACAGGGCTAAAGGATGCTCAGATAGCTGGTAAAACATTATTTCTGGGTGTGTTTGTGAGAATGTTTTGGAAGAGATTAGCATTTGAAACAATAAACAGAGTAAAGAAGATCATTGTTACCATTGAGGATAGACATCATCCAATTGAGAGCCTTAATAAAACAAAAAAGGTGGAAGAAGGGCAGATTTGCTTTCTTTTTCAGCTGAAACGTTCATTTGATCCTGCCCTTGGACATCACCACTCCTCGATATCACGTCTCTGGGCTTGGACTGGGAATTACATCACCTGGCCCTCTGGTTCTTAGGTCTCAGATTTGGACTGAATTACACCACCAGCCTTCCTGGATCTCTAGCTTGCAGATGGCAGCATAAGACTTCTGAGCCTCTATAGTTGTGTGAGCCAATTTTCATAATAAATATATCTATACATCTATGTCTATCTATCTATATCTATCTATCTCTATCTCTACATCTATATCTGTCTCTTGTTGGTTCTGTTTCTCTGTAGAACTCTGACTAATACATCAAGCAAAACTTTTTTTTAAAAAATCACATAGATAGATCATAGCAAACTACTGAAACCAAATATATAAAAAAAAATTTAAAGGAACCAGAGGGAAAAAGAAGACATCTTACATCCAAGAGAATAATAAAGTGGAAAAAAATGGCTGACTTATCCCTGGAAACAATTAAGGTAAAAAGACAATGTAATGACACCTTTAAAGTGCTAAAAAAACAGTAAGAACAACTCTCCACCAGAAGTATATATGCAGTGAAAATGTTCTTTAAAAATTAGGGTGAAATAAAACATTTTCAGGTAGATGAAAGTTGAGAGAATTCCAGCATGTGGGCACTACAAGAAATGCTAAAGGTAGCTTTTCAATTTGAATAAAATAATATCAATTAGAAATTTGGATCTTTAGGAAGAAAGGAAGAGAATCTAAAATGGTAAATATAGGATTAATGTAAAATATGTATTTTTTCTCTGTTTGGCTGAATAACAATTCACTTTTTAAAAGAAAAATAATAAAATTGTATTTTTTATTACTTAGATACATTATCTATACACACACGTATGACAACAATATATGGCAATAAAAGATAGCAATTAAATAAAATTTTAATATTGTAACATTCATACATTTTATGTGAACTGGTAGAAAATCAACTCTAAGTGCATTATGATGAACTAAAAATGCATGTTTTAATGCCCAGAAAAGTGGTTCTCAAAGCATGGCTCACAGACCAAGTGTCAGCATCACCTGAGAACTTGTTCAAAATGAAAACTATTGGCCTCTACTTGGACTTACCAAATTAGGAGCTCTGGTTAAAGGTCCCATCAATTTTTGTTTTAATAAGCTTCCCAGATGGTTAGGGAAACACTAGACCTTAGAGTCACAAAAAAGCAAACAGAAAAATGTATAAAAGACATCTTTCTAAGGCAATAGAGAGTAATAAAGATGTCTATAGGAGTAAATACTTCTCAGCTCATTTTATGATGCCAACATATCCCTGACACAAAAACCTGTCAAAGAATATTAATTACAAGTACAGAGAATTGTAGACTAATATCTCTAATGAACATAGTTACAAACCTTCTTAATAAAATGTGAGCAAATTAAATTCTGTGGAACCTAAAATGAATAATACATCATGGCCAAGTAAGGTTTAGTGCAGGTATATAAGGCAGGTTTAATATTTTTAAGAATCAATCAACATAATTCACCACATTAACAGGAAAATAGAGAATAACTTTATGCTCATCTTAATAGAGGCAGTAAAATATTTGACAGAATTGAACACTCATTCATGATAAAAGCTTTCAGTAAACTAAATATATAAGTGAAATTTTTTCAACCTGATAAATGGCATCTACAAAAGAGCCAAAGCTACTATCATACTCAGAGGTGAATCGCTGGACCTTTTCTTTAATATAGGAAGCAATGCAAATTCTCACCACTTCTAATCAAATTGAACTAGAAGTCTTAAGGCAAGAAAAAGAAATAAAGGGCATAGTGACTAGAAAGAAAGAAAAGCAAAACTACATATATTCACATATTCACATAACAATGTATAATATTCTAGGTATATTTCCATATACTAGCAACAACTAAAATTAAAAATTTTTAAATAAATATTTTAAATTGCATTTAAAAATGTAATAATAAATCTAATTAAAGATCTGCAAGACTTCCACCTATAAGAAAATTAACAAAACCTTTTGAAAATGAAGAAATACACCATGTTCATGGATTGGAAAAATCTCTATTGTTAAGATGTCAATTCTCCCCAAACAAATTTAAAGATTCTACACAATATCAATCAAAATCTCAACTGACTTTTCTTTTCTTAATTATTTGAAAAATGTTTTAAAACTTAAAATAGCCAAAATAATTTTGGAAAGTTGGAATAGGTGTATTGTTTTCCAAACTCACTATGAAGGTATAATAATCAACGATATGGAATTGGTATCAGGATAGACAAATAGGTCACTAGAGCAGAGCAGAATTTAGAAATAGACACATATAAAGTCAACTGATTTTCAACAAAGGAACCAAGGCAATTCAATAGGGAAAGAAAATCTTTTCAACAAATGGTGTCGGCTATATATAGGGAAGAAAAATAAACTGTGACCCTTACCTCTCACCCTCCACAAAATTAAGTTAAAACGGCCTCTAGACCTAAACAAAAGGGCTTAAATTACATAGTTTTCTAGAAGAAAATAGAAGAGAAACACTGAATCCAGGTGTTGGCAAAAATTTAGACAAGACTCAAAAGCACTGATCATAAAAGAAAATAATTGGCAGTATGGTAGCCATCAAAATTCACATTTTTCTCCTCAAAAAACACAATTAAGTAAGTGAAAAGGCAAGTCTGGGAAAATACAATCATATTAATTGTATCTGAAAAATTATCGCCCATAATTTACAAACAACAACAACAACAAAATTTCTATAAATCCACAAGTCAAAGATAACCAAATTTTAAAATAGGTGAAAAACATGAACAGATAATTCACAAAAGCAGATCTATAAATAGCCAATACACATGTGGAAAAGTGCTCAAAATCATTAGTCATTAGGGAAAGGCATAAGGAAATTTCCAGTATGATGGAAATGTTCTATATCTTGATTGGAGTATTATTTACCTTGGTGTATATTTTCACAAAACTCACTGAAATTTATAGTTAAGATTTATATCTGGGCCCGGGAGCCAAGATGGCCGAATAGGAACAGCTCCGGTCTACAGGTCCCAGCGTGAGCGACGCAGAAGACAGGTGATTTCTGCATTTCCATCTGAGGTACCAGGTTCATCTCACTAGCGAGTGCCAGAAAGTGGGCCCAGGTCAGTGGGTGCGCACACCGTGTGCGAGCCGAAGCAGGGTGAGGCATTGCCTCACTCAGGAAGCGCAAGGGGTCAGGGAGTTCCCTTTCCTAGTCAAAAAAGGGGTGACAGACGGCACCTGGAAAATCGGGTCACTCCCACCTGAATATTGCGCTTTTCCGATGGGCTTAAAAAATGGCGCACCAGGAGATTATATCCCGCACCTGGCTCAGAGGGTCCTATGCCCACGGAGTCTCGCTGATTGCTAGCACAGCAGTCTGAGATCAAACTGCAAGGCGGCAGCAAGGCTGGGGGAGGGGCGCCCGCCATTGCCCAGGCTTGCTTAGGTAAACAAAGCAGCTGGGAAGCTCGAACTGGGTGGAGCCCACCACAGCTCAAGGAGGCTTGCCTGCCTCTGTAGGCTCCACCTCTGGGGGCAGGGCACAGACAAACAAAAAGACAGCAGTAACCTCTGCAGACTTAAATGTCCCTGTCTGACAGCTTTGGAGAGAGCAGTGGTTCTCCCAGCATGCAGCTGGAGATCTGAGAACTGGCAGACTGCCTCAAGTGGGTCCCTGATCCCTGACCCCCAAGCAGCCTAACTGGGAGGCACCCCCCAGCAGGGGCAGACTTACAGCTCACATGGCCGGGTACTCCAACAGACCTGCAGCTGAGGGTCCTGTCTGTTAGAAGGAAAACTAACAAACAGAAAGGACATCCACACCAAAAACCCATCTGTACATCACCGCCATCAAAGACCAAAAGTAGATAAAACCACAAAGATGGGGAAAAAACAGAACAGAAAAACGAAACTCTAAAAAGCAGAGCGCCTCTCCTCCTCCAAAGGAATGCAGTTCCTCACCAGCAATGGAACAAAGCTGGACGGAGAATGACTTTGACGAGCTAAGAGAAGAAGGCTTTACACGATCAAATTACTCCGAGCTACGGGAGGACATGCAAACCAAAGGCAAAGAAGTGGAAAACTGTGAAAAAAATTTAGAAGAATTTATAACTAGAATAACCAATACAGAAAAGTGCTTAAAGGAGCTGATGGAGCTGAAAACCAAGGCTCGAGAACTACGTGAAGAATGCAGAAGCCTCAGGAGCCGATGCAATCAACTGGAAGAAAGGGTATCAGTGATGGAAGATGAAATGAATGAAATGAAGTGAGAAGGGAAGGTTAGAGAAAAAAGAATAAAAAGAAATGAGCAAAGCCTCCAAGAAATATGGGACTACGTGAAAAGACCAAATCTATGTCTGATTGGTGTACCTGAAAGTGATGGGGAGAATGGAACCAAGTTGGAAAACACTCTGCAGGATATTATCCAGGAGAACTTCCCCAATCTAGCAAGGCAGGCCAACATTCAGATTCAGGAAATACAGAGAACGCCACAAAGATAATCCTCGAGAAGAGCAACTCCAAGACACATAATTGTCAGATTCACCAAAGATGAAATGAAGGAAAAAATGTTAAGGGCAGCCAGAGAGAAAGGTCGGGTTACCCTCAAAGGGAAGCCCATCAGACTAACGCAGATCTCTCGGCAGAAACTCTACAAGCCAGAAGAGAGTGGGGCCAATATTCAACATTCTTAAAGAAAAGAATTTTCAACCCAGAATTTCATATCCAGCCAAACTAAGCTTCATAAGTGAAGGAGAAATAAAATACTTTACAGACAAGCAAATGCTGAGAGATTTTGTCACAACCAGGCCTGCCCTAAAAGAGCTCCTAAAGGAAGCACTAAACATGGAAAGGAACAACAAGTACCAGCCACTGCAAAATCATGCCAAAATGTAAAGACCATTGAGACTAGGAAGAAACTGCCTCAACTAATGAGCAAAATAACCAGCTAACATCATAATGACAGGATCAAATTCACACATAACAATACTAACTTTAAATGTAAATGGACTAAATGCTCCAATTAAAAGGCACAGACTGGCAAATTGGATAAAGAGTCAAGACCCATCAGTGTGCTGTATTCAGGAAACCCATCTCACATGCACAGACACACATAGGCTCAAAATAAAAGGATGGAGGAAGATCTACCAAGCAAATGGAAAACAAAAAAAGGCAGGGGTTGCAATCCTCGTCTCTGATAAAACAGACTTTAAACCAACAAAGATCAAAAGAGACAAAGAAGGCCATTACATAATGGTAAAGGGATCAATTCAACAAGAAGAGCTAACTATCCTAAATATATAGACACCCAATACAGGAGCACCCAGATTCATAAAGCAAGTCCTGAGTGACCTACAAAGAGACTTAGACTCCCACACATTAATAATGGGAGACTTTAACACCCCACTGTCAACATTAGACAGATCAACAAGACAGAAAGTCAACAAGGATACCCAGGAATTGAACTCAGCTCTGCACCAAGTGGACCTAATAGACATCTACAGAACTCTCTACCCCAAATCAACAGATTATACATTTTTTTCAGCACCACACCACACCTATTCCAAAATTGACCACATACTTGGAAGTAAAGCTCTCCTCAGCAAATGTAAAAGAACAGAGATTATAACAAACTATCTCTCAGACCACAGTGCAATCAAACTAGAACTCAGGATTAAGAATCTCACTCAAAACTGCTCAACTACATGGAAACTGAACAACCTCCTCCTGAATGACTACTAGGTACATAACGAAATGAAGGCAGAAATAAAGATGTTCTTTGAAACCAACAAGAACAAAGACATAACATACCAGAATCTCTGGGACGCATTCAAAGCAGCGTGTAGAGGGAAATTTATAGCACTAAATGCCCACAAGAGAAAGCAGGAAAGATCCAAAATTGACACCTAACATCACAATTAAAAGAACTAGAAAAGCAAGAGCAAACACATTCAAAAGCTAGCAGAAGGCAAGAAATAACTAAAATCAGAGCAGAACTGAAGGAAATAGAGACACAAAAAACCATTCAAAAAATTAATTAATCCAGGAGCTGGTTTTTTGAAAGGATCAACAAAATTGATAGACCGCTAGCAAGACTAATAAAGAAAAAAAGAGAGAAGAATCAAATAGACGCAATAAAAAATGATAAAGGGGATATCACCACCAATCCCACAGAAATACAAACTACCATCAGAGAATACTACAAACACCTCTACGCAAATAAACTAGAAAATCTAGAAGAAATGGATACATTCCTCGACACATACACTCTCCCAAGACTAAACAAGGAAGAAGTTGAATCTCTGAATAGACCAATAACAGGATCTCAAATTGTGGCAATAATCAATAGCTTACCAACGAAAAAGAGTCCAGGACCAGATGGATTCACAGCCGAATTCTACCAGAGGTACAAGGAGGAACTGGTACCATTCCTTCTTGAAATTTGATTGAAACTATTCCAATCAACAGAAAAAGAGGGAATCCTCCCTCATTTTATGAGGCCAGCATCATTCTGATACCAAAGCCGGGCAAAGACACAACCAAAAAAGAGAATTTTAGACCAATATCCTTGGTGAACATTGATGCAAAAATCCTCAATAAAATACTGGCAAACCAAATCCAGCAGCACATCAAAAAGCCTATCCACCATGATCAAGTGGGCTTCATCTCTGGGATGCAAGGCTGGTTCAATATATGCAAATCAATAAATGTAATCCAGCATATAAACAGAACCAAAGGCAAAAACCACATGATTATCTCAATAGATGCAGAAAAGCCCTTTGACAAAATTCAACAACCCTTCATGCTAAAAACTCTCAATAAATTAGGTATTGATGGGACGTATTTCAAAATAATAAGACTATCTCTGACAAACCCACAGCCAATATCATACTGAATGGGCAAAAACTGGAAGCATTCCCTTTGAAAACTGGCACAAGACAGGGATGCCCTCTCTCACCACTCCTATTCAACATAGTGTTGGAAGTTCTGGCCAGGGCAATTAGGCAGGAGAAGGAAATAAAGGGTATTCAATTAGGAAAAGAGGAAGTCAAATTGTCCCTGTTTGCAGATGACATGATTGTATATCTAGAAAACCCCATTGTCTCAGCCCAAAATCTCCTTAAGCTGATAAGCAACTTCAGCAAAGTCTCAGGATACAAAATCAATGTACAAAAATCACAAGCATTCTTATACACCAACAACAGACAGACAGAGGGCCAAATCATGAGTGAACTCCCATTCACAATTGCTTCAAAGAGAATAAAATACCTAGGAATCCAATTTACAAGGGATGTGAAGGACCTCTTCAAGGAGAACTACAAACCACTGCTCAAGGAAATAAAAGAGGATACAAACAAATGGAAGAACATTCCATGCTCATGGGTAGGAACAATCAATATCGTGAAAATGGCCATACTGCCCAAGGTAATTTACAGATTCAATGTCATCCCCATCAAGCTACCAATGACTTTCTTCACAGAATTGGAAAAAACTACTTTAAAGTTTACATGAAGCCAAAAAAGAGCCCGCATCGCCAAGTCAATCCTAAGCCAAAAGAACAAAGCTGGAGGCATCACACTACCTGACTTCAAACTATACTACAAGGCTACAGTAACCAAAACAGCATGGTACTGGTACCAAAACAGACATATAGATCAATGGAACAGAACAGAGCCCTCAGAAATAACGCCGCATATCTACAACTATCTGATCTTTGACAAACCTGAGAAAAACAAGCAATGGGGAAAGGATTCCCTATTTAATAAATGGTGCTGGGAAAACTGGCTAGCCATATGTAGAAAGCTGAAACTGGATCCCTTCCTTACACCTTATACAAAAATCAATTCAAGATGGATTAAAGACTTAAACGTTAGACCTAAAACCATAAAAACCCTAGAAGAAAACCTAGGCATTACCATTCAGGACATAGGCATGGGCAAGGACTTCATGTCTAAAACACCAAAAGCAATGGCAACAAAAGACAAAATTGACAAATGGGATCTAATTAAACTAAAGAGCTTCTGCACAGCAAAAGAAACTACCATCAGAGTGAACAGGCAACCTACAAAATGGGAGAAAATTTTTGCAACCTACTCATCTGACAAAGGGCTAATATCCAGAATCTACAATGAACTCAAACAAATTTACAAGAAAAAAACAAACAACCCCATCAAAAAGTGGGCGAAGGACATGAACAGACACTTCTCAAAAGAAGACATTTATGCAGCCAAAAAACACATGAAAAAATGCTCACCATCACTGGCCATCAGAGACATGCAAATCAAAACCACAATGAGATATCATATCACACCAGTTGGAATGGCAATCATTAAAAAGTCAGGAAGCAACAGGTGCTGGAGAGGATGTGGAGAAATAGGAACACTTTTACACTGTTGGTGGGACTGTAAACTAGTTCAACCATTGTGGAAGTCAGTGTGGCGATTCCTCAGGGATCTAGAACTAGAAATACCATTTGACCCAGCCATCCCATTACTGGGTATGTACTCAAAGGACTATAAATCATGCTGCTATAAAGACACATGCACATGTATATTTATTGTGGCATTATTCACAATAGCAAAAACTTGGAACCAATCCAAATGTCCAACAATGATAGACTGGATTAAGAAAATGTGGCACATATACACCATGGAATACTATGCAGCCATAAAAAATGATGAGTTCATGTCCTTTGTAGGGACATGGATGAAATTGGAAATCATCATTCTCGGTAAACTATCGCAAGAACAAAAAACCAAACACCGCATATTCTCACTCATAGGTGGGAATTGAACAATGAGAACACATGGACACAGGAAGGGGAACATCAGACTCTGGGGACTGTTGTGGGGTGGGGGGAGGGGGGAGGGATAGCATTGGGAGATATACCTAATGTTAGATGACGAGTTAGTGGGTGCAGCGCACCAGCATGGCACATGTATACATATGTAACTAACCTGCACAATGTGCACATGTACCCTAAAACTTAAAGTATAATAAAAAGAAAAGATTTATATCTGTGTGTACATTTTACCTCAATTTAAAGGAGTATACACAGCTTGTATTTTTTTCTAGCTGATTTGTTGCTATTATACTATTTGTACTTGAGAGTAGATTTCATTCTAAATTGCTCGTTTTTGTTTTGTCATTCATTCTTTCATCCCTTTTAAGTTTTAGAGAAAACCAACCTGTCATCAATTTGAATATGAATAGAGAAGCAAGGGAGGGTGAAATGCGGTGGCCAGTTCAGTTTAGTTTATTATAGCACGAATACAGTGGAGAAATGACCAGGATATCAACCAAGGAGTTGACATTGGTAATGGAGAAGAGGAAAAGTGCTAGAAAATTTGATGGTATATACAATAGGACTGATTAGCCATGGTGGGCAGAGTAGGTCAGTACAGTAGAAGGAGAAAAGTAGAAGTAATTCTAGGTTCCTGTCTTGAGTGACTAAAGATGAATGTCAGTGCCCATCAAATAAGAAAAACAATACAACAGGCAATAAGTTAGAACAGGAAAGGCGAACGGGTGATGGGCTGATAAAAGACGATGAGTTCAGTTGTGTACAGATTGAGTTTAAGTGCCTAAGGGAAACCCAAAAGGAGAGGTCAAATAGGCAGCTGGTCATATTATCCAGATCCACTAAATCCTTATTAGGTTGTTACAAAAGTAATTGCAGTTTTTGCCATTAAAAGTAATACTTTCTGCTTTGCAGTAGAAACTTGGGTTGGTCCCCACATATCGTTTTTAAGTCTCATGTATAAAAATGAATTTAATCCTTCTGACTCCCTTCAACAAAATATTCCAAGGCCAATGACAAATTTTTGACTTGCTTTGCATTTTGAAAATAATTATCTCCAAAGTTTAGATCAGGCTCTATTATGAGCTATCATGGTAGAAGTAAAAAGCATCTGAGTTTTGGAATCAGGCTGACCTTGATTCCAATCCTTGCTCTGCCATTTAGAAGCCAGTTGATCTTGGATAAGTTTATTTATGCATCCTGGCCTCAATCTCTTCTTCAGCAAAAGGGGATTAGGAATCCTATCTTGCAGTAGTGTTATGAAATACTGTGTGGGAAAGAACCTAGCATACAATAAATGCTTAATACATATCCATGTATTTGTAGCCTTCCTTTCAGAGGATGAAGGGTTGATTTACAAGCAAAACAGTATTAGGCAAAATTGTAAAGTATGAAAAAATGCTAGACCATTTTCTTCCCCATGCCTCTTCAAAGTCCAAGACTTTCTTTCCTCTTTTCATCATCAAAAATCAGCTCTCAGGAGAGGATGTGACATCAGTCCTTTGCCTCTCATTGTTAAGTTTACATCATCCCCTCCTTCATGTGCCTGGGGGGACTTCACATTCCAGGCCTTCTATGCAACAATAGAAAGAATGGCTTTGTTTCTGGTTAAAGGCTCAGTGTGCTGGTTAGAAGGAGGCTGTGCCTGGCAGGGTCCCTTCCTGGAACTCCTGAAATCCTCCCTATGAAAGTAGCTAATTCTCTTCTGTGCCTCCAAGTTAGTAGCTTAAAGCAAAAGAAAACACTATTTCACCATATCTAGTATATACTTGTCCCCAATTAGCCATCTGAAGCTTCTCTCTCTACCCTCCCCATCATCTACCCACCTCCCTGGCTGTGTGGTTTTATTTTGGATTTCAATTATTTTGTTATTAGTAGTAGTAATTCTCCATAAGAGACAAATAGGGGGAAGGGGAGTATTTGTCTATTATTTATTGCTGTTTAGGCTAAATGTCTGCAGGTTAATTAAATAGAAAAGTGTCCCCCCCGGGAATGTAGTAGGTCCCTAGTGGTCCAATAAGGTAATAAAACCATGGTGAAACTGAAAGCATTATTGCATGCTGCTTTATTCTCATCAGCAAAGACTTCCAAATACAAATGTAGTCAATTATTGGGTGATTCAGAACAGGAATTTTTGGAATTTAATTATGAAAGTGGTCTGTGTGGGCACTGCAGTCACTGATGGGCAAATGACTGGGAGCTGTCCAAGGGCCAGTGACCTGATGTCTTGACTAAGCACATTCACCCAGAAAGGGATGGTTGAACAAAGAATTCTGCTCTGGCTTTATCAAAGAAATTGTCTACCACTACAACAACCTCTCTTCAGTGTGTGTGTGTGTGTGTGTGTGTGTGTGTGTGTGTGTGTGTGTGTGTACCACCTCATTTTCTTTGTTCCTTCAGCCTCCCTCCATTAATTTGCTAAGTCCTCCTAAGGATCTTAAATTCCTCCAAACAATAGGACAGATATCTTCAGCATCTGAGCAACAATGAAATCAATAAAGACTTTGGAGGGGAGCAAGAAGAATGGTGTGTAGTAATGGCAATTATTCACTGAAAGCAATCTAACCCATTCTTAATTTAATTTGGAGTGCCATTATTTCAGGATTCCAAATGCTAAGGTCATTTTAATCATGCAGATCTCATGTCTTATCGAGTTGTGGCAGAGAATTACTCTTTTTTGTGACCCTGAGTTAGCAAGGACATACTGGGCAAACAGCCAAGGTGCAATACGCTCAATAATAATAATAATCTATACCTAAAGTTAGAGTGATGGTTATTAGCCATTGGCTATTCTGATAGGAGGAGTGTCACCTTTTCAGACCCTCTAGCTGGGTGACTTAGCACTTTCTTTAGTGAATGAAAAGCATCATCACATCAACTATCTTTCTTTCATGGGAGGAAAGAAGGCATAACACACATACTATAGAGAAAAGGTATAAAGTAACAAAATTTTTTATATGTAAAAGAGAAGTAGGTATAGGGGGAGGGGTTTGGGGGAGAAAAGGAAAATAATCTGACCTTGGAAAGAAGGGGAAAAAAACCTCTTTCCTGGGGGGTTTTCTTAGAGTGTAGGAAGAACCAGAGATTTATTTTGAACCCATTTCCTCGTCACAAAAAGAAAAAGAACTTGGAGATCTACTTCCTGTAAAAGAGCAAACAGATATTAAGTCCCAGGTCATTTTAGTCTGTAAGCAAGGTTTGTGTTCTCTTTTCTAATAGCTGTTGTTTGTTGAATTCAAATTGTATACAGGAAAGTTCGCAAGTCCTTTGCATATATTAACATTATTTAATTTTCACTGCAAAACCTGCAATATATATTTTCTTCATTTTATAGATGGGAAAAGTGAACCTTTAAGAGGAAATGTGTAATTTGTCCACAACTAGCAAGAGACAGAGCTGGAATTTTTCATTTAGAATTCCAAGCCTCCCACTTTTTATTCTGCGTCACCAGGATTTTTTCAACTTGCAGAGGTATTTTGTTGTTGCTGCTGTTTGTCTTAATGAAGAATTCAAATATGGCCTTCCAAAATATTTTTTTCTTGAGTTAAATAGGTTTCAAAGCTCTCAAAAAAGTACTGAAATATCTAATCATGTATTATCTCCTTTTCAGAGTGCTCTAAATAAGTTTGATTTTAAAGGCACAATTAGTTAAAATAGGCCTAAAAAGTTGGCGTGCACTTGATTTGGAAGCTAAGATTGGCACCCATGGTCTTAGCAATTAGCTATCATGAGAAAGTAGATGCTGAACCAGAGGACACTTGATGTGTCCTATCTTGGGCCAGCTTGTGCTAGAAGATTCTATGAATGGGTTGAAACCAGTTTGCTCTGTGATGTTGAAAGCCACTTACCTTCCCTGTGCCTCACTAGATAGTGATATTAGTAGAAATTTTGATCACTATCTCATTCTGCAAAAAGCTGCCAGGACTAATAAAATAATACTAGCAAAATACTATTTGGTATAAAGATATAAGTGAATTATTTTTCACTATTTGGTATAAAGATATAAGTGTTTTTTTTTTCTTAAACACAACTCCAAAACATTAATCCCTCTAATTCACCTTCTAGGGAATAAAGTCACAAGCTAGTCAATAATTCAAACTCCCCAGTAAAATGAGAAAGTATTATTGACCCTGAAGAGCACAAAGGTTAATTTATTTGCAAAAATCACCTCCTGCCTCCTGCTGTGGGTGGAACGAAAATATGTCAAGACTCATGAGAAAGCAATCACCTCCTTCTCCCTATAGCTCGACATTTCTGTTTGTTTTGTGTGTGTATTGGTAGGGGACCTAGGTCTCAGGAAGACATGTTGGAGAGATGTTTGAGTATGCTTGCTACATATCTAAAAATTTGTATGTTCTAACTTTGTCCATGAAGCCATAGGGATCAAGAGGAATATTGGCAAATGTAGATGACAGCCAAGCACATTTTGCCGGCCAGGCAGATTTTTTGCAAGCCCCTTTATTTATTTATTTTTTAATGATTTGCAAGCCGGTAAATTGAATTACTCAGTTTTGATTATAAAATAGGTTAGTAGGGAAGCCCAGAAGGTCCACTTGTTCACCATTACAACTACTATCTTTTCTCTCTACCTGATACTGTTCTTCAGAGAAATCACTTCTACTTTTTTTTTTTTTTTTTTTTAGACAGAGTCTCACTCTGTCAGCCAGGCTGGAGTGCAGTGGCATGATCTTGGCTCACTGCAACCTCTGCCTCCTGGGCTCAAGTGATTCTCCTGCCTCAGCCTCCTGAGTAGCTGGGATTACAAGCATGTGCCACCATGCCCGGCTAATTTTTGTATTTTTAGTAGAGACGGGGTTTCACCATGTTGGCCAGGCTGGTCTCAAACTCCTGACCTCAGGTAATCTGCCCACCTCAGCCTCCCAAAGTGCTGGGATTATAGGCGTGAGCCACCACGCCCGACCATCACTCCTATTTTTAATCTAATCTACAAAAACTATGCATTTCTTCAAATTAGTCCCAATAATTTGAATAAGAGAACACTAATTTTAAGTCATGACTTGTTGACATTTGACTTTTAAACTTAGTCATGAGCTCATTAAGAGGCTTTTTGATTTAAAATACCCTTACTTTGGCCAGGTGCAGTGGCTCACACCTGTAATCCCAGCACTTTGGGAGGCCAAGGCTAGTGGATCACTTGAGGTCAGGAGTTTGAGACCAGCCTGGCCAATATGATGAAAGCTCATCTCTACTAAAAATACAAAAATTAGCTGGGTGTCATGGCAGGCACCTGTAATCCCAACTACTCAGGAGGTTGAGGCAAAAGAATTCCTTGAACCTGGGAGGCAGAGGTTGCAGTGAGCTGAGATTGCACAACTGCCCTCCAGCCTAGGCAACAGAATGAGACTCTGTCACAAAAATAAATAAAAATAAAATAAGTAAAATAAAATACTCCCGCTTTAAAATGCATTTGGGAATGATGTATAGTGGATAATTGTTCTTTTATTATTATTATACAGAATCCATCCTCCCTTCTTTCCGCAACAGAAACCCAATTCCCTTTAGGGGACATGTATCTTCCACAAGGTGTGTAGTCTGAGTAGGATTATAAATGAAGGCTCCTCCCCATCCCCTTGATAAGTGGTGGAAGTGTAACACCCAACAGGCTCTCCTTGCCCCCTGTCTAGGCAGGGCCAATTTATCAAGACAGGGGAATTTCAGTAGAGAATTGCAACTCATACAGAGCCAGGTGTATGGGAGACCAGAGTTTTATTATTGCTCAAATCGATCTCCCCCAAAACTTGGGGATCAGGGTTTTAAGGACAATTTGGTGCATAAGGGGTTGGAAAATGGGGAGTACTGATTAATTGGGTCAGAGATGAAATTATAGGGAGTGGAAGCTGTCTTTTGCACTGAGTCATTTCCTGGGTAGGGTTCACAAGACCAGATGAGCTAGTTTATTGTTCTGCATGGTACCAGCTGAACCATGGAGTACAGGATCTGCAAAATATCTCAAGCACTGATCTTAGATTTTACAATAGTGATGTTATCCCCAGGAGCAATCTAGAGAGGTTCAGAATTTTGCAGCCTCCAGCTGCATGACTCCTAAACCATATTTTCTAATCTTGTAGCTAACTTGTTAGTCCTGTAAAAGCAATCTAGTCTCCAGGCAGGAAGGGGGTTTGTTTTGGGAAAGGGCTGTTATTGTCTTTGTTTCAAAGTTAAACTATAAACTAATTTCCTCCCATAGTTAGTTCAGTCTATGCCCAGGAATGAACAAGGACAACTTGGAGGTTAGAAGCAAGGTGGAGTCAGTTATGTCAGAAGTCTTTCACTGTCATAATTTTCTCAGTTATAATTTTTGCAAAGGCAGTTTTATAAACCTCACTATGTCAAAGGAGCCTCCATCCTATATATCTTGAGAGTGGCACTTGCCCATCTTAGCACCAGAGCCTGGTGAGATAGTTAGGTAAATCTTGAAACTGGGCTTTTTTTTTTTTTTTTTTTTTTTTTTTTGAGACAAAGTTTTGCTCTTGTTGCCCAGGCTGGAGTGCAATGGCGCGATTTCAGCTCACCACAAACTCAGCCTTCCGGGTTCAAGCGATTCTCCTGCCTCAGCCTCCCAGGTAGCTGGGATTACAGGCATGCACCACCATGCCCGGCTAATTTTTTGTATTTTTAGTAGAGACGGGGTTTCTCCCTGTTGGTCATTCTGGTCTCGAACTCCCCATCTCAGGTGATTCACCAGCCTTGGCCTCCCAAAGTGCTGGGATTACAGGCTTGAGCCACCTCACCTGGCCAAAACTGGGAATTCTAAAACAATTTGCTTCCTTTATTTTCCTCAGTCAGTCCTATTCCTCAGTTTTCCCTTTAATTCCGTGAGTCCTCCTAAATCATACTTCTCTCCATCCTTTATAAATTCTCATTTCATGTAAGTTAACCATAATCCATTCCTTTTGCTTGCAAACAAGTATGCTGCTACACTGTCTTTCTGAAAATACTACAATTAGCTGGAAGCAATGATGTGAAAATCAAAGCCTAACTGGACCAGGGATGTGGATGACTTGTCTTAAACAGCTCAGGCTTTGATCTTATTTCTCCTCTGTATTGTTTTAAAAGCATCTGTGGGAGGAAAAAGAAATATAATGAAATCTCTCAATTAACTACCAAGTCTCTTGAAGAAGAAGTCAAAACTTAAGCTTCTCTAGTATTTGCCTTTTTGAATTCTGTACCCTGAATGGAAAGTCTTGGTATCCAAGCCAATTCTGATACAAAAAATAAACAATATAAATCAGTTAACTGAAAAATAAGACTAGGTCAGATTTCCATCTGACTTTTTTTTTTTTGGAGACTGAGTCTCACTGGCTCTGTCACGCCCAGGCAGGAGTGCAGTGGTGCAATCTTGGCTCACTGCAACCTCCGCCTCCTGGGTTCAAGCAATTCTCCTGTAGTCCCTGAGTAGCTAGGACTACAGGCGCCCACCACCACACTCAGCTAATTTTCGTATTTTCAGTAGAGACGGGGTTTCACCATGTTGGCCAGGCTAGTCTTGAACTCCTGACCTCAGGTGATCCACCCACCTCAGCCTCCCAAAATGCTGGGATCACAGGTGTGAGCCACTGAGCACAGCCTCCATCTGACATTTTTTATCAGCATCCCTTCAAAAGGCAACATCAGGAAATTGTGAATTAAATAAATTTTGAATCCTGTTTCAGATCATGCCAATTCCTTAGCTTTGCAGATTCCAAAATCTGCTTTCAAATTAGATATTTCATTAGCTTTAATGTATCTTCTAACCTGATGCAGACTCTGAGTTGCATTTTGTAATTTGGGTTCATTCATAATTTACTCTTCAGGAAATTATTATATGAGTATAACAGCTGGAGATGATCGTCCTCCCTCTTCTGTTCTGAGCATTGAAGTAATAACAGCAAGTTAGCACAAGTTTCTTTGGCTGCTGACATAATGAGCTACTTAAGTAACATTATGGTTGAAACCACATGAAGGGAAAGACAAGAAAGAGAACTAATATTTATTGAACACATACTATTCGCCAAGCATTATGTAGGAATTTATTATTACCATTTTTAAGAGAAGAAAACTGAGGTTTGAAGATGCTAAATAATCTTTTTTGTTTAATATACGCTTATTGGAGATTTACCATGTGTCAGGAACTGTGCTAGGCCCTGGAGATACAAAGGTGACTGCTGTAGTAGTAAATGGCAGATCCGTGAATCAAACCTAGGTCCACCTGTCCCTGAAGCCTAGGCCATAACTGATATATCTCCCATGGCACATCCCCTAGGTCAGGATCTCCTCTCCTGATATGAAAGTGAGACCAAGAGCCAGAAAAGAGCCTGTTTCTCCAATGTTTTGGCATCAAGACAATAGATTCTTGAAATTTTTATAATTAGAACCACTTCTAAGTACAGTGAAGAAATTTCATAATTCTCAATCTTATGATTTTAGTTTTCCCAAGGTTCCTTTAAACTTTAGAACAAGTATTATTACTCTCAATTTACACACGGGGAAGAAAAAAGCTTAATGAGATTAAATTACTTAATAAGGGTCCTGGAATTAAAATAAGAAATGATCATCTGGGCTTGACAGTCTGGGCAAGATAGTGAGTTAACACATTATTGGCTACCCCCACTCTACTACAACTTAACCTTGGAGATGCTACAGGAGAGGTCAGAAGGTGGAAGGAATACAGAGCCTTAATTATTTACCGTTAACTGCAAGTAGCCCTTGGGGAGACCAAAAGTAGTTAAGAAGAACAGCCTTGGAAGGAAGAAGGTCAGAAACCAAAGAAAAGGAAAGAACTCAAGGATGGCTTGCTTTCTTCCACATTATCTTGGGGGCATATTTCTGTCCATCTACTGCTGCCTCAAGGCAGGTCAGTGCCAGTCTGAGGTGGCCCTACCTAAGGGCAATAATGGAGCTCAGTAGATTATTGGGACTGGGAAACAAAACATCCAAAGTTAGATACATGTTATAGTTCAAAATATCAGGAACCCAATGGGTAGATTAAATAGCAAGTGAATGAACATAGCTAAAGTAAAAATTAGTAAGCTAGAACATTATATACAAGGGGTCCCCTAACAGGAACTAGAAAGGGTAAGAGTTGGAAGAAAAAAGGTAAAAATTAAGTAATATAGAAGATAGAAATAGAAGTAACAGACTCCATCAATTATGAGTCACAAAAGGAGAGAAATCAGTTTCCAGATGAACAGAAGAAAGAATTTTTAAATGTAATGGTGATGAATTTCCCATAATTGAATAAAAAATATATATCCTTTGTACCCTTTGTTCTGTGCTACTGCCGTATGTGTTCCACAAAAAACAGTCAACTAAGAAAGAAAAAGACGTGTGATTCAGGAAACAGGGATTCCATCATGGGAGAGAGGCCAAGGAAATTCTTTAGTTAATGGGGGGAAGAGATCCTGGAATGATTGTCATGTGGCAGACCTAGGGAGCAACCAGTCCATGTTAGAGGAAAAGGTCAGAGGCTCTGAGAGAAATGCTTTCAAGACAATAAATTCTTAGACTATTTGATATTTAAATGTATTGTGAAGAGACATGCTGGTGACAGAAATTTTAGGGATGAATTGGTATTCGGTGTCTACAAAACTAAGCAAGTAGAAAAGCAAAAACAATTATGAATGCCAACAAAAACAAAAAATTATACAAGAAAGAAAATATATGCTGATAATACATTAAATGCTTGCTTTTGAATAATTTCTGTTATATATACATTGAGCTCCAAAACAGAAAAATGGAAAGCCAATTGCGTGCATTTCTTAGGGCTGCTCTAACAAAGTACCACACACCAGGTGGCTTAAGAAGAGAAATTTATTGTCTCACAGTTCTGGAGGCTAGAGGTCCAAAAACAAGGCGTTGGCAGGATTGGTTCTTTCTGAAGACTGTGAGGAAGGATCTGTTCCAGGTCTCTCTCTCCGCTTGTAGATGACCATCTTTATGTTCACATGGTGTTCTCTCTGTCTTCAAGTCTAAATTTCCCCTTTTTGTAAGAACACCAGTCATACTGGATTAGGGTCCTCACTTTATCTCAATTATCTCTGTAAATATCCTACCACTAAATAAGGTAACATTCTGAGGTACTGAGGGTTAAGAAGGTAACATGAATTTTGGAGAGACATAATTCAACCCACAACACTGCCCAATTCATTTCATGAGGCCAGTATATCCTTAATATCAAAATTGAATAACAATTTAATTGAGAAGAGATGTCATCAAGATGGCTGGCTAGAAGCACTCAGCACTCACCTCCTCCAGGAAGAACAATTAGAACAACAAACAGGCAATCACATGTTCAATAGAGTGTCTGGGGGAGAACACTGGAATTCAGCAAAAAAGTGATGAAGACCCTTTGAGGCACAGAGACTCAGGATGGCAGCATAGAGAGGAAAGCAAAGCACCAGCTCAGATTGACTCAGAGCCAAGAGAGACTCACACTGTGAGGGAAAAGGTAAGTGGAAGATCCCTGCCATCCACATTTCCACCACAGTTACCTGTGTCAGGCCTCTGAGCCCAAGCTAAGCCATCATATCCACTGTGACCTGCACATACACATCCAGATGGCCAGTTCCTGCCTTAACTGATGACATTCCACCACAAAAGAAGTGAAAATGGCCTGTTCCTGCCTTAACTGATGACACTGTCTTGTGAAATTCCTTCTCTGGCTCATCCTGGCTCAAAAGCTCCCCTACTGAGCACCCTGTGACCCCCACTCTGCCCGCCAGAGAACAACCCCCCGTTGACTGTAATTTTCCTTTATCTACCCAAATCTTATAAAACGGCCCCACCCCTATCTCCCTTCACTGACTCTCTTTTCGGACTCAGCCCACCTGCACCCAGGTGAAATAAACAACCATGTTGCTCACACAAAGCCTGTTTGGTGGTCTCTTCACACGGACGCGCATGAAATTTGGTGCTGTGACTCAGATCAGGGGACCTCCCTTGGGAGATCAATCCCCTGTCCTCCTGCTCTTTGCCGTGTGAAAAAGATCCACCTACGACCTCAGGTCCTCAGACCCACCAGCCCAAGGAACATCTCACCAATTTTAAATCGGGTAAACAGCCTCTTCTTACTCTCTTCTCCAACCTCTCTCACTATCCCTCAACCACTTTCTCCTTTCCACTCTTCAATCTCTCCCTTCTCTTAATTTCAATTCTTTTCATTTTCTGGTAGAGACAAATGAGACACATTTTATCCATGGACCCAAAACTCCGGCGCCGGTCACAGACTGGGAAGGCAGCCTTCCCTTGGTGTTTAGTCATTGCAGGGACACCTCTCTGATTATTCACCCACGTTTCAGAGGTGTCAGACCATGCAGGGACACCTGCCTTGGTCCTTCACCCTTAGCGGCAAGTCCTGCTTTTCTGGGGGAGGGGCAAGTACCCCAATCCCTTCTCTCCGTGTCTCTACCCCTTCTCTGCTTTTCTGGGGGAGAGGCAAGAACCCCTCAACCCCTTCTCCTTCAC
The DNA here is from genome assembly GCF_000001405.40 of Homo sapiens. Taxonomy (NCBI): domain Eukaryota; kingdom Metazoa; phylum Chordata; class Mammalia; order Primates; family Hominidae; genus Homo; species Homo sapiens. The sequence goes on from NC_000002.12 coordinate 207,018,188, forward strand.
CCTTAGTGGCAAGTCCCACTTTTCTGGGGGAGGGGCAGGTACCCCAACCTCGTATGTCTGTGCCCCATCCCTTATTTCTGTGCTCCGACCTCTTATATCTCTGTGCCCCGATCCCTTACTTCTGCACCCCAACCTCTTATATCTCTGCACCCTGACCCCTTATCTCCATGCCCCGATCTCATATCTCTGTGCCCCAACCCCTTTCCCACTTTTCTGGAGGGTAAGAACCCCCGAACTGCTTCCCTCCGTGTCTCTACTCTCCCTTTTCTTTAAACTTGCCTCCTTCACTATAGGCAACCTTCCACCCTCCATTCCTCTTTCTTCTCCCTTAGCCTCTGTTCTTAAGAACATAAAACCTCTTCAACTCTCACCTGACCTAAAACCTAAATGCCTTATTTTCTTCTACAATGCCGTTTGACCCCAATACAAACTAGACAGTGGTTCTAAATGGCCAGAAAACGGCACTTCCAATTTCTCCATCCTACAAGACCTAAATAATTTTTGTTGAAAAATAGGCAAATGGTCTGAGGTGCCTGATGTCCAGGCACTCTTTTACACATCAGTCCCTCCCTAGTCTCTGTTCCCAATGCAACTAGTCAAAAATCTTCCTTCTTTCCCTCCTACCTGTCCCCTCAGTCCCAACCCCAAGCGTCACTGAGTCTTTCTAATCTTCCTTTTCTACAGACCCATTTGACCTCTCCCCTCCTTGCCAGGCCAAGCTAGGTCCCAATTCTTCCTCAGCCTCCGCTCCTCCACCCTATAATCTTTTTATCACCTCCCCTCCTCACACCCGGTCCGGTTTACAGTTTCATTCCATGAGTAGCCCTCCCCCACCTGCCCAGCAATTTCCTCTTAAAAAGGTAGCTGAAGCTAAAGGCATAGTCAAGGTTAATGCTCCTTTTTCTTTATCAGACCTCTCCCAAATCAGTGAGCGTTTAGGCTCTTTCATCAAATATGAAAAACCCAGCCCAGTTCATGGCTCATTCAGCAGCAACCCTGAGACGCTTTACAGCCCTAGACCCTAAAAGGTCAAAAGGCCGTCTTATTCTCAATATACGTTTTATTACCCAATCTGCTCCCAACATTAAATAAAACTCCAAAAATTAAATTCCGGCCCTCAAACCCCACATCAGGACTTAATTAACCTCACCTTCAAGGTGTACAATAATAGAGCAGAGGCAGCCAAGTAGCAACATATTTCTGAGTTGCAATTCTTTGCCTCCACTGTGAGACAAACCCCAGCCACATCTCCAGCACACAAGAACTCCAAACGCCTGAACCGCAGCTGCCAGGGGTTCCTCCAGAACCTCCTCCCCCAGGAGGAGGCACTTGCTACAAGTGCCGGAAATCTGGCCACTGGGCCGAGGAATGCCCGCAGCCCGGGATTCCTCCTAAGCCATGTCCCATCTGTGTGGGACCCCACTGGAAATCAGACTGTTCAACTCACCTGGCAGCCACTCCCAGAGTCCCTGGATCTCTGGCCGAAGGCTCTCTGACTGACTCCTTCCCAGACCTTCTCGGCTTAGCAGCTGAAGACTGACACTGCCCGATCGCCTTGGAAGCCTACAGGACCACCACAGACACTCTAAGTAACTCTCACAGTGGATGGTAAGTCCATCCCCTTCTTAATCAATATGGAGGCTACTCACTCCACATTACCTTATTTTCAAGGGCCTGTTTCCCTTGCTTCCATAACTGCTGTGCATATTGACGGCCAGGCTTCTAAACCTCTTAAAACTTCCCAACTCTGGTGTCAACTTAGACAATACTCTTTTAAGCACTCCTTTTTAGTTATCCCCACCTGCCTAGTTCCCTTATTAGGCCGAGACACTTTAACTAAATTATCTGCTTCCCTGACTATTCCTGGGCTACAGCCACACCTCATTGCCGCCTTTTCCCCCAGTTCAAAGCCTCCTTCACATCCTCCCCTTGTATCTCCCCACCTTAACCCACAAGTATAAGACACCTCTACTCCCTCCTTAGCTATCGATCATGCACCACTTACCATCCCATTAAAACCTAATCACTCTTACCCCGCTCAGTGCCAATATCCCATCCCACAGCACGCTTTGAAAGGATTAAAGCCTGTTATCACTCGCCTGTTACAGCATGGCGTTTTAAAGCCTATAAACTCCCCTTACCATTCCCCCATTTTACCTGTCCTAAAACCAGACAAGGCTTACAGGTTAATTCAGGATCTGCGCCTTATCAACCAAATTGTTTTGCCTATCCACCCTGTAGTGCCCAACCCGTACACTCTTTTGTCCTCAATACCTTCCTCCACAACTAACTGTTCCGTTCTTGATCTTAAAGATGCTTTTTTCACTATTGCCCTGCACCCCTCGTCCCAACCTCTCTTTGCTTCCACTTGGACTAACCCTGACACCCATCAGTCCCAGCAGCTTACCTGGGCTGTGCTGCTGCAAGGTTTCAGGGACAGCCCTCATTACTTCAGCCAAGCTCTTTCTCATGATTTAGTTTCTTTCCACCCCTCTGCTTCTCACCTTATTCAATATACTGATGACCTTCTTCTTTGTAGCCCCTCCTTTGAATCTTCTCAACAAGACACACTTCTGCTCCTTCAGCATTTACTCTCCAAAGGATTTCAGGTATCCCCCTCCAAAGCTTAAATTTCTTCTCCATTCGTTACCTACCTCGGCATAATTCTTCATAAAAACACACTTGCTCTCCCTGCTGATCGTGTCTGACTAATCTCTCAAACCCCAACCCCTTCTACAAAACAACAACTCCTTTCCTTCCTAGGCATGGTTCCTAGCCTTTGGATACCTGGTTTTCCATCCTAACAAAACCATTATATAAACTCACAAAAGGAAACCTAGCTGACCCCATAGATCCTAAATCCTTTCCCCACTCCTCTTTCCGTTCCTTGAAGACAGCTTTAGAGACTGCCCCCACTCTAGCTCTCCCTGACTAATCCCAACCCTTTTCATTACACACAGCTGAAGTGCAGGGCTGTGCAGTCAGAATTCTTACACAAGGACCAGGATCCCGTCCTGTAGCCTTTTTGTCCAAACAACTTGACCTTACTGTTTTAAGCTGGCAATTATGTCTCCATGCAGTGGCTGCTGCCGCCATAATACTTTTAGAGGCCCTTAAAATCACAAACTATGCCCAACTCACTCTCTACAGCTCTCGTAATTTCCAAAATCTATTTTCTTCCTCACACCTGACGCATATACTTTCTGCTCCCTGGCTCCTTCAGCTGTACTCACTCTTTGTTAAGTCTCCCACAATTACCATCGTTCCTGGCCCGGACTTCAATCCAGCCTCCCACATTATTCCTGATACCACACCTGACCCTCATGACTGCATCTCTCTGATCCACCTGACATTCACCCCATTTCCGCACATTTCCTTCTTTCCTGTTTCTCACCCTGATCACACTTGGTTTATTGATGGCAGTTCCACCAGGCCTACTCACCACACACGAGCAAAGGCAGACTATGCTATAGTACAAACCACTAGCCCGCCTCTTAAAACTTCTCATTTCCTTTCCATCGTAGAAATCTGTCCTCAAGGAAATAACTTCTCAGTGTTCCATCTGCTATTCTACTACTTCTCAAGGATTATTCAGGCCCCCTCCCTTCCCTACATATCAAGCTTGAGGATTTGCCCCCACCCAGGACTGGCAAATTAGCTTTAATCAACATGCCCTGAGTCAGATAACTAAAATACCTCTTAGTCTAGGTAGACACTTTCACTAGATAAGTAGAGGCCTTTCCTACAGTGTCTGAGAAGTCCACCGCCGTCATTTCTTCCCTTCTGTCAGACATAATTCCTCAGTTTAGCCTTCCCACCTCTATACAGTCTAATAACGGACCAGCCTTTATTAGTCAAATCAGCCAAGCATTTTTTCAGGCTCTTAGTATTCAGTGACAGACTAATGATCTATTAAAAACACACCTCACCAAGCTCAGCCACCAACTTAAAAAGGACTGGACAATACTTTTACCACTTTCCCTTCTCAGAATTCAGGCCTGTCCTTGGAATGCTACAGGGTACAGCCCATTTAAGCTCCTGTATAGATGCTCCTTTTTATTAGGCCCCAGTCTCATTCCAGACACCAGACCAACTTAGGCTGTGCCCCAAAAAACTTGTCATCCCTACTATCTTCTGTCTAGTCATATTCCTATTCACTGTTCTCAACTACTCATACATGCCCTGCTCTTGTTTACACTGCCAGTTTACACTGTTACTCCAAGTCATCACAGCTGATATCTCCTGGTGCTATCCCCAAACTGCCACTCTTAACTCTTAAAGTAAATAAATAATCTTTACTGGCAAGGCTATGCTGAACCTCCTTAGGCACTCTCTAATTAGGTGTTCTAGGTCCTCCCAATTCTTAGTCCTTTAATACCTGTTTTTCTCCTTCTCTTATTCCATTTAGTTTTTCAATTCATACAAAACCGTATCCAGGCCATCACCAATAATTCTAAATGACAAATGTTTCTTCTAACAACCCCACAATATCACCCCTTACCACAAAATCTTCCTTCAGCTTAATCTCTCCCACTCTAGGTTCCCACACCACCCCTAATCCCACTCGAAGCAGCCCTGAGAAACATCGCCCATTATCTCTCCATACCACCCCCAAAAATTTTCACCTTCCCAACGCTTTACCACTATTTCGTTTTTTTTTTCTTATTAATATAAGAAGACAGGAATGTCAGGCCTCTGAGCCCAAGCTAAGCCATCATATCCCCTGTGACCTGCATGTACACATCCAGATGGCTGGTTCCTGCCTTAACTGATGACATTCCACCACAAAAGAAGTGAAAATGGCCTGTTCCTGCCTTAACTGATGACATTGTCTTGTGAAATTCCTTCTCCTGGCTCATCCTGGCTCAAAAGCTCCCCTACTGAGCACCTTGTGACCCCCCACTCTGCCCACCAGAGAACAACCCCCCTTTGACTGTAATTTTCCTTTATCTACCCAAATCTTATAAAATGGCCCCACCCCTATCTCCCTTCACTGACTCTTTTTTCGGACTCAGCCTGCCTGCACCCAGGTGAAATAAACAGCCATGTTGCTCACACAAAGCCTGTTTGGTGGTCTCTTCACACGGACGCGCATGAAAACCTGCAATCCAAGCTGAAAGAGAGAACCACAGCCCTTGCAGTCCTTGAGACTTGTATGGAAAGCTGTCTTGGGTTCCCACAATTGCATTATTCCAAAGAGGGATTTTATAATAGGTTCTCCTCAAAATGGCAGCACATTATCATTTTAAGAGTGAAGCCAACATAAGAGTGCATCATGTCCTAGGGTCCAATAGGTCCTGTATCTCCACATCCTGGGACCCCACCAACATCCCACTACATTCATCCAAAGGGCTACCGTGTCACAATCCTAGCTCGATCCAGCAGTGCAGCCATGACTCTGGCACTTCCCACATTGCATACTACATACAATACTACAGTGAGGATGCTGCCTCTAGGACAGAGGAAGCCAATGCATGTGCTCCCCAGAACTCAAGTCCTGCTTACCTGGGGCCTGACACCACCACTGCCTGTGACCCTGCACCACAGTGGTGGAGCTAGTGCTCCCTCCAGGGACCCAAGGACTCGCAAGAACAGGGCCTGCTGCCACTGCTGGCATTCCTGCCTCCTCCAAAGCATACCTGTCATGGGTCTTCATGTGCCCCCTAGGGACTTGAGGACTGGCCTGTCTGGGACCTACTGCTGCTGCTAACAATCTTATCCCCTTCAGCAGCAGAACCACTGAGCATCCACATGTGTCCTCCAGGGGCCTGAGGAGTGGCCCTCTCCAATGGCAGAGTTGCTGTGCACCTGAGTGTGGCCCCCTGGGGCCAAAGGACCAACCCATTTGGCATCCCCTTCTCCAGCAAAGCCATGCCACAGCGTCTACCACAGCCTAGGCCACTGAGGTACTCACAGACATGCTGACATTGATTAAAACAAAAGAAATCCTGTGGAGACTACACTACTGTGCCATCCACAACGAAAGGCAAAGTACACTATCCAACCAACACTACAGGATACAATACACCCACAGGAAAAAGTCTTTTTCTATGAAAGCTACTCCATAAAATTGAAAGAAATGGCTGTTCAACAAGATGTGCAGATATCCATGTAGAGATATAAGAAATATGAAAAAGCAAGGAAACATGACACCTTCAAAGGAAAACAGTAATTCTCCAGTAACAGTCCCCAAAGACAAGAAAATCTCCAAAATGTCTGAAAAAAAATTTACAATAAAAATATTAGGAAAACTCAGTGAAATGTGAGAGAACACAGAAAGGAAATTCAATGAAATCAGAAAAACAATTCATCATCTGAATTAGAAATTCAACAAAAAGATAGGAGATAGATATCATAAAATAGAACCAAACAGAAATCTTGGAACTGAAGAATTTAATGAGTGAAATAAAAAATAAAATGAAAAGCTTTAATAATAGACTAGATCAAGCAGAAGAATGAATTTCTGAACTTGAAAACAGGTCTTTTGCAATACCTGGTCAGACAAAAAAAAAAAAAAAAGAAAAAAGGAATAAAAAAGAATAAAGAAAGTAAGAAAGTCTACAGGACACATGGAGCATCACTAAGTTTCAAAAGGACAGAAAGATGGGAAATAGCATAGAAAACCTGTTTAATGAACTAATAGCTGAAAACTTTCCAAGTGTTGGGATATGGACATCCAGATACAAAAAGCTCAAAGATCCCCAAATAAATTCAATTCAAAAAGTCCTCTCAGAGGCACATTATAATCAAACTGTCAAAGGTCAAAGATAAAGAGACATTTCTACAAACAGCAAGAGAAAAAGCGTCAAGTCACATAGAAGGGAAACTTCATCATACTAATAGCAGATTTCCCTGATAGTCCAGAAGAGAATGAGTTTTATATATTCAAAGTGCTGAAAGAAAAATGTGGCTAGTCAAGAATTCTATGCCCAGCAAACCTATCCTTCAGAGATGAAGGACAAATAAAGTCTTTCCAAACAAGCAAAAAGTGAAGGAATTAATCACCACTAGACTGGCCCTACAAGTAATGCTTGAGGAAGTTCTACAGCTGGACATGAAAGGATGATATCTACCATCATGATAACATGTGAAAATATAAATCCCACAGGTAGAAGAGATATTCAAATGGGAAATAGAGAGCAATCAAATGTTATTACTAAAGAAAACTACCAAACTGAAAAGATGAACAAGAGAGGAAGAAAGGGACAAAGGCTAGAAAACAATAAATTGACAAGAATTAAGTCCCCACTTATCAATAACAACTTGAATGTAAATGATTTAAATTCCCAAATTAAAAGATACAGACTGGCTGACTGGATTTTTTTTTTAAAAGACCCAACTATTTGCTGCCTAAAAGAGATTCACCTCACCTGTAAAGAACACACACAAACTGAAAGCGAAGGGATGGAAAAGATAGTACACACAAATGGAAACTAAAAGTGAGCAAAAGTAGCCATACTTTTATCAGATAAAATAGACTTGAAATTATAAAACCCCCAAAGAGACCAAGAAAATCATTACATAATGACAAAGGAATCAACTCAGGAAGAGAATATAACAATTATAAATATATATGCATCCAACACCAGCACACACAGATACATAAAACAAATATTATTAGAGCTAAAGGGAGAGATAGACCTTAAAAAAAATAAGGTGGAATTTCAACTCTCAGCATTTCACTGTCAGCATTGGACAGATCGTCTACACAGAAAATCAACAAAGAAACTTTGGACTTAAACAGCACTATAGTCCGGCCGGGCGCGGTGGCTCACGCCTGTAATCCCAGCACTTTGGGAGGCCGAGGCGGGCGGATCACGAGGTCAGGAGATCGAGACCATCCTGGCTAACACGGTGAAACCCCGTCTCTACTAAAAATACAAAAAATTAGCCGGGCGTGGTAGCGGGCGCCTGTAGTCCCAGCTACTCGGGAGGCTGAGGCAGGAGAATGGCGTGAACCCGGGAGGCGGAGCTTGCAGTGAGCCGAGATCGCGCCACTGCACTCCAGCCTGGGCGACAGAGCAAGACTCCGTCTCAAAAAAAAAAAAACAAAAACAACAACAACAAAAAAAAACAGCACTATAGTCCAAGTGGACCTAACAGGCTTTTACAGAATATTTTATACAATAGTTTCAGAATGCACATTCTTCTCACTGGTACATGAAACACTAAGATAGACCATATGTTAGGCCATAAAATCAGTCTCAACAAATTTTTAGAAATTGAAATCATATCATGCATCTTTTCAGGTCACAATGGAATGAAACCAGAAGTGAATAACAGAAGGAACTTTGGAAACTGTACCACCAGATGTAAATTAAACAACCTACTCCTGAACAGCCAATGAAGAAATTAAAGGTCAATGAAGAAATTAAAGATACTACAAAATGTATTGAAACAAGTGAAAATAGAAATACAACATACCAAAACCTATGAAATACAGCAAAAGCAGTACTGAGAGGGAAGTTTATAAAAATAAATGTTTACATCAAAAAAGTAAGACAATTTCAAATTAGCAACCTAATGATGCACCTCAAGGAATTAAAAAAGCAAGAGCAAATAGAACCCCAAATTAGTATGAGGAAAGAAATAGTAGAGATCAGAAAAGAACTAAATGAAATAGAGAATGAAAAAGTAATACAAAAGATCAATAAAATGACAATTTTTTAAGATAAAATCAACAAACCATTAGCTAGACTAAGACATAAAAAAGAAATCCCAGATAAATAAAATCAGAAACAAAAAAGGAGATATTAAAACTGATAACACAGAAATACAAAGGATCATTACAGACTTTTATAAACAACTATACACCAACAAATTGGAAAAGCTAGAGGAAATTGATCAATTACTAGACATATAAAACCTATCAAGATTGAACCTGGAAGAAATAGAAAACCTGAACAGAGGAACAATGGATAACAAGATTGAATCAGTAATAAAAAGCCTCTCAACACACATACAAAAAAGGCAGGACCAGCTGGCTTCACTGTTGAATTCTACCAAACTTACCAAAACAACAACAATGACAAAAACAAACAACAACAAAATCACTAACATAAATTCGTCTCATATTATTCCAAAAAAATCGAAGAGAAGCAAATTCTTTGAAACTCATCTTACAAGGCTAGTACTACCCTGATAACAAACAAGGCAAGGACACAACAACGATAAAAAAAAACTACAGACCAATATCCCAGATGAACATAGATGCAAAAATTCTTAACATAATACTACCAAACCAAATCCTACAGTACATCATAAATATACAACATGATCAAGTGTTGTTTATCCCAGGAATGCAAGAATTGTTCAACATATGTACATCATCAATAAACATGATATATCAAATTAATATTAATAGAATGAAGGATAAAAGCCATATGATTACCTCAATAGATGCAGAAAAAGCATTCGATAAAATTCAATATCTCTTCCTGATAAAAACTCTCAATAAATTAGTTGTAAAAGTAGTGTGCCTCAACACAATAAAAGCAATATATGACAAATCCACAGCTAACACCATACTGAATGGAGAAAAGCTGAAAGCTTTGCCTTTAGGAATTGGAACAAGGGCTGGGTATAGTGGCTTATGCCTGTAATCCTAGCACTTTGGGAGGTCGTGGTGGGAGGATCACTTGAGATCAGGAGTTTGAGACCAGCCTGAGCAACACAGTGAGATGTTGTCTCTACAAAAAATTTAAAAAATTGTCAGGACATGGTGGCACATACCTGTAGTCCCAGCTGCTCAGGTGGATGAGGCAGGAGGATTGCTCGAGCCCCGGAGGTCAAGGCTGCAGTGAACCATGCTCATGCCACTGTGCTCCAGCCTAGGTGACAGAGCAAGACCCCGTCTCAAAAAAAAAAAAAAAAAAACACACACACACACACACACACACACAAAAGCAAAAAAAAAAAAAAACTTACAATAAGACAAGGATGCCCACTTTCACCACTCTTACTCAACATGGTACCAGGAGTCCTAGCCTGAGCAATCAGGCAAGAGAAAATAATAACCAATTTGGAAAATAGGGAGTCAAATTATCCTTTTCTGCAGATCAAATGATATAGTGAAACCTAAAGGCTCCGCCAAAAACCCCTTAGAACTGATATATGAATTCAATAAAGTTTCAGGATACAGAATCAACATACAAAAATCACTATCATTTCTAAGCACCAATAACAAGCTAGCTAAGAAAAAAAATCAAGAAAATGATTCCATTTAAAATAGCTACAAAAAAACCCATATAGGAATACATTTAACTAAGCAGGTGAAAGAGTTCTACAATGAAAACTACAAAACACTGATGAAAGAAATGGAAAGGGCCACGCAAAAAATGGAAAGAAAAAAAACCTAATGTTCATGACTGAAAGATTTAATATTGGGCCGAGCATGGTGGCTCATGCCTGTAATCCCAGCACTTTGGAAAGCCAAGGCAGGTGGTTCACCTGAGGTTGGGAGTTCAAGACCAGCCTGGCCAACATGGAGAAACCCCATCTCTACTAAAAATGCAAAATTAGCCAGGTGCATGCCTGTATTCCCACCTACTCGGGAGGCTGAGGCAGGAGAGTCACTTGAACCCAGGAGGCGGAGGTTGTGGTGATCTGAGATCATGCCATTGCACTCCAGCCTGGGCAACAAAAGTGAAACTCCATCTCAAAAAAAAAAAAAAAAAAAAGGAATTAATATTGTTAAAATGACCATACTACCAAAAGCAATCTACAGATTAAATGCAATCCTTATCAAAATACCAATGGCATTCTTTACCAAAATAGAAAAAACAATCCCAAAATGTGTACAAAAGATCCCAAGTAGATAATTCTAAACAAAAAGAACAAACTTGGAGGTATCATACCACCTGACTTCAAAATATATTACAAACCTACTGTAATTAAAACAAGATGGTACTGGTATAAAAATAGACACATGGACCAATGGAACAGAATAGAACACAAAGAAATAAATTCATTTATTTATAGACAACTGATTTTCTTTTTTTTTTTTTGAGACGGAGTCTCGCTCTGTCGCCCAGGCCGGATTGCGGACTGCAGTGGCGCAATCTCGGCTCACTGCAAGCTCCGCTTCCCGGGTTCACGCCATTCTCCTGCCTCAGCCTCCCGAGTAGCTGGGACTACAGGCGCCTGCCACCGCGCCCGGCTAATTTTTTGTATTTTTAGTAGAGACGGGGTTTCACCTTGTTAGCCAGGATGGTCTCGATCTCCTGACCTCATGATCCACCCGCCTCGGCCTCCCAAAGTGCTGGGATTACAGGCGTGAGCCACCGCGCCCGGCCAGACAACTGATTTTCAACAAAGGTTCCAGGAATATATATTGGGAAAATGTAAGCTTTTTCAATAAATGGTGCTGGAAAAACTGGATATCCATATGGAGAAGAATGAAACTAGGCTCACGTATCTCACCACATACAAAAATCAACTCAAACTAGACTTAAAAGATTTAAGTATAAGATCCCAAACTAGAAAACTCCTAGGAAAAAAAACCGGGGAAATGCTTTGGGACATTGGTCTGGGAAAATATTTTGTACCCCAAAAGCACAGGCAGCAAAAGCAAAAATAGGGGAATCTATCAAATATCTAAAATAGTATTATATCAAACTAAAAAACTTTGCACAGCAAAGGAAACAACCAACGTAGTAAAGGGACAATCTGTAGAATGGAAGGAAATATTTGCAAACTATACATACAAGTGATTAATATCTAGAATATACAAGGAACTCAAACAACAGGAAAAAAATGACAACAACAACAACAAAACAATGAATAATCTAACTTTAAAGTGGACAAAGGATCTGAATAGGCACTTCTTTAAAAAAGACATACAGGCCTGGAGTGGTGGCTCACGCCTGTAATACCAGCACTTTGAGAGGCCAAGGCAGGTGGATCATGAGGTCAAGAGATGGAGACCATCCTGGTCAACATGGTGAAATCCTATCTCTACTAAAAATGCAGAAATTAGCTGCGTGTGGTGGCATGCACCTGTAGTCCCAGCTACTTGGGAGGCTGAGGCAAGAGCATCACTTGAACCCGGGAGGTGGAGGTTGCAGTGAGCCAAGATCGCACCGCTGCACTCCAGCCTGGCAACAGAGCAAGACTCTGTCTCAAAAAATAAAAAGACATACAAATGGCCAAGTATTATGAAAAAATACTCAACATTACTAATCATTAGAGAAATGCAAATTAAAACCACAATGAGATATCACCTCATACCAGTTAGAATGACTATTATCAAAAAGACAAAAATAAAATAAAATAAAAAACAAATGCTGGCAAGGACACAGAGAAAAATGATCTCTTATGCACTATTGGTGGGAATGTTAATTATTACAGTCATTATGGAAAACAGTATGGAGGTTCCTTAAAAAACTAAAAATAGAACTATCATATGATCCAACAATCCCACTACTATTTGTTCAAAGGAAAGAAAATAAGTATATTGAAAAGGTATCTGCATTCTCATGTTTATTGCAGCACTAGTCACAACAGCCAAGATATGGAATCAACCTAAATGTCCATTAACTGATGAATGGATAAAGAAAATGTGGTATATATACACAATGGAATACTACTGAACCATAAAAATGAAATCCCATCATTTATGACAACACGGATGAGCCTGAAGGACATAATTTTCAGTGAAGTAAGTCGGACAAAGAAGGAAAAATATTGTGTGTTCTCACTTATGTGTGGAATCCAAAAAAGTCGGGCTCATAGAAGTGGAGAGTGAAATAGTGGTTATTAGGGGATAGGCAGTATAAAGGGGAGAGGGAGATAGGGAGAGGTTGTTTAATGAATACAAAATTGCAGCTAGATAAGAGGAAAGTGTTCTAGTGTTCTAAAGCACTACAGGGTGACTAGTTAACAATAATTTATGGTGTATTTTCAAACAGCTAGAAGAGAGGATTTTGAATGTTCCCAACACAAAAAATGGTAAATATTTAAAGTGATAAATATGCTATTGACCCTGATTGTATCATTACACATTGTATAAGTGTACTGAAATATCTCTCTCTACCCCATTAATACGTACAGTTATTATGTGTTTATTTAAAATAAAAATGGATTTAATAGAATAAGTACTGATTTATTACAATATAATGAAGACATTTATAGATCAGTTTCATGAATGAACATAGATGTAATAATTACCTGATCATCCCAGATGCAAAACATTGTTTGATAAAGTTCAGTACTTACATTTATAATTTAGAAAATCTTAGAAACTTGAAAAAATATATAACTGTGACTGGTGAAGCAATTAAGTTAAAATTACAAAATGTAAGGCAGTATTCTTGTGACAGGGCAGGAAATGACTTCTTAAACAAAACTTGAAAAGCATAAATCATCAGGCCAAAAAAAGAACTAATTTACACTGAAATTAAGAATTTTACTTCAATAAAGGACATCACACATTAATAGATATCTACCAAGATGAAGAAGATATTTGTGGCATCTAAACCAACAAGGGATTTTTTTAATATACAAAGATCTAAAAATGGATAAGGAAAATATAACTCCAATAGATAAAATGGGCAAGGCGATTTTACAAAAGAGGAAATCTAGAAAGTTAACAAGCATGTATCAGGATGTTTAAACTCATTGGTAATCAGTGAAATACAAATTAAAACAATTAGATTGACCAAAAAAATAGACAGTTGGATAATACCAAGTATTAGAGAGGATGTGGGGATATAGGGACACTGGGACTTTCAGGCACTGCTGAAGCAAAGGCAGGCTATAGGGCAGTTTTTCACTATTTAGTATTATTAACTAGGCATGTGTCCTGTAAGTTAGCAATTCCACTCTGGATATGTATCCTGGAAATCATCCTTGGGGTCTGTAAAGTGACATGTATGACCATGTTCATTGCAACATGGGTTAAGGGAGTAGGGATTTATAGGTAACTTGGGTATTTATCACTGTGGGAGTGGATAGGAAAAACGTGATGGAGACACAATATGGAGTATTATGTAGCAGTTGGAAGCAAAGAATTACAAAACATTACATTGTACCCCGTTAATATACATAATTATTATGTCAATTAGAAATGAATCAATACACATATGCTTGGTGAAAAAAGTTGGAAACAGAAGATATATAATATTATTTACAAAAATTAAAAAGTTATGCACACACAAAAATACATATATTTCAAGACGATTTTGAATTAAAAGGATACACATAAAGCACATTAACCTATGGTAGTGTTATGACAATAAAATGAGATATGCAAATAGAAGAAAAAAGGCAGAAGGAATGAAGGGTGAAAGATGCATTAGTTAGCTATTGTTACAGTAATACTGCATAATAGTTACTATAATTTCAGTGGTTCATAAATAAACATTTATTTCACACCATCTGAAGGTCGGTTTGGAGTTGGCTTATCTAGGCTAGGAACTCGGTTACAAGCTAAAGGTTGGGTCCAGGTATGTTCCATATGTTTCTCACCATTCTTAGATTAGTCATTACCAAGTTATGTTTTTCTTGTGATGAAGAGCAGGTGCTCAGGTGGGCAAGCCTAACCATGCTAATGCAATGGGACTAATATCCTGTTAACCAAAGCAAGTTATTCAGCCAAGCCCAAAGTCCAGTGTCAGGAAAAATGTTCCACCCACCAGGAGGAATATTCCTCCTGGCTATGGCAAGGGTATAGATATATAATAATAATACAGGTAGGCTAAATATTTGGAATCAGTAATTCCATCTACCATAATGGTGCCTAAGTAGATAGGTAGGTATGTAGGTAGGTAGATAGATTTATGTTATTATATGTGTGCATATAAATATATTCATACATTCATAAAATAAGAAATAAAGAGACTTGCATGGACAAATAACAATAAGGCATAAACAGAGGAATATGATAAATAAATTCCGTACACTGAAGACCCAAAAAACCAAACCAAAACACTAAACCACACTAGGAACAGCAGGGAATGGTAAGTGAATAGGAAGTTCAGGCTAAGTATCAGAGGTGGCATTGCAAATGATTTCAATTAGTTATTGCCATACTCATTATAGGAAGGAAGAGCACAAAGAAAATGTATTACTCTCTTATTTGGAACTTGTGTGTTGGGTTTGTTTTTGTTGTTGTTCTTTGATAAAGATAAGTGATCCCATACTGTTAAATAGAGCTATAATCTGCTTCCGTTGTAAGCAATGCTGCAATATGGTCAAGAATATCTAAAGTTTTGGAGTTCTAATATAAAGTGAGATGAGGCCCACTTTGGCTCTATTCTGAGCTGCTTAATGTACCAAAGTCAGCTCTTTGCTGTTTGTTGTACATTTAGCATACCAGAAGGAAAATCACACACGGATTTTACATAGGGACCATTAATGGAAATCAGCTAATAGAAAAAAAATCGTGAAATGACCACACTTAAACTTAAAACTTCCATTTATCCATAGAAAAATCAGCAAATTATTGGAAAGAGATCTTTGCAAAGCAATGTGGAATTGATATCTAGAACATACAAGAAACTTTGCAAACAAGCAAGAAAAGGACAGGAAACAAAAATTTTTTTAAAAATGGGCAAAGCACATGAACAGGCAATTGACAGGAAAATTGAAATAGCTATTGTGTATATGAATGATATACATCCTCATTAGTAATCAGACGTACAAATTTTGTGGGTTTTTTTAACAAAATGAGATATGATATTGCACTCATTAGATTGGCAAAAATTAGAAAGCGCTGGCAAGAATATCAGGAAGTTTTGTCCTTTCTGGTGGTGAATTATAAATTGGTAGAAACATTCTGTATCACAACCTGAGAAGTACTTAGTGAAATAAAGTATGGGTATAATAGAACTCAAAAATTCCCTTCCTGGATACATACTCTAGAGACTGTCTTGCTCAGATCCGCAAGGAAACATGCTCATATAAGATTATTGCAGCATTATTTATGGTACCATAAAGTTGGAAGCAATCTGAGTATCCACTAGAGAATCTGGGTAACCCATAGATATCCCCTAAGGAAATGAATAAGTAAAGTGCATTACATGCAGGAGTCAGAAATGGTGTATGCATGTATTAGAAAAATCTGCAGGATTCAGAAGCAATGAACTAGATTTATATAGAGGAAGTACATAGAGATCTCAAAAATACTATGTTAGATAAAAATGAGAAGGAAAATGAGATTCATAGCACATTACCATCTATAGAACTTTAAAAAATATATAAATGACACTAAATATTTGTTGGTAAACACCAATATACCAAATAAACATATGGAAGGTGGTTTAGAAGGATCTGTAAAACACACTTGAGAAGGTGCTGATGAAAGTGTTGCAGTGGATGATTGGAGATGGACATGAAAGGGGTAACAAACCAAAATAAAATAGGGCTTTGCAAGGATGATAGCGTTCAATGAATTATCTCAACTCGATATACCTATGCTAATAGATAAACAGCAATTGAGTCCCTCAAACAATTCCGTTTCTTTAAAAAGTGCTGTGATCAGAAACTATGTTTTCAAGTTTCTGATGAAGTCCAGCATCAGAAAACACATGAAAATTGAAGAAAACAAGGCCATTTGTAGATTCTTTTGGTCAATCATTCATTTACACATAGAGGTGGAACGGTGCTCATCTAGAGAGATTTTCTATTGGTTTTGATATAAGTTTGCTGCAGTTGAGTGAGTTAACAATGGCATTTGTTTAAGTTAAATTGTTTTCTCTTTGTTCACCTGCAGTGACCATCATTTAAGGACTAAACACTTATCAAATAACTCCACATTTCTGACCAAATAGCTGATTGCCAGGAAATGAACAGTCTGAAAGCATTCCTACAGAAGTCAGCCAGCTCTAAATCTCTCTCTCTCTCTCTTTTTTTTTTTTTTAACAAATAGAGACATCAAGAAGGACTTGAACCATAAGCAAGCAGAAAGTCAGACTGAGTGTCAAAGGTGGCACCTCAAATAATTTTAATGAGCCGTCTTCCTACTCATTACAGGAAACATTAATGTAATGGGAATGCATTTCTCTCTTATTTGGAACTTGTAAATATGCAATTTATTAATAAAGATAAGTGGAAACCATGCTGCAAAATAGTGCTGCGATGTGATTCTCTTCCTAGCAGAGCTCCAACATGGGCAAGAGTGTCTAATGCTCAGGAGTTCTAATATAAAGTAAGACACGGCCAGGCACAGTGGTTCCCACCTGTAGTCCCAGCACTTTGGGAGGCTGAGGTGAGCAGATGGCTTGAGGCCAGGAATTCAAGACCAGCCTGGGCGACATAGCAAGGCCTTGTTTCTACAAGAAAAATAATTTTTAAAAAATTAATTAGGCATGGTGGCCTGTACCTGGAGTTCCAGCTACTCAGGAGGCAGAGGTGGGAGGATCACCTGAGCCCAGGAATTTGAGGCTGCAGTGAGCCTCCAGCCTGGGTGACAGAGCCAGACTCTGCCTCAACAAAATAAAAATAAAATTTAAAAAATAAAGTGAGATGCAAACCTTTTACATCTGACTCTACTCTATTCTGGGTTGCTTAATGTACTAGTGCCAGCTCTGTGCCACTAGACATATATTTAGCATATTGGAAGGAAAACCAAAAACAAGGATTTTTACATAGGAGCTAATCTGATAATTATATGGGTATCCAAAAGTCAGACAGCAAGGGATAGTAAAAACAATATAATTAAACAACTTGAATGAGGCAGGGAGACTAGGGGAATCTATCTCTGAGACTGGATGCTGCATACATTTTATCAAAGAAGAAATTCTAAAGAAAAGTTTCATGCAGATGCACATTCACTCCCAGACGATTGATGGGAGCTAATGATCCCAAACATCCCCCTTGACCTAGTGTTCCATTTTCAGGGAGAACTCAAATCATGATTCTAACAGAAAACAGAACAGTTAGAAGAAGAAGATCAGGGAGCATTTAACTTTTGGCAACATTCCAGGTCAATTCTTCCAATTCCTGAGGCTTGGGAATGCAGATCAGCCATAAGAAATTTGGGATCCCTAAGAATGATAATCTACAAATTCCAATTATTTTCGGTTAAATGTTTTGCTGTCAATGTAGCATTTCCTTTTGCCAGAGACTTCCAGGACATTTTTGAAGCCACTCAAATGTTGCCTCCAAAGAGAGGGGCATCATTACCTCCAGGTCCCAGATGGTGAGGTTGAGGGGTTAAATGAACAGTCCCAGGCCACACACTTCGTTTCCAGGAATCAGATGCCAATATGGGATTATCTCTCCAAGTTTCTGATTCTTTGTACAGAAAATAAACCTTTCTAGAGTTAAGACATATCATATGACATCTGCTGTTTATACAATATGAGAAACTCTCCTGAGCAGTGTACAGATCTTGGGATGTAACATCTACCCTTAGAAGTACCCGGCATATATTCATCTATGACTCCTCTTCATAACATGGGGTATACATTATGTTTCTGCAGTAGCAAGTAGGAGAGGCTTGTTGAAAGCACTGGCATTGAATGAGCACTGGACCTTCCAAGTCATTAGCAAGATTGAGACGAGCAGTAAGAAAACACAGTGGTTCTTAAAAAGTACCTTGTGTCATTTAAAGAGCCAAAGAAACTACTTACTATCCTGAGAAGGCAGTATTATGTGGACAGGAAGAATACAGACCTTTGAATTAGACTTGATTTGATTCTTGTATGTGGGGAAAAGCAAGAGAGATCAGATTGTTACTGTGTCTGTGTAGAAAGAAGTAGACATAGGAGACTCCATTTTGTTATGTACTAAGAAAAATTATTCTGCCTTGAGTTTCTGTGACCTTACCCCCAACCCCGTGCTCTCTGAAACATGTGCTGTGTCAACTCAGAGTTAAATGGATTAAGGGCGGTGCAAGATGTGCTTTGTTAAACAGATGCTTGAAGGCAGCATGCTCCTTAAGAGTCATCACCACTCCCTAATCTCAAGTACCCAGGGACACAAAAACTGCGGAAGGCCGCAGGGACCTCTGCCTAGGAAAGCCAGGTATTGTCCAAGGTTTCTCCCCATGTGATAGTCTGAAATATGGCCTCGTGGGAAGGGAAAGACCTGACCCATCCCCCAGCCCGACACCCGTAAAGGGTCTGTGCTGAGGAGGATTAGTAAAAGAGGAAGGAATGCCTCTTGCAGTTGAGACAAGAGGAAGGCATCTGTCTCCTGCCTGTCCCTGGGCAATGGAATGTCTCGGTATAAAACCCGATTGTATGCTCCATCTACTGAGATAGGGAAAAACCGCCTTAGGGCTGGAGGTGGGACCTGCGGGCAGCAATACTGCTTTGTAAAGCATTGAGATGTTTATGTGTATGCATATCTAAAAGCACAGCACTTAATCCTTTACATTGTCTATGATGCAAAGACCTTTGTTCACGTGTTTGTCTGCTGACCCTCTCCCCACAATTGTCTTGTGACCCTGACACATCCCCCTCTTTGAGAAACACCCACAGATGATCAATAAATACTAAGGGAACTCAGAGGCTGGCGGGATCCTCCACATGCTGAACGCTGGTTCCCCAGGTCCCCTTATTTCTTTCTCTATACTTTGTCTCTGTGTCTTTTTCTTTTCCAAATCTCTCGTCCCACCTTACGAGAAACACCCACAGGTGTGTAGGGGCAACCCACCCCTACACTTGTACTCCACCACTTACTATCTGAGTGAACTTAAGCCTCCTTTTCCTTGTCTGTAAAAGTGAGGAGCGGGGTACTAATTGAATAAGGCTTTTGTATATTATGGGTTGAATTTTGCCCCCTGGCACCGAAGTCCTAACCCCAGTACCTCAGAATGTGACCTTAGTTGTAAATAAGATCTTTGCAAATATAGTCACATGAAGATGAGGTCATTGGGATGGGCTCTGATCCAATATGACTGGAGTCCTTATAAAAAGAGGAAATTTGGATACGGACACACACAGGAAGAAGATGGTGTGAAGAGACAGAGAGAATACCACGCGAAGACAGACGATTGAAATAATGACTCTATAAGCCAAAGAAGTCTGGGACTGCTGGCAAACCACGAGAATGTAGGAAGGGGAATGGGAGGACCCTTCCTCTGGAGTTTCCAGAGATTGCACGGCCCTGCCATCATCTTCATTCCAGACTTCCAGTTTCCAGAATTGTACAATTGTACAACAATCAATTACCACACCGTTTGTGGTACTTTGTTACAGACAGTAGCCTTAGAAATGAATATATTGTAAATATTGAAAGCAATTCCTTATGTAAAGCATATTGTAGAACCTCAATCAATCCAAGTTCTCTTTCCAAAGAAAAAGATTTGTACATTGGTATGCAGACAAATACGCCTCACTTTCTCCCTTGAGCTCCACTATGATCTGACCACATGGCAGATGAATCTTTGAGTCTGCTTAAATTCTACAGAGTAGTGCCAGAAATTATCTGGTTTCCTGGGGGATCTCTGGGTTAGGACTGAGCCAAAATTCCTAGATCTGAATTAGAACAGAAGAAACTCCTGAATGGAACACAAACTGCCATTTATTGAGAAGAGCTGAGATGCTTTCCTCCAAGGGACACTGTGACACAGTGTCAGGCCTAGCCTAGATTTTCCCTGCATACCTCCTTCCCGGTAGCTGGGGCCTCTCAGCACTCACCTGCAGGCTTGTCCCCGGCCAAGATTCTGGGACTCTATAACCCTCTAAGGAGTACCTGCTTTGAGAGGCCGTTTGACACAGTGGCTGAGAGTGGACACTGGAGTTTGACTGCCTGTGTTTGATCCCAACTCTGCTATTTGCTGTGTGTCTTTGGGCAAGTTTCTCTCTCAGCCTCGGTTGCCTTCTCTGAAAAATGGGCATATTGATAATCATACCCAGCTCATAAGCTTGTGGTGAGGATTCGTTGACTTAACCTACTAAAGCTTAAGGATTGCTGTCAGGTTCCTAGGGTGCCTATTATTGTTTCTGCTGTTGCCATTAAGATCAGGTCCCTGCCTGCCCTCCAGTCCTGACAGCTGGCTTTCTAACCCAAAGCCTGAAGCCTCGTCTTAATGACTTGGTAGAGAACCAGGGCCTGAATCAGACTCTCTCTGCACCCTTCCACCATTGTCAAGGGAGGGAGTGTGGTGTCTATGACCCTTCTGTCTCCCTAAGACATCCCTGATGCTATTCACCTGCCAGGATGTCTGAACGCTCTGAACTGTCTATCCCTGTGCTCACCCCCTCATGGTGTCATCTTATGACACTCTGTGTTAACTCCTCCAATGGCAGGAAGTGATTGGGCTGTCACCTGCTGCCTGCCAGCCGGAATGGAGTTGCTTCACATCTCAGCAGCTGGACGGTCCCTAAAACACCTGCCCAGACAAGCAGGCTGCAATGCCTCCTATGTACTCTAGCTTCCTGCAGTTAAAGGAGCCATGTCTAACCATAAGACTGGATGCTTCCACGTCCCACCAAAATGGAGTTTGCCTGTTTTGACCACAAAGCTGCCAAAACATTACAAATAGTGGGGACTAGATGGACACTTGACAATCTCTAGTTAATAATGGCAAACCCATCACTCAATGGTATTGTATTTAATTTACTAAACCATAAGATCAAGCAGAATGGGAAATTCAACATTTGGAAGACTTTATAATATAAAATTTCATTTTGCAACATTCATTCTCTCTAACTGCCTTAATGAGTGGTATTGATATTTAGAAAAAACATCAATAGCAAAATATAAAGTCAAAAAAGTTTAGGTCCCTCCTTTCCCTATGATGACTTTAACTATAAGGTATTACTTAGTTCTACAAAATAAACAGCTGGAAGGGCAACTGAGCTACAGGAACACCTAGTGAGCAAGGCTTGTTATAAACGAAGGTTTGTCAAGTACTAATTATGTTCCTAACTATGCTAAATGCTTCATACACATAGTATAACTGAATCCTCATAATAAACTTGTAAATTAGTTACTAGTCTTTTTTTCTTACAGATAAAGAAACTGAGGCACAAAAGAGGTTAAATAACTTGACCAAGATTCAAAATCTACTGTAGGTGAGATTTTAACCTAGATCAAAGTCCAGACCCCACACACTAAGACACAAAACTCTTCTACACTCTTTCTTCCTTTTTCAGTTGATTTTGTCTCCTACAGCATGACAGTGTCCAACTAAGCACGCTCCTTCTAAACACATTCAGTGACATTTGCTTGTGAGAGCCACAGCCAGCAAACACTACCCTGACTGTCTCCAGCACAATGCAAAGTCACCGTGGCCCGCAGCGAGTTGCTTTTCAATTTCATTAACCTTGGTAGAGGCTGGGATGGGGCAAACACTAGAACTGGTTCTCCCAGCCAGCAGCCAGCTTGGACAGGGGCAGAATGTGATTGGGACCCGCCTTAGCATTAGAGGTGATGGTTCACCTCTAGACGAGATGGGCTCTGAAAAGTGATCCTTGAGGATTTCAAATATGTTGATGAAAATGGGAGTGGTGGAGGAAATGGTGAAAATTTTTAAGAATGTGCAGGCAGGAAATTAGTGGCAAAAGCTACCCTCTACCCGCCCCCCCTCGCCCCCAAATCAGAGAAAATGGCTTTAGGAAGTTATGCCTCAACCCCATTCCTGTTTCCTCCCCGTAAATCTACCCTCTAAGTAGTCCTCAAGGAATTGGAGTGGTTGCTTTCTCT
Source organism: Homo sapiens (assembly GCF_000001405.40). Classification (NCBI taxonomy): domain Eukaryota; kingdom Metazoa; phylum Chordata; class Mammalia; order Primates; family Hominidae; genus Homo; species Homo sapiens. Next base: position 207,040,784 of record NC_000002.12, read on the forward strand.
CTGGCAATAACGGGAATTCCCACTACAGGACAATTAGAATACACCCAGAACTGCCAGTAAAATGTTTCAATGACTTGACTTTACTGGTTTTATAAAACAAGTGAAAGAAATCAGAGACAGTCCAAGATCCTCGCCAAGACGTGAAGTCTCTTTATGAAGTAGACTGCAGGGAACCGTGTGGGCTCCGGATCTCTAGTGCTTCCTCCAATGTGCTGCTTTTAACTAATGCCATCTGCACGGGGCCCTGTGGTCTCAGGAACACCAGCTCGTGACACAGACTTGAGATTTAGTCGCCACTTCCCTGAATATTTGTTCTGTGTTTTTGAGAGGATCCACTTGGTTTTTCTGAGCCTCGGTTTCCCCATTTGACACTTTCAGGTGATACTGTGTTTCTACCTGTTTCAGGCATAGGTACAACTTGAGGTCTTAGAGGGCAGCCAAACATTTAGAAATGCGATGGATTTTTCCCCTCCCCACTTTACACTTCTAGGTTGCTGTTTGAAGCCTCAGCATAAATTATTTCTGCTCTTATTGACTCCCTATTGCAAATGGGGGTGTGTGTGAGCGTGAGCACGTGTATTTGTGAATGCGCGTGCCCAGCATATCTGTCTCCTTTTCATTCTTTCTTTGTTCTTTCCCAAGGCTTCTGTGAGAGTAGCAAATAGAATGGAATGTCCTTGTCCAGCCTGCTCCCCCTCCTTAGGAGGAGGGATGGACCACTTCCTACCGCTCCCTTCCTTCATGCCCCCTCCCCCATCCTCATCAGTGCAGTTGATGAAATGAAAGCCGAGGAAGAGTGATTCGATTATTGCCTGACCTTTGCCGGTGCTGGAAAGAGTGTAGATCCACGTGCTTTCCTCCAATCCCCCTTTGGGGCTTTTCTGGACGTGCCCCCATAGGAGCTCTCCTGCGGCTGGGTTAAATCAGCCTCAATGGGCTGAATGTGGTTCAAAACCTAAGCGGACCCTCCCCCCAGCCCCCACCCCCACCCTGCTTTATCCCGCGTGGCGTTCATTACAAACAACAATTACTGACAGTAATCAGCTGTCCAGAATAACAAGGACGTTGTATTTTGCTCAGCTTTAGTGCAAAGGCGCATGAGCAAATCTTATTGTGTTCCAGCACAATAAAATACATCTGAAAATCCCCTTTTAGAATTCTGGAAAACATGACCCATGCTACTACTGCTTGATAACATGTAGGAACAATTCCTCTCTTCATTAGGTTGGATTTTCCTTTTGGGTAGAGCACAAACAGGTGGAGAGAAACCTGATGTTTAAGACAACTGTCACTTTGCCCATAATTTTTTGACAATCCTGGTGCTTGATTGGGAATATTTTACCAGACATCCACTGTTAGATTTCTTGGATTATACACCTTCAGGTGGTGTTGAAATTGTCAATAGTGAAACAAAAGCAGCAATTAAATACGAAGCAAGAGAAGAGAAACGGTGAGAAGTTAATACTCTATTTAAACCACTGGAGGGGTTGGAAAGCCGACTTACGAAAATAGCAGTAACAAAAAAAATCTGAAAAACAAATTCACCACCAAACAGTTTCTACTGCTCCATTTATTTCAACTAGTGTGGTATTAATAGAACGCCTAACAGCAGGGAGTAGGAAAATAAATGTATTCTCACTCACAAGGGAATGACTAAATGACTCACAAATGCAAAAATAAATAAATGGCTCCCTATGAAAATCTGAAACTATATTACCCCAACTGAAGCAACTAAGCTTTTTAACTGTAACCTAACATGTTAAATTCAATCAGTTTTATTTGAGGCCATAGATAGATCGAGCGATCAATCTCCATTATCCTGGGCTTTTTTTCATCTTCATAGTGCTATTTTTCTTCCTATGAGACATTTCAGTTCATTTCCTTGAGCCTTCTTCAGTTTAATGGCTGATTTTCAGACCAAAAAAAAATCCCCTTCCTCTAGAGGGAATGGAGAAAAATAGAGCAATGAAAAAAAAAATTTAAGAAGGGCATGTCTTAATTGTATGTAGTGGAGAGAAGGAGGACACAATGTGAGAAAAAGATAACAGGTAGATACATAATGTGTATTATAGCTGGTTTCAAATGTTATGTTAAATGTTAACAGGTGCTGCCTCCTGACACTATAAAAAGATCAACTTTTTGTCTCCTTTATAATTTGTGAACAGGTAGGCCCCGAGGACCAGAATGAGGTCATGCCAATTAACTCAATCACTCTGATTCCTGCAATCAGAGTGATAATGACATCCTTAGCAACCATCCTATCACTATGGCACCAGCCCACTGCTGTAAAAACCCTCTTCATCTACATTGGTTGTAGGTTGGGTGCCAAAGCTGTGATCCTAAAATACACAGGCTGAGAATTTACATTAAACCTTCCCCACCACCCCATCTCATCCAGGGGCATGACATCTTTCCTCTCTCAAAAGAGGTGCAGTGAGAAAATAAAATTTTCATTGGCTCCAAAAGTTAAGGTTTTGGGCTTTCTCCAAACCTATATAAATCATTAGTTGGCTCTTTGGAATCGCCTTCTATTAAGAGAAGCTAATGAGCTTTATCTTTCAACTTTATCCAGCCTGATTACACTGTACATACCTAGTTTCACATAAAAACTATTCGTTACTGGACTGCTTTTATCAATAGACATTAGTAGTTAACTTCACAGGATGGGAACTGATACTCTGAAGGCAGCAAAACAAAAACCATCAACGACATCTAGGGCTTTCTTCCCCAGAGTACTTTAAATAATGTTAGTTCCCTAGAGATAGATCAAATATATATAACAAACAAAAGGAGAGCAATCAAGAACATATAGTCCAAAAATATCTAAAAAGTATCTTTGGTGGGCACATTTGCATCAATAAGCTTCTCCAGCTTATAGTGTTTCAGACTGAGCCAACTTTCATTATGCTGAGCCTCTCCTATCTGCCCCTCATTATATTGGATACTTTGGGAAATCCATAAAAATCTAAGAAACTTGAGTCTATCCTTATCTTCAAGGAAGCAAAAATCTATTTGGTGAGAGAGACATCTGAATAATCAACAACAACACAGATCTAATAGGAAGATAAGTCTTTATGGTGTAGGGTCTTCATGGCCATCAATTCCTTAAAAGACTCTGACAGTATATCTTAAGAAATAATAAAATAAAAGAGAGAGGAGAAGGAAGAAGGTGGGGAGGAAGAAAAGAAGGAAGGAAGGAGCAACCAGTCTAAGAAGAAACCAGAGACCAAAGATCAACAAAACACACCAGCAGTGTCAAGATAAGGCAGTTGATAGATACCTCAGGGCCTTTGCAGTTGATCCCCTGGAGGGAATCCTCTTTACCCAAATCTTCAAATGACTTATTCATTTTCACACAATATATCACTTACTATGTACTTTTTCATTGTTTATATCCTTCCCTCTCCTCCCCTTCCAACCAGGAACTCTGTCCTAAAATAGTGCTAGCACAAGGTAGGTTCTCAACAAATTTGCTGAATCAATGAACGAATGAATGAATGACTAGGAATAGTTACTTGTGTGGGATGGAAACTGCATATTGGAGGAGAGAGTCTGGTAAGCACAGTGAACAGCACAACTGAAGTTAGGGCTGTGTTCTCAGACAGATTCCCTAAGCACCAATAACAGTGTCGGCAGGCCTAGGACTTCAGAAATGATTTGCAGAGCCCACGTTATCTGTAATGTCAGCAGCTACCATATATTTTTCACTGACGGATATCAATTCTCCCTTTTCCTAATTGATTCCAGTAACATAGATACCCTGAGTGCTGTATACAGCTCACTGATTGCTGGGCAAACATTATTGAAGTGTCAATATTTGCTCTTTTTCCTAGAGCATCATTGTCGAAAAGACTGCAATTCATTTGGGGACATGTCTCTTATATTTAATGCACAGAGAGTGCCGATACAAACTAAATCTTCATTGTATTATTCTTTACCCTCGCTCTGGTCACAGGGATGGCTTCACTCACCAGCCATCGTGGCTGTCCTTAGGCAGCTCCAGATATCTCCCCCACTGGATGCTGCTACTGGCGACCGCTACACAGTATTATTGCCACCTCTTCTGATGAGCCCTGAAAAAGAGAATCTAGAGAGGCTTGGGCTCCTGCTGTCAAGATTCTTAATCCTTCTCTCCTGGACTACCTTAGATATGGCCGTTGGCTTTCCTGTCTGACCACGGGGTCCTCAGCATCTTGGGTTAATCTGAACCAAGTTTTGACCAAAAGTTCCATTGTCATGTGGCTACATTATTTCAAGGATAAACACATATAACAGACATTGGAACATACTCTTCCATTGTGGCAAAACAAGCTCACAGTTCCTTTTTAGGTTTGTTTATTTTTGCCTTAGAGAGAAGGGACTTTGCCTTGGCGGAGTCGGTGACCTAAGGCTAGGTCCCCATTACTCATATGGAGGTGATTTTTCCTACACTCATTTCCAGTTGCAAATAGAGCCATGTTCCAGTGCTTTCTGTCTTCTGGGAAAATTCCTGTAGCTAGCTTCCCTTGGAGCATGTGCCCTGCTGCCTCATTAAATTAGTGTGTGCTATTCTAGCCCTGAGCAGACCTGTTTTCAGAGTTACTTTCCTCCCACTCCCACTGGGCGAGAATTCCAGACTTAGAATCAGAATAGACCAAATCACTGTTATATACATAGGGGTTTTGAAGACATTTTATGACCAGGGTCTTTGTTTCTGATGACCCCAGAAACAGAAGTGTTTTAATTTCTTGATATCTAAGTTGAAGACATTGATAAACTGCTTCATTCCTTCCAGCCATGTTAATGGCAATTGAGGAGCTTCTGAAAACGAGGAAAACCTGTGATGATCCTGAAACTATAATCTGATATGACGTGCTAGGCAGTGATATTTCTGATTAGTCATCACTAGGCCACCTAGACTTTCAGTTTACTTCTAATTGTGTTTCAGATAATGCTATTCCCAGTTAGGCAGATGATCATTGTAATTTCTGGTAATGAAATGGCAAGGGAGCCCATTCTGTACTGGGAAGAGAGCCAGAGCCCAGCACTTTATAAGAAACAAGTGTTACGGTCTAGGACAGAGAAATGAAGCCAAGGTGCTGTTGAACATTTACAGTATGTATCAGATTGATTCTATCTCTCTCATACTCAGGATTGATTTATTTTAAAAAGGACATTCCTCAGCTTGAAAGAAACTCTGCAGAAAGCAAAGACACCACATTTTTTCTCACCCCTTTGTACCGTTTAACATGCCAAAGAATCACTGTTGACCTTCCATGATGGCTAAGCCATTTTCTCTCACCATGGATAATAGTGGTTTGGTCCATAACTTACACAACTGGCATCAATAAATAATAATGGAGCTTTTTGGTGAGTTATTAAAATGATTGTGGATAAGAACTCTCTAGATGAAAAAGGAGAATAGAAGGGAAGAAGAAGAAGGAGGAGGAGGAGGAGGAGAAAGGAGCAGCAGCAGCAGAAGGAGAAGAAGGAAGAAGAAGAAGGAAGAAGAAGAAGAAGAAGAAGAAGAAGAAGAAGAAGAAGAAGAAGAAGAAGAAGAAGAAGAAGAAGGAGAAGGAGAAGGAGAAGGAGAAGGAGAAGGAGAAGGAGAAGGAGGAGGAGGAGGAGGAGGAGAAAAAGAAGAAGAAGAAGAAGAAGAAGAAGAAGAAGAAGAAGAAGAAGAAGAAGAAGAAGAAGAAGAAGAAGAAGAAGAACCAGCAGCAGCTTCCCAAAAGGTATGGGATTGTCAGCACTTCTTTTCATGTTTCTTATCATTTTACACTCAAGTACTTTTATAACAAAATAATCACCTGGCTTTGAACTTCTGGATCTTTACACCTTCCAGCTAAATGCTGAAACCCTGAATCTAAATGGCTCCTCTTGAATATATCAAGTAGTTCTTTATTCAATCTCATAGGCATGAAGAGTTCATTCCCCTTCAAGGTTGAAATCCATCTCTGTTGAGTCTGTACACATTGATGGCTCTGCAATTTGTTCCCTAGGCTTCTTTGTCAACAGGCTTCTGGCTAGGTTCAGTCAATGGGAGGCACCAAAGGGCAGGAGGAGGGGAGAACCCAGCGTAAGTTCTCTCTTTCTTCTTCAGGTCACAGTTCACAGTAGTGATTTTATCTTCTCTATGGTTTAAGCTGCCCTCCCGCAGCCTCTTTCTCTGAGGTTCCAGCTCCTACCAAGTAGTCCCTGATGTCTGGCTTCTGTAACATCACATTTTCCCTGCGATTCTTCAGTCCTAAGGGTGGCAGCAGTTTCCTGCTATTGTTAATCTATGAGTTGCTTCACCATTTCCTGTTTGGTTTCTCATCTCTTCTGTCGCCTGCATAATTAGGTCGTGTATTTAATTCCCTCTGTCTAAAATATTAGAGGAGTTACTGTGTTCCTCATTTGATTCTATCACAGCCCATTCTGTTTGTTTTTGGGAATCTTCTTTGGACACCGTTACAGATGCAGATTAAGCCACCGTTCAGATTTCAGGTCATCTCACTAATAATTAAAATTAATAATAAGGGCAAAACAATAACAGTAGCACTTCTCCCTACTCAACCATAGCTTTTGATGTCCTTACATACAGCCCATGTTATGCTAAGCATGTTACTCACATTAGCTTACCTAATGCTCTCAAAACATTCGAAGTAAGTATTATTATTATCATGCTCATTTTACAGATAAGGAGACTGAGGCTGAGAGAGTTTAAGTAACTTGATCATGGTAAGACAGATAACAAGTGTCAAAACATTGTTTAGGAAGTATGTTCATTTCATGCCCCTAGTTTTTAACCCACTGGTCATACTGGCTCTGAACATTTTGATAACAACCAACTTCATATTGTAAGGCACAGTAACTCCTGAGTGTGATCACCAAGGAGTTCAAGCAATGTGCCTTTCAATAGCGTTGTCCACTCTCTACCTTAACCTTCAGGGGTTACTTCCTCTGCTTAGAGGCATTAAAGTGGATATTTTCCATGTCTTAAGGATACAAGGGAAAAAAGAAATGTCCAGAGTTGAGGACAACTTTTTTTTTTTTTTTTTTTTTTTTTTTTTTGAGACGGAGTCTGGCTCTGTCGCCCAGGCTGGAGTACAGTGGCGCGATCTCGGCTCACTGCAAGCTCCGCCTCCTGGGTTCACGCCATTCTCCTGCCTCAGCCTCCCGAGTACCGAGTAGCTGGGACTACAGGCGCCCGCCACCGCGCCCGGCTAATTTTTTGTATTTTTAGTAGAGACAGGGTTTCACGGTGTTAGCCAGGATGGTCTCGATTTCCTGACCTCGTGATCCGCCCACCTTGGCCTTCCAAAGTGCTGGGATTACACCGCGCCCGGCCGAGAACAACTATTAATGTCTGACAGGGTGCTCGTGAGGGATGAGAAAACCGCCTTGTACCCAGGGAGGACAGGCTGGGCACCTGCGGATGCCTGCAGGCCTCTCATTCTGTGAGCTCCCTGCAGGCCTGGGATGCTGAGAATTGCAGCCTCTGGAGCAGGTGTGCTCAGGCTCTGATCTTTTCTTACCCAAGGGCTAAGAGATAAGCTGCAGAGAAAAATTAATAAGAGTGAAGGAAGGAACCGTCTTAAGAGGAGGAGGGGAGCCTTCCGCAAACAAAGGGAGATTGTCTAGATACGTGCTCCATCCTTTCTGCTGGTTTTTCCCCTCCTTTCTCTCTCCATTTTTCCCCTAAGCTTTGTTTTCAGACTGATTTTCCTACACATTCTTTTCTTAGCCTTTCTCCTTCCATGTCTAAATATGGGGTGGGGGAGGGTCAGAACCAAATTAGCTAAACATTTTACCTTTGGGACTGAGCGATAAAAATAACAGCCCAGTTTCAGCTCTCTGAATCATTTCAATAGTATTGGAAGCATGCAGAGGAGCTCTACAGGAGGCGGAGCTGGGAAGAGAGGGGTTAAGACTCTCGCCATGTATTAGAACTTGATTTATGGCATGGATCAAGTTCATGTTCCTCTCAGGATCTGGTTTTGAGCAAAAAAAATGACAGTTTTCCAAGTACGAAGTCCAAAATGGTCACGCAGTGTATTAACATGCCAACCTGGCCTCCAGGAGATAGGCATAAGCAAGAACCTGCAAGCCCACAGCTTGCTTTGAAGTGTGCAAAACATAGTTGGTCCTTCAGCCCAAGGGTGTCTTCAGAAATGAGAACGGTCAACTTTCTATGATCCAGGGGCAGCTTCCCCAGTTTGTGGTTGATGAAAATCTTTTGATTTTCCCGTTTTCTTTTTCTAGCTACTTGCCTTCTATACTCCTCCCAAAGAGGTGGCAATGGGAAGGAATTAAGAATACTAGCAGATTAGCCAATTCTTGCTTGCATCTAAACAACACTGATACTGTTTGTTTAGCTCCCTTTTTATTTTATTTTGAGTGCACAGAAAGCTATTTTCGAATTTCAAAAAAGCAGGAGATATAGTGAACCTTCCAATTAAATTCACGTTCAGATCTCTGTGTCTAACATGTTTTCAATTTGACTAGGTGAAGGGAAAAAAAGAAAGATATTCTCATTTACCTTCTTGCACAAACTGGTGAATAGTCCGTGTGTGTTAGCCCTTGAGGAGCCACATGCACGCAACATCTTTTCACACCCCAAACCAGCAAATGATGCAATGATTTAACACTGCAATCATAAGAGCTATTAAAAATGAAGTTTTTATGAAAAAGGGGTATTTTCATGTAACTACAATGATGGTGTGACACACAAAAAGCAAAACAAATGCAAACGTAAGTCCTGCAAAAGATAAGTACCTGCTAGTTTAATTATTATTAAAAAGAAAATGAGAAATAGCAGACTGAGAAAATGGAAGTCATGTAAGGATGGTCCGAAAGACAAAGGAAAGGGGAATAAATGATGTCTTAACATTGAGATGTTCACCTCAGCAGCAATTATCACTGGCAAATTCTGCCCTGACAAGGGGAGACACGGGTTGATATAAAAGGGCTTTTTCATTTTTACTTCCTAGAGTTTGTGAATAACTGGCTTCCCAGGTGACAATTACTCTGCTTCCTCCAAACACAATTCCCTACCCCCTTTGACCTCTTGCAGCACAAACACTTCAGAAATAAAAACCCCACTGGGCCCTCTGGTGCTCTTCTTTCTCTGAATTGCAAGTCTGGCCTTGATGGTCTGGATTTTGGAGGATGGAAATAGGAAGAGAAAGGCTGCATTTAAGAGAAAATCTCCTTTTCACAATTGGGTGGCTCTCCAATATCACCTGGAATTAAAATATATTTCCCTGCCACCCTGCTCTGTGAGACTGTCAGTCAAAGACCCAGACAAAGGATCACACGTTTTCTAAATCCACTTCCACCTGCTGGAGTACGTGATTGTCAACATTTGAATGTTCCAGAGGAAAGAAGGAGCTACTGATCGTCAGGAAGGTGCTAGCACGCTTGACTTTAGGATATCCATGGAGGCAACGTAGGGTATCATCATCTTCTTTCACTTAAAAATCTCTCCCCAGGGGTGCCAGAAATCTCACTACGATTTGTCTGTAGCATTGGGGTGAAGCAATGGGCCATATTTCTACTTTGTAACATCCTAAGAAGATATGTTCTCAGAAAGATGGGGCTAAACATTTCTCTTTTCCTAAAGAACTCTTTTTCCCTTTTTCCTCTTTTGAGATTCCTATATCATGGGGGTAGTTGTCATAATCAGTGACAAATACTCTAGCATGAATTAGTTTGTTCAAATTACATTTCTACAAGCACACTTTTATAAAATAACAAACAAAAGTTAGTTTTTGAAGACGCTAGAAATCTATTGGGGGAACGCTGGGCATAACTGCAAAGGTTACGAAAATTATAGGACAGTGCATTCATGACAAATGAATTATATAAATATAAAATTCTGCAGCAGTTTAGAGTAGGGGGAATCATGGAAAGCCTCTAGGAGGAGGCAGGACTTGAACTAGGAAAGATAAAATATAAGTGGAAAAATGTAGTAATCATCCAACGTTTTGTTACAGTCACCATTGGAACACTTTTCTTTGAGGGGATGATATCATCTGCGCTAATACTTTTGAAAAGTTGATCTGGAAGGCACCAGACCTGTTCTGGCTCATGCTACCAGGCTATCTTCCCTGCGTTCTCACAGGTTCCCCAGCCCTCAGCCCTGCCATTTATTCTACAAAGAGCACTAGAGGGGTTTAAAACTCTAATTGGATCCTAATGTGACTCCTCATTGGTTTCAGGAGAAAATTTAAACCTACACACCTAGTTTACAAGCAAGGTCTAGCTTCAACTCTCCCCCTCCCCAACACTGAATTTCAGCCATGTTCTCTCTCCTCCTGGCTTTGAATGGTGATTCCTCCCTCCTTCCCACCACCAACCTAGTTAGCTTGCGTGCATCTTTCCATCTTCATGCTACAGATCATTTCTTCCAGAAACCTAATCTGAACCCCCAGACTAGATCCCTTTCCTTTTTTTTTTTCTTTTGAGATAGAGTCTCTCTCTGTTCCCAGGCTGGAGTGCAGTAGCGCAATCTTGGCTCACTGCAACCTCCACCTCCCAGGTTCAAGTGATTTCCTCCTGTCAGCCTCCCAAGTAGCTGGGATTACAGGCGTGTGCCACCATGCCTGGCTAATTTTTCTATTTTTAGTAGATACAGGGTTTCACCATGTTGGCCAGGCTGGTCTTGAACTCCTGACCTCAGGTGATCCAACCACCTCAGCCTCCCAAGATGCTGGGATTACAGACGTGAGCCACTGTGCCTGGCCCCTAGATCCCTTTCTACTATGTGTCAGCACTGTTCAACCCAGTGAATCTACTGCTGACAAGTGAGTCACAGTCTCTGCTCTTGGTGGAGTTCCCATTCTGGTGGGACAAGACACAGAATCATTAAATAAACATAAATATATATGATAATTTCAGATGATGTTAAGGACTGTAATAAAAATAAAACAGAATGGCAGGCCAGGGAACAATGAACAGTGAAGGGGATGTGTCCTGCTTACATGAAAAAATAGGGAGTTTGGGGCCTTCCCACATGTTCCTCTTGTACCCTGCACTTCCCCATTAGCGGTAATAACAACTTAATGTGATAACAGCCTTTTTTTTTTTTTTTTGAGACAGAGTCTCTCTCTGTCACCCAGGCTGGAGGGCAGTGGCATCATCTCATAGGTTCAAGTGATTCTCCTGCCTCAGCCTCCTGAGTAGCTGGGACCATAGGTGCGTGCCTGCATGCCCAGCTAATTTTTTTGTAGCAGCCATTTTTTTAACTGATTTTCTGTGCAAGATTAAAAATGCAGGGTCAAGGTCTATCCATTTCTTTATTTGCCTCTAGTTGTTAACATGCTGCCCAGAATATAGTGCTTGATAAGTATTGGTGGAATGAATGAGAGATTAGAAGGGAGAAAGACTTGGAATTTAAAGGCCATTATAGTTGTCCAGTTAGAGCTCATGAGGGCCTGGGCTAAGATGGCGTGACATTCAGGATAGAAAACAGAGGCTGGATGTGATGAGTGGTATTGTAGAGGAAATAACAACAGGAGCTGGTGACTAACTGGAAAAGGGAAGGAGATCAGGAGGAGTAAAGGACACCACCTTTTAGTCTTTGGACACAGGTTACAGGGAGAATGAGAGACAGCTAACTACTCATTAAAACCCATCTTCTCTGGGACACACAGTCAGATATTACCCAGCCTCCTTGGCAATTACACCATGTGACCAAGTTCTAGCCAATGAAATGTGAACAAAATGATGTGCGCCACTCCCAGGCCTGGCCTGTGTAAATCTCCACACAGGATTCTCAGTGCCTTTTCTCCTCTTGCCATCTGGATGTCAATGCTTGGGACTTCCTCAGAAGCCATGCACTGAAGATGACAGAAGCTCCCCTCACCCTGATCCCTGAATGGCAGTGAGAGCAGAGCCCACCCTCCCCTCATCCCTGCCCCCTGGAATTACCTTGAGCTATTTCTAGATCAAGAGATGTCTATAGATCAAGAAATGAATGGAAATAGGAAATTTAGGAGAAAAAGATGGTTCGGGTTTGGGCAAACCCAAACCACCCTAAAACGAAATCGAGAACACTGATCAATTTAGTTTTAGGAAGTAGAATGTGAAGTTTCAAAAATATTCAGTTGAAGATGTCTCAAAGGAAGGTGGAAAAGCTAGTTCAGAGTTTAGAACCAGGCTGGGGACATGATGAATAGAGATGAGGTCATTTGTTTAAAATGGGAGGAAGTGAGGTTAACAAGAGGGAGCGGATAGAGGGAACACATGGGCATAATCTCTAAAAATCACTATATTCAAAGATCAGGAAGAGCAGATGCCACAAGGGACAGAGGAGTGGTCTGAGGAAACCAAAATGGTGGACACTGAAGAACCAGAAACTGGCGTCCCAAATCCTGGGGCAAGGCCCAGGAGGAAGGGGGCTTGGGTATGGTCAGGGAATATGACACTGCTGGGGCCGGAAGTGGCCTCAGGGCCAGCGGTGGCATCAGAGCACAGTGGAAATAGAAACCAAATTGTACACTGGTGGCTTGACCCGTATGTGGAAGCCATCATATTGCAGTAGATCATTAAAAGCTACGTCTTGATTACCTAGGGGAAGTCGCAGAGTAAAGAAAAGGCTGTTCTCACCTTGAGGCTGGAGGGTCTTGAGGGTCTTCATTCTACTGAATGAAGCTGTAAGATGGAGAAGGAATAAGGAATGTGAAAGTCTCTGGCAGAGAATTTGGGAAGTAATAGTATGAAAGGCCTGAGTTAGGGATACATCTCTGTCAACAGAGGGACCCTTTCGTAGAAGGTTCTCCTTCATTGAAGGAGAACATAACTGCTTTGACTCCAATAAGGGTAGAGAAAGTGGGAAGGGGTTAAGGTGCCTGGCCTAGGAGCAGATGGCAAAAACCTGGCCCATGAGGACCAGATTCTCCCTGCAGGCTGCATGCTTGCAAGATCTCCCCTCACCCTTTTGTTCTAAGTTTATTTTGAAGCACCTGTTCGCTTTTATCTAGAGTCTTACCTCTCCAGTTTTATGTACTTCTGGTCACCAAATCTTAAGACTATGTTCAGTGTCACTGACTTGGGGCCTGAATGGTGCTTCGGTACCCTAAAAAGAGATGATATATAATTATGGGAAAGTCAATATACTGTCTGAAAGAGTAGAAAAGAAAAACCTGTTTTACACTTGTAACATAATTACTACAGAGCCTGTTCTGGAAAACAGACTGCATCTCTTGAATTGTAAACTCTCAGGGACGTGGACCCCTGGGATAGAAAGGAAAATCTATTTTCTTCCCCTAACATAGAGCCTTAAACATAGTAAGACCTCAGCAAATGTTAGCAGCACTTATTAATATTATTATTAACAATTCTCCCCTGGGGATTATGTAGTCAGCCCAGAAACGTTATTGCAAACATTAGAGCAAAGGGTCTTTGATCATTTACACTGAAGTCCAGAACTTCCATGGCAGGGATACCTGGGAGGGGGATGTGAAGAGGAGGCAGGATGACCATGGGGCCTCGGCTTTCCATTAATAAAGAGGGTAAAATTTATACTTTAATTATTTCACCAAATGAGATGGTATCTTCAGTCTCAGAGATACCCTGACAGGACTGAAAGAAGCCATTCATCACACAACCTTAAACTTGTGTTCCATTTTTGGATCACACTGCCTATGGTTTCCTAAGCATTAATATTGTTCATAAATCTTTTAATTATCTTGTGAGATTAAACTGTATTGCAATCTTATATTCAGTGTTACTAGGTTAAATGTAAACACAGGTTATGGGATTCAAAATGTGCTTACCTATTTAAATGATTTTTTAAGCCCCATTTTGACTTTTCTTCATTTTTCAATTACGTGAAAGTCCTAATACATCAGAAATGAGGTTGCCTGCCCTCTCTTGACAGATGAGAGTTCTGGCTAGAGATTAGCTAGTTTAGTGATTCTTAACCAAAGGAACATGTCTGATTCATCGGTGGAATTTCTGGAAAAACAATGCCCTGCCCACCCCAAGATTCTGATTCAAGAGATCTGGAGTGTAGCTAGGACCTGCATCTATTCTGAAACATCCTTGGATTTTCTGGTCCACAGTTCTGATGAAGATCCACTGACACGGTCCAGTTGTCTCTCCAGCCTCCCCACCTGGGGCTCCACCCACAGGTTCACAGTCGGCATGTAATTTACAAACATATGCCCTGACTTGAAGGGCCTGGGGCAGGTGCATTTGCACTCTCTTAATATCAGCAAGTGAATCATTTATTTCTTGCCATCCTTATTAAATCAGAGCCCTGAAGCAAGACCACGATGTTGTGCCTCCTAAAAACCATGTGCATCTGGCTTCGGAAAAAATTAAAGAAAAAAAAAAGAGCCAACGTTCTCTCACCCACCCCCTTTCTCCCCATGCTCCCTCTCCCCCTCTTGAAATTTGGTGTGGGAGGCACATGTCCCAAAACTTAAATTGCTGATTAACCGGGAAGCTTGCTTTATGGATGGGACTTTAGTTCCTATGCCACTGGGCATAGAAATGTGATCGATGAATTAGCACTTTCTTAGCATAGCAGCCCCTCAGTTGTGCACTCTCTGTATCCTAGGACTGTGGGTCTTGCCCTAGGGGCACTCTTCCCAAAAAGGATCTGGAGTCAAATGGTCCTGCTCCTCCCCTCCAGGACACAGAGGACACTGGTACAGCTGTGCCTCTGGTGCTCCAGGAAAAGACTGAGCATTTGTTGACATGCCGCAGACTCCTGCGGGACGGTACAGGACACAGATGCTGCTTATAAAGGGATTGACCATGTGTCATCTTTGTGCTTCCAGAGGGTCACGGCACATTAGCACTGGGCTTGGTGCCTCTCAGAGGGTAGGGCATTCTAACTCCAGATTTCATTCAAATTCTGGACTTCATGTCTGCGCATTTGACGCTAAATAATATCCTGTCTTATGAAATTGATGAACTTGTCTTCCATTGTTCTATAACTTTATATATGAGTGTATCTCATCTCCCCCATTGGACTGTAGGTTCCCAGGACAGAATTGTTAAGCTGCCCATCTTTGTGTTTCTACAACCTAGTACACAGTGTGGGTTCAGGGATTTCAGATAAAATAAACAAGATTTCAGGAAAGTAGCCTAAAACCTAACTTCTAGTTCCTGGTGCTATTAAGTCACATCCAAATATTCATGATCTTTGTTTAGGCTTTCTTGCTAACTGTCAGAAAGATAATGAGTAATAATGTAGATCATCACATACACCCCTGTTGTTAAAGGTAGCTCTGTACAAGTAAACAGATCTGGGCTTTGTCGATTATTAGGGAATCATCTACAGACATCATCATGTCAAATTCCTGAAGTCTCTTGAATATAAGAAATGCCAAGACAAAAGACAAGAATAATATTGAGTGACAAATGAGGTGTATAGCTTTGGACTTTTCTTATTTGAGGTCCAGGTTAGGCATAAGTGGGTATTAATAGTATGACAATTGCTGAGAGCCTGAGGAACTATGTACTCTGATACAAAACTGGTCGGAATGCAAACCAGTATCATCTGGTGTAAACAAGATTTACATACTTATTTAATTCATCGACTCTTTTACATTTTTTAGCAAAGGAAAGTTATAATTCATTGTAATTTTTTCAACTTTTAAGTTCAGAGGTACATGTGCCAGTTTGTCATATAGGTGAACTCATGTCATGGGGCTGTCCTTTGCAGGCACATGGATGGAGCTGGAGGCTGTTATCCTTAGCAAACTAACTAAGGAACAGAAAAGCAAATACCGCAGGCTCTCACTTATAAGTGGGAGCTAAATGATGAGAACACATGGACACATAGCGGGGAACAACACACACTGGGACCTATTAGAGGGTGGAGGGTGGGAAGAGGGAGAGGATCAGGAAAAATAACTCATGGGTACTAGGCTTAATTCCTGGGTGATGAAATAATCTGTACAATTCTTTTAATTAATTAATTAATTTTAAATGGACAAAATTTGTATATATCTATCTTGTACAACATGTTGTTTTGAAATGTGTATACATTGTAGAATGGCTACAGTGAGCGAATTAACATGCAATCCATCAATTCTACTTCTAGGAATTCAGACTGAGGAAGTTAACCTAACAAGTGTGCAAAGATATACATTAAGGAAATTCATGAAAATATTGGAAACAACACTAATGTGCAATCCTGGGGAATTGTTAAGTAATTTACGATATGGCCATACAATGCAATATTATGCAGCTGTCAAAAAGGTGAAGGTAGGTTTTTAATACTGTCTTTCATCATTTATAAGATGCTTTTTTATTCTTTTAGCATCTCTGAAATAAGGATGTGTCTTATAGTCAAAGGAATCTGCCACTTATAATCAGCAGCAATTTTTTTCCTTCTTAATGGGCACATAATCTTACAATTACATGTATTTTTGATTCAATGAAGTATGGCGTATTGATGTGAAATATGGCCACTGCACATGAAGTTAAAAAAGAATCCTATACAACAGTCCATAGATAATATCACATTTATGTTAGTATATATGTTGATTTCTGGAAACAGATGCATCAAATTTTTGATTGTGATTGTCTCTGGGTAGGGTTATAAGAGCTCTAACTTTTTCTGTATTTTTTTTCTAAACAATTTACAACACTCATGTATTATCAGCTAAAATAAAGGTATTTTTAAATAAGTGACTTGCTTTGTCTTTTTCTTTCCACCCACTGCGAGGCTGTTACTCGAAGTAAGAAAAATTCCAGGACTGACTGACCATAAAAGAGTCAGGAGAGCAAAGTGTTGCCTTTCTCACCTCCGACCATCGTCAGCAATGTGGTCACAGCCTCAAGTCTATGGTTCTTGGCTTCCAATTCCCAAACTCAGACGTCTTTTTGTGAAGTACATTTGTATAGCTGAGCACCTGGATGACCTATTTCAAGTTTAGCCCAGCAGGATTTATGCCACGTTGTCTTAAGATGAGGGCAAGGGGACATGTTAGGGAACCCTGCTTGGTGAGGGAACAGAGAGGAAAGAGACAAAGTAATTGAGGAGAGAAGCTACCTGTTCTGATAATGGAAGAATAAGGGATGGAGAATAATGATAAGGCATTCTGAAGCTAAGTTTGATATTTATCTTCTTCTAACCCAACAACCTCATGTGTTTGGAAAGGTGTGGCTGTCAGGATAATACTACCTCCACCAGGACTGCAGTGTTGAACACTAAATGCTCACAAGGAGAATTCAGAATGTGAGAGTGATCATTTAAAAGTACTAGGGCTTTTTTTTTAAAGCATTTAATTATATTACATTATTTAAACAACCATAATTAGATGATAACCATAGTCATTTAAATGTATTTAATGTGTGATTTTTAAATTCCTAAGCATTGTGCTAAGTATAATGTTATTATCAATTAAATTAGCATTCTTACCACTTTTGCTCTCAGTAACTTTTCAGCCTTCCACTGCTATTATCTGAAATTTTATAGTAGCATCTTATCTGTAAAGGATCAGTGTGGTTATCCCGTCTGTTCCATTAATAATTTTTTAATTAAATGAGATGACAGCTGTCCCTCCTCCATGTCCTCACTACCTTGTCACTATCGTTCTTTCCAAAGCAATTTTTTTTTCTGGTCTTCCTCATTTTTGCTCCTTTTTTCCCCCATAGATAAGTTTAGCTCCTGGTGTCTTTCACAAATGAATCTGGAATTTCTTCTCTGATCCTCATGCCACCTACCCCAATCTGTTTTCTCTCTGTCTTCTTGATTTCAGTACTGTATTCATTTCTTCCTTTCAGAAGATTTTCTTACTTCTCTCCATCTCTCGTCTTTAGTCCTTTCAATTGTCTTGGGGTTCCTTTCTTCTGAGTTCCCACTTTTTCCCCAAACACTTCAATCATGTTGCCTTCCATTTCTGTCTATTTTAAAAAATTAGATTGCACCTTAGGTTCTAAATACTCAGTTTAGGAACACAATTCTTATATAAAGAAACAAAATTAGTGCCAGCTTCATCATGGAAGCCCCGGTGACCTCACAACTGACAGCATCATATAAACAACCCCCGTGGCAGCCATTCGTTTATCTATTCAATTCCAAATATTTTTTCTCTAGTGATCTTTCTTGATGAGAAATGAAGGATATTCACTTTGGAACAAGTAATCGACTTGATACCCAAATATAACTCCCGGGAGAATGTGTTTCTTAAATAGTTCATCTTCCAGGATGACCTTTTACTTACGATTGTGTTGCCATTGTTTTGAAGTCTTCCCTCTTGTTGATAAATAAATAAGATATCAAATTTTAAAAAAAGTCTAGTGTTATATTAAACTTGAGAGTTTAAAAGAAAGCGACTCAGGATTCAACCCTTATTCTATCCAAATTGGCTTATCTATTTCTAAACTGTGCATGTAGAGGCATAGATAGAACTAGAAAAGATTTTACTGGGTTCTTGTTTTACGGATAAGGACCCAAGAAAGTAGAGCATTTGGACTTGCACTCTTCAATACAATAGCCATTAGCCATACCTGGGAATTTAAGTTTAAATTAAGTAAAATTTAAAAAGAAAAAGTAATATTTATTAGTCACACTAGCCATATTTCAAGTTCTCAGTATCTACAATGGCTAGTGGCTGCCCTATTGGACAGTGCAGACATACAATGTTTCCATTTTAGCAGAATGGTCTTTTGGACAGTGCTGGTTTGGGCCATATAAGGCTGAGATTCAAGAACCTGGGACTCCCTAGCTGGGCATGGTGGTGGGCGCCTGTAGTCCCAGCTACTCAGGAAGCTGAAGCAGGAGAATCTCTTGAGCCCAGGAGGTGGAGGTAGCAGTAAGCTGAGATTGCACCACTGCACTCCAGCTTGGGTGACACAGAGACCCCGTCTCAAAAAAAAAAAAAAAAAAAAGAATCTGGGACTCCTGTAAGCTAAAGACCCCAGTGCCCTATAAGGAAATATATTTTATAATGTTTCCTTACAGTATAGGAACCTGAGAGGTCACATACACAGGGAAAGTGAATTACATATAATTTCGTACAGTTGACTGCTCATGAAAAGTTGCTTTTCAGCTTACAAAGCATTTTAACATCTATCATCCTATTTGAAGCCCACAAGAGCCCTGCATAATAGGAAGAACAAGTGTTCAGCATCTTCATTTCACAGACGAGGAAATAGTGGCTCAGGGAAATTAGGACTTGTCCAAAGCCATGTTTCTTTTAAACTAAGACATGAACCCAAATCTTCTGCTCTAAATCCCTTGATGTTTTTATCTTGTCAAAATGCACTGAGAGAATGGGTGTTACCAAAAAAAAAAAAAAAAAAAAAGACCACGTATATTAAGAACATTCTAGAAGCCAGGTGCTTTGCCAGGTATTTTATATGTGTTATCGTATGTAATCCAGCCTGAGCTTTAGTCTTTTTTTTTTTTAAATTATTATTATACTTTAAGTTTTAGGGTACGGAGCTTTAGTCTTAAACGTCCAACTGCCTACTTCACTTCCCGCTTTGAAAATCTAATAAGTTCTCAAACTTACAGAGTCTAAGGTAGGATCGCAGATAGCCTAGACAAGAGATGGTAGCTCAGATGGAAGTGATTTTAGTAGAGGTGGAGAAAAATTAAGATGCTTAGGTTATATTTTAGAGAGCAGGTTCGCCGAGTTTGCTGATGGCGGGGAGAGGGAAGTGAGGAACCAAGAGGGACTCAAGTTTTTCACATAATCACTTTGGTGGATGCTGATGCTCTTTACTGAGACAGAGTGTTTGCTTAAAAATGTAAATCAGATAAGGCTGCTCCTCTGTTTAAATCCCTCGGTGGCTCCTTATTGCTCTTAGAGCAATCCCTCACCTTGCCCTATAAGGCACTCCATTATTTGGCCACTCTCCAGCCTCTCTTCCACCAAGTATACATTTGTTCTGTTTGCTCAGTCCCCAGCGGACTCCTCTCTGTCCTCCAGCTCTGCACTCCTGTCTCCTCCCTGGGCTTTGCTTTTGCTTCCTCTGCCCAGAAAACTCTACCCTTGATGCTCACTCTCCTCTCCTCAGATCTCAGTTCAGGTGTCACCTCCTTGGGGAAGCCTTTTCTGATCGTTCTGTCTCAAGTGCTCCCATGCTCACTGTCAAGTCTGCATTACCCTCTTTATTTCCTTTGCAGCACTGCATCACAATTTTAATTAACTTGTTCACAGATTTTTTTCCTTATTTATTGTCTAGGAACCCTGTCACCTCTGCTTTCTGAAATATATGCCCTTTAACTTTGAACAGTGCATATTAGCCTAGTAGATGCCCAATAAATATTTACCTAATGAATATTTATTCAACAAATAAACAACACTGAGACTAAGTACCATTATTATTTCCATATTACAGCTAAGGAGACAGAGGCCTAGATAATAATTTGCCAATTGCTTCACATTTAGTAGGTGGTACAGCCAAAAATTGATCCCAAGTGTATCTGACTCTTGCTTTTAATCAAAGATCTATACTGTGACCTTATTTTGTAAAAAAATTCCTTGTGTTTGTTCATCAAACATTTATTGAGCACTTATAATGTACCAGGCACAGCAGACCACACTGGACAAATTCTAGCTCTTCAAAAATGTGATACATTCCCTTTCTTCATGTGGCTTCCAAAGCAAGCAGGCAATCCTTTTGTAAGGTGAAAAAATTATCATCCATTCATTTTACACATTATGTGACTCATTTAAACCTGCACGTACTTGTTATAACAAAAGAATCTTAGGAATAAGCTAGTTCTTGAAATGGCATTTTTGTCTCCCTTCCTTCCCACTCCAGATGACAAGAATCCCTTCTTTTAGATGATTTTCTCTAATGGATGTTTTAGAAGATTTTTTAAATAGCTGACCAAAGTAAAATATATACAACTTATTTGGGGACCATCCAAGTGGTTTTTCATAACAGACCGAATTATTAGTGACACAGATGTGATCCCTTAAATTGGCATTAAAGGAAAACCTGGAGGAGGGAGCTGAAAGAAGTGAGTTGTATATTAAAAACCTGGGTTCAGAAGGGCACAGTGGCTCACGCCTGTAATCCCAACACTTTGGGAGGCCAAGGCAGGCACATCACGAGGTGAGGAGTTCAAGACCAGCCTGGCCAATATGGTGAAACCCCATTTCTACTAAAAATACAAAAATTAGCTGGGCATGGTGGAGTGTGCCTGTAGTCCCAGCTACTCGAGAGGCTGAGGCAGAAGAATTGCTTGAACTTGGGAGACAGAGGCTGCAGTGAGCCGATATCGCACCACTGCACTCCAGCCTGGGCAACAGAGCGAGACTCCATCTCAAAAACAAAACAAAAAACCTGGGTTCTAGTTCCAGTTCTAACACTAAACTAATGACAGCCAAGTCACAACCTTTTAAAAATTTCTTTTCTCATCAATGAAATGAAAAAAAAAAAAAAGAGTGCTTACTACCTACATCATAGGGAATCAGGAATTCCACATCATAAGACAAAATTGTGTGAAACTAATGAATTCATAAAAATGCTCTGAAAAGCCAATGGTTCCATGAAACATGTTTCTGTTATTTTAGGACCTCGTTTGCTCCTTAAAGGATGGGGAAAGTGGATGGGTCACAGGTACAAAGGGATAGAGAGCTCTGTTTTCTTTCCCAGCCTTATTCTTTCACTCATTCATGCTGGGATTCCATGCCTCTGAGCTTCCAGACACACAGTTTCTTCTGCCCGCCATGCCCTTTCCTCACTGATGATTTTCTTGTTCTATTTCAAGACTCAGGTTGAACCTCACTTTCCCTATACAGCCTCCCTGACTCCTCCCTCTAAGCAGAGTAATTGTTCCTTTTTCTGTGTTTTTTGAATATTGTGATCTACTTCTCAAATCTAGCTTATGTTAACATTATAGTGTCATCTGTTTATAGATCACTAGATTGGGAGCTTCAGGAGGGTAGGGACTGTCCAGTGTTCATGGGATTGTCTTCCTCACCTCCACCTTCCAGTAACAGCTCCTGTTCACCTACACCCATGTGGTTATCATAGGGTCCACCATCCTAGTCCAGTGTGACCCCACACCTTGCCCCTGCTGATGGGTTGGAGGTAGGCACCTGACAGAAGCAGAGAATCCCACCCCACAGGGCAGAGTTATCTGGTGAGCTCCTGGTCCAGGGCTAATCAGTGGCTTTCCTCGGGAATTCTGGAATTGGAACTGAGAAAAGGAATTCAGTCTCTCTGGTTTTGAAGCAAGAAATTTCAGAGCAATTGGTAGCCCTGTTTTCTGACAATAAGGGCAAAATCAATGGAAGTCTTTAGAAATAGAAGAATGAAATAAATGAACTGAGGGGAACAGAGCTCAGATGGAGGGTCCTGAGCTCTTGAACCCCCCATTCTAGAAGTCATGTTTCACTGCTAGGGTTTGCACAAAGACACCCTAGTATCCCTATAATAAATTATACCCTAGAGTCCTTATAATGAACTCCCCATTGTGCATAGACCACTTCGAGTTTTTGTCACCACCAAAAATAAATAAGTAAACATAAATGTTCAGTTCTAACTAATAGAATTTGCCTTGTGCATCTTTGGAATCCCTAGCGTTTGGCACAATCTTTAGCTCATTGTCTACTCACTAGTTAAATTAGTAAATTAATTAATCCTAATCCCAATTCCTGTGTCATACAGTTTTTACAATACTAAACAGAAATGCCTGACCTTATAAGTGACCAAACACAAAAATGTAGTTGTGTTTTTAGCTTTAAAAATGGACTTAAAAATATATTTCAACTTACCCTCTGAAAAAACCTTCAGGATATTTATAACTCAATTATAAATATAAGCATCTATTAAGTGAACCGAATATTTGGACATCCCATTACAGTAGGGTAAAAATTGCTTAATGAAATGCTGGTAGCACACAGTGGGTGAGAAAGAGAATGGACAGGAGAGTGATGTTTTGACCTTAGCCTTATAGCTTAGGACTGCTGGGACTGAACCTCCCTGGGCTTCAGTTTCCTCACTCAAAAAACAAAGAACAGATAAGATAGGGAGTTGGGCTTAGAGAAAATCTACCCTCCTGACCTCACAGATTTATTATGACTCTTAAATGAGGTAAGATGTTAAAGATCTTGGAGAGCTGTAACATAACAACCAAAATGGGTATAGCTTTCACTATTAATAGTTCACCATTATTGTCCTAGCTTTGCTAGTAATTACTTTGATAAATTGTTTTCTCTTTATTTTATGCCTGTTAGAGCTGTTATTAAAAATCTAAATAACCAAGTCAAATCAACCCAATCAGCTTTACTATTATAGTACTAGAAGTACTACCACCCGTGATTGGTTTGTGACAACCAATATAAAGGTCCCCTTAGAGAGAGATGGGGGACGGGTGGAAGAATGGCTCAGAATATTCTGCTGAAACACTCTTCGGTACCTTTCCCTTTTCTCTCAGCTTCTCTCTCTTTTCTTCAACTCTCACTGAGTGCTATTTCCCAAGACAGAAGTCTTTTATTATAATAATAGTATGTTAGACTTTCCTGATATTTTATTTTGAAGGAAATCCAAGTCATTGAACAAGCAAGTGTTGTCTCCTTTAAACGGCTGAAGAAACTGGCCCAGGGAGGCGATGCCCCCGGAAAGTCACACGGCTGGTGAGTGACAGAACCGAGGGGAAAGAGCTGAATCTTCTGCTCAGACCATCTAGAATACATGAACAATGCCATTGTTCTCTCTATACCAAAATAACTGAGGCAGGGAGGCCTAAATGGTCTTTGTTGCTGTTGGGAAGGAAAGGGGACAGAAATGAGCGGGCGCTTAATCACTGCGCCGCTGGCCCAATTTCCTCACCCTTCTTCCTCCCAGTGCTCTCCAAGAATTGCAGGAAATCAGACCTCTAATATGGAAAAACTAACACTTAGCAAAGAAAATGGCAAACATTCCCACCGGGGTTCTGTTTTCTGAGAGTGCATTGATTAGCTTTTCAAGGATGAAGTCTCCGGACAAAGAGCAGGATGGAACCTGGGAAACACCTGCCCCAGGCTCGCTGAGGATCCCCCTGTTAAGGGGCATCTTGGCTCTGTGTGGAGTGGGGGACACGGCACTTGGGGGGCTGCAGAAGAGGAAGGGAAAGAGAGAGGCCAAGTGCCACAAATGGAGATCCCCACCATTGTCTTTCTTGTCCTGAACCCCAAAGCTGAGGCCACAGTCCAAGCTTCGGGCTGAGCGTGAGCAGTGTGCGCATTTCTCCAAGAACCATGATTACCTTCAGATCCAGAAACACCCCGCCCCCGCCCCAGAATGATGAGAATTTCTGTTAGTAAAGATAATGACAGCCAGCACTTATCAAGCATGTTACATGTGCCAGGCCTGACTTCCCTCATTGTCCATGAATCAAATCGTGTAATTCTTAAAATCATCTCCAGGAGCTAATTAATACAGCTTGGATGGAAAACATGGCGGATAATTCATAATTAGTGTCTGGTTGTGCTTCACCATGTTTTTACATTTATCTTGCAATATAGGGCTTCTGATGTTTTTGGAAGTTATTCTAAACCAGAAGAGGAAGTCCTGTTGGAAAGATCTGACACAGAAGGATATGGAAAAGAGGCCCAGTGTCTCTCTCCAGCCATGTCCATGTTTCTCTGCAGCAGTTAGGGTGTTAGGGTTTCCAAGGGCTTCCCCAGGAGACTGAAGTCTGCAGTCACTTAGGGCAAGAAAAAGAGAAGCCACATGTCATCAGTTTTGTAGGAGAAAGCAGCATTAAATGTAAAACGAAGGCTTACCCCGGAGATACTACAATGTAGATGATAAAGATTTTCCTTCATGTGCTCAATTGTGCATTCTGTGGAAGATTGTATCTGTTGTCATTTGTGTACTCAGAGCCTAGCACAGAGATTGCCAGCATGTAAAACAGTCCTAATAAATATTTGTTGAATGAATGAAAAGAACGATGGAAAAGATAAACAGTTCTCTGGGACCATTCAAATTATTTTGCTGTTCTATAATTTTTATGTCAAATATTTCTGGAAATTATATTATCACAGAATTTATGAATAGAACTTTAAAATTCAGTTAATCCATTCTTTTTATGTTTTAGGAAAGAAAGAATGGGGCCCAGAAAGGCTAAGCAATGTGCCTCAGGTCACAAAGCTCACCAGAGGCACAGCTAGAGCTAGGACAATGCTTCCTGACTCCTCATCCACCATCATTTCTGCCTGTACACCATGTTGCCTCACACCTGGCAATAAGAAAACTCATCTTTGTCCTCACTGTAATGGAATAATGTGGGGTTTTTTCTTCATTATGCAGCTTTCCTCTTGATTTTCCTCTTAGTTCTCCTCTTGATTCTCTCTTGATTCACTGTCTTGAAAAGTGCTCTGAATTTTTTTACCCCTTAAGACTTTTGCAAGAAGATGCAGCAGAAGTATGGATGAGGAACAATTGGTAGTTCTGGAAAAGTGAGTGGGTCAATGCAAGAGTTGGCGTACACTGTAAATTATAAACACACAAAATAGAACTATTTGCAAGGCTGTGTTGAATATTCTGAGGGAGTTGACCCCAAAATAAATAGGAAGCCTCTTGCATTGCACTGAGGAAGCACACCTGAGCTGCCCATCTTTTCCTTCTTGCCTATGGTTCAGCCTTGGTTCTGGAAGGATAAACACATGTGCCTTGGCCTTGTCCCAGAGCAACAGCCAATTCAGCCACCTGGGAGCCTGGCCAATTAAATTCTTTCTCATGGGAAATTGGAATGGGGACCCAGAGACCGTGTCAGTGGGGAGCCAGGTAACAGGTTCTGTAGAGCCTGGGACTAAGGAAGTTTAGAGGCAGCTATGATAGAAGTGACATTAGGCCATATGCAATGGGTGAGGAGGCAAGGAAGTTCGTTTGTGGAAGGAAGAGAAAATATATAAAGAAAAGGAGAAATGAAATGAGAGAGAGGGAGAGGCCTGATAACTCTCAAATTCCCACAGCGATGATTTTTCCAACAGGGTTTCATCTAATCCCTCTACATCTTTTTTATTAATCTTTTTACCTTGATACAATTGTAGTACATTTTTGTTCTTTGCAAGGAGATGTTGACGTCTGAGTTGGAGCAGCCAATAGAGCAGAGGATACATTTTGCTTTTAAAGTGAACTGCTGCTGGAAAAGGAATGCAATTTTGAGAATGAGGATAGAAGAGAATAGAGCTGGCAGAAACAGGAAAGGGGACCCAAGAAGAACGAGGCATGGAGAATGCCACAGCAATGAGCCTGGGGAGGCTGAGGGGTGTGGGTGAATTGGCTGTCTTCCAGACACCCCGTTGACTTGGTGCCCAACCATTCACATTTTCTGTCCCCAAGAGCCAATCAGCTGCTCATCAGCACAGCACAGGGAAAGCATCAAAGGGATTTAATAATGGTTGGCAAATGTCAAATTACATTGAATCTAAACCAAATTCCAGACATTTAGGGCTGTGCAGTCATTAACAATCAATTAGTGCACTTGCTTTTCAGTCAAAGCATTTTTAATACCCTCTCCTTTCCATGACAAGGAGACACATGCTTCGCCTCCTTCTCCCCTCAGCAGCTGAGCAATGGATCCCTCCTCTAGCTTAGTCAGTAAAGGAACAATTTAGTTGCTGTTCTCATTGTGGTTTTCTCTCCTTGTTTGCACTTTCAGGAGTGGAAGGAAATGTTAAGTGGCATTTATACAGCCCATCCTGCAAATGTGGGCTAAGGAAGGAGAAATTGGTCATTTTTCTCTTTCTTAGGAATCATGAAATAATAAAAGTAAAGATGATGTAGAGAATCATCCAAAACCTTTTCTCTAGTCGGAATCATGAGACCATGGACTCTGGTACTCAGAGGAATGATGTATACCAACTATACAGGGAGGATGTTACGTGAACTCATTTCACCTCTAATAGCCCATGTTCTGATGCAGCAGGATTACATTCCAGCAACAGAGCCAGTAAACATTTACCACAAAACAAGACATCGTTCTATTGATTGCTGCGTATCTGCTCCATCCTTCCCTTTCCAAATTAGCTCAGATTTATGGCAATTCCCTTCCTGTTCCAAGAGCCAACCACATCCTCTCTGGGGTGCTGCAGGTCAGAGGAAGGAGATAAGCAGGGATCTGTCTCTGAGCATTCTCAGGAAGAGATTTCACAGGCGTTTTGAGAATTCCTCTTTTGCTCATATTTTTCCCTGCTAGGTCTTCCACAGGCCTATTCTTAGAATAACTTTCTCAGAATACACAAAAGCCCATTTTTGCAAACTGTGACATATATTCCTTCCTCCAATTTTGTTGATTAAAAAAATCTGGACATACAACTGGGCTTAGCTCAAAATGCTTTGTTGACAGACAACAGACTCATATGGGGTCTTCAAGCTCTCTCTCTCTCTCTCTCTCTCTCTCTCTCTCTCTCTCTCTCTCTCTCTCTCGGGGTCCTCAAGCTCTTAGTCCCAGGGAGCTTCTGCTTAAAAGCTGAGCTTCAGTGGCAAAAAATGGCAGTGAGGAAGAAGGCAAAATTTTAAAAAACGAAGAGGACTTGCAACGTAGACGGTGCCCATGGCTTCTGAGAAGCCAAGGGTAAGACACAGACTGTATAGTCTTACATCTTAAAGCAGGCAAGTTCTTCAGTCTTGGTAACAGGTATTTCTCTTCTTTTTCTTTTCTTTTCCTTTTCTTTTATCTTTTCTTTTTTTTTTTTTTAGACAGGAACTCGCTCTGTCTCCCAGGCTAGAGTACAGTGGTGCGATCTTGGCTCACTGCAACTTCTGCCTCCCAGGTTCAAGCGATTCTCCTGCCTCAGCCTCCTGAGTAGCTGGGATTACAGGCGTGCGCTACCACACCCAGTTAATTTGTATATTTTTCATAGAGATGGGGTTTTGCCATGCTGGACAGGCTGGTCTCGAACTCCTGGTCTCAAGTGATCCGCCCGCCTTGGCCTCCCAAATTACTGGGATTACAGACATGAGCCACTGCGCCTGGCCAGTAACAGATATTTCTATGCTCGGTTTGGGGCCTGGGCCAGAGATTATCTCAGCAAAGGGCGTGAGATGCCAAGTCCATATAAGAGGACTGAATCAAACCCAACCAAATACAAACTACTATCCCCAAAGAGTTACCACCATAGATGTCTTTTCTGGGAAAAGACCCAGGGATAGTCGATTTCAGTACATTTTCAAGAGTGGGTTCCTGGAACTTTACCTGAACAGCTGCCTTCTTGGAAGTCACCCCATAGTGACTGGTGGTAGCGCAGTTTTCTTTGTGACAGATCCCAAACATATGCAGTGCAATGAACAGACATACCATACTTTAAGCAAATCATAAGTACAGATGTTTAAAAATCCATATTTTTCAGAAAACTAGAGAAGGCTTATTTTCTTTGTAAAAATGTTGCTTTGCTTTGCTTCACAGAATGATCCTTCTCCCAAAGTGTTTCTGAGACTGAGGTGGTCTGGGATGACCCTGAGAGAGCCTGTTAAAATGCAGATGTCCAAGCCCCACCCTGCAGAGGGTATGATTCAGGTTTGGGGTGAAACTCAGAAAACTGAATTTTTTTAAAAACACCCTTGATGATTCTGATGCAGGTGGTCTTGGCCCACACATTAAGAAACATTGCACATAGTGGGTTTCTGCATGCATTTAAACAGAAGTCCATTTCTGTTTGGAAAATTATTATGTTGTGTAACTCGAAGCCCACCTTTATTGTAATGGAAAAGACTGGAACTAAGGGAGAAGGTTTATATTTGGTATTTTACAATCCTAACTCTCTAAGATTCATAAGATAGCTATTTTATTATTATAATTTTTTATTGCTCATGCGTCTTGTTAAGAAACATTCAAATTTGTAAGTATGTGATTAACACACCTTATACAACATGCATTCCTATGCTGACCTACTGTCTGGCATATCACAGTGTTTAACAAATAGACATGTGTTGGAATCCTCCATGTTAGCCTGCAGTTTCCTGTTTCTAATTCTCCCTAGGGGGATCAGCAAAACAACCCAAATCATTCTCTCAGTAGCACCATTCTAAATTAGGCTGAAAAATGAACACCCTCCAACTGGGAGATAATGACTTTATAAAGGTACAGAGGAAGAGGGGAGGAGGAAGAAGGATGACCTAGGGGAGATGGGGCCATGTCATTGGGGTGACACTAGAGAAGGAAGCCCAATGTGGGTTTGGGAGATGGTTTATCATTGTGATTTTTTTTTTTTTTTTTTTTTTTTTTTTTTTTTTTTGCAGCTATCAGAAGGTAGAGAGGCGAGAGAAAGGCAAAACGGGAAAAGAGAATAAATGGGAAGAAAAATGAAAACAAAGAAACCAAGATTGGGAACAGAAAGGCGTTACCAGCTCTCAGCATCAAAGACAAGATTTACATTTTGGCCATTCATTAATATTGTCATCATGTACTATATGTGCATTGGAGTATAGTTAGATATTTCTAAGGAAAGAGAGAAAATAATTTTTTACAAGTTTGAGACAGCATCAGTTCATTTAAGGTTTCCAGTGGTAAATCTTTTGGTTTTTGTTTCCATGAGTTCAGCAAACCATGTAAATAAGATCAGAGTTTTAAATTTTCTAATAGTCTGGGTGCTTTGACTAGCAATCCTATAATCCTAGTTCATGTACTTCTCAGAACAGTCTGCTGCAAACTTAACCCCAAGAACAGAATGTTGTCGAGCTGCAAAAAGGGTGTCATCATTGCTTAGGTTCTGATGTTAGAGTTCACAAATGATGTCCTTTAAATATACCCCCCAGTGACTCAAACACATCCTCGTTTTTATGAAGGACTGTTGACTTTCTGCTCACAGCAAAATAAGGATGCTGAAAGTTGTTGATTTAAAGAACAGAAGCAAGGCCAGCAAGTAGGGATGTGTAATTGCCATTATTATCTGACAAGAAGCTGCCCACTTGCTTCTTGGGTCTGCCCTGCAGACCCAGGTTCCTGTAGACTCTCATTTTGGTCATGTAGGAGACTTTGCCTGCCAGAGAATATTGCTTCAGTTCCTTTATGAAATGGCATGACTATCCTGGAGTTCTGCAGTGATGGGCAAAAAACTGCCTGCCTGATTACTTACACTTCCCACCTCCTGAATCCCCAAATTGGGCACTTGCTTCTATTTTTTTTCTATCCATTATCTCCCTACCTCTCATCCTCCTTGCACTTAAAAACTTTTCATATGAACGGATGGAATAAACGCATTAACTTTAAGGTCCATATGATAGATAGGGCATAAAGAATGATGTGTTCCTGATTAGTTGTAATTTAAAAATAAGGAAACTCTTAGGCTAAAACAATAAACATTTAATAGTAGAATATCAAGTGTTTGGGAGCTGGTTGGAAAAATATTTTGGGGGCTGAGTTGTGTGTTCATGTGCATGTATAGGCAGTGGCCTGGGCATCTCAGAACTGTGCCACGAAGGTGAGCACATTTTGAAGCTGTGCCTCACAGCATGCATTAGTTTCTGGGCATTGACTGTTGATTGGGAAACCTGGGGAAAGGCACAGTCAAGATCTAATGCTCAGGGCTCCAACCCCAGAACAATGGCAGGACGTGGCCACGAGCCCACCCACCGAAAGCGCCTGTACCTGAGGGAATGGGTGTTCCAAGCAGGGGAAAACGAGGCAGAGTATGTGCGTTCACTCCACTCACAGGCCACATTATCTTTTTCCTCTTAGGGGATCTCTGCATCCTTAAGTAACTTCCCAGTCATCAAATCAGTCTTTATTAAATTTTCACATGCACTTAGTTTTCGATTCAATTTGAAATGTGCTCCGAGGAGCATCATATGGACTAAATAATTAGCTAAAGAGAAATGGTACAGCATAGATTTTAGAGAATGGCACAGAACAGTGCCTCTTAAATACCACCAGTAGTAACTGAGGGCTTTTATGTAACACAAAGATGTGTACTTTTATTTTGAGTTATTTATTTTCATTTTTATTTAAAGGAAAAAATGGCTTATCAGACCAGTAGTTTTGGGGATATTTTTGCTGAGAACAAAGCTAAAACAGGTATTTGGGTTTTAAAAAGTGTGTCAATTTAAAAAACGATTGAAGAAGTAATAAATAGTGCAAGGATAATAAAAGAATCTTGAAGGCTGTGCTCAAGTAACTGCAGTTTAAGAAACACTGCCAAGTCCAGGAGAGCATCACCGCATATCAATAGCCCTGGATTTACTCCTGTTGTGCAAAGGACGTACTATATGACCCTGGACAAGTTGGAACCTCTCTGAACCTCAGTTGACTGAAGTAGAACGGTGACATTGAAGGAGATTGCCAAGATCGCCTCCCATGGTAGCATGTGGTGATGCTATTGATATTACAGGTTACCTTCTGTGTCTAGTGAGGTGGAAATGGGGAAATGATGTCAATCGTGATACTATGTCTGGAGACATCATGTACATAAGCATCAAGTTGACTCCTCCTCACCCTGAAGCAGTGAGGTATAGAGAAAAGTCTGCCACTTACTGTGTTCCCTGGGCCTTGATCAAGTCACTTACTCTCTTTGAAGCCCAGTTTCTCTACTTGTTTTTTGAATTATGTTTTTAATTGACAAATAAAAATCATATATATTTATTGTAAACAACCTGTTTTAAAATGTGTATACATTGTGGAATGGCTCAGTCAAGCCATAATTAACATATGCATTACCTCATATACTTACCATTTTTGTGGTGAGAACATTTAAAATTTATTCTCTTAGTGATTTTTGCACAAATACATTTCCAGTGATTATAGTGACCATGTAGTACAATAGATCCTTGTATTCCTCCTGTAGAACTGAAATTTTACATCCTTTGACCAACATCTCCCCAACCCCTCCTCACTTCAAAGCCCCTGGTAACCACGATTCTACTCTCTATGAGTTCAACTTTTTTAGATTCTGCATATAAGTGAGATAATGCAATATTTGTCTTTCTGTGCCCCCAGTTTTACCATTTGTGAGAGCAAATGGTCATGGTGATGAATAATACCTATTCAGTGTATGCAGTCTTATTGGACTACTCAAATGCAGTGTACGTAAAATGAAAAATTTCAGAAACATAAGTAAATGTTTATAAAACAAACATAAATTTTGTTCTTCCACCCTCCTGTAACTTTGTCATCACTTCCTCATTTTTAAATATAGTGTTGTTGTATGTATAGCTATATCATGATCAGGCAAAAAAGTTAATAGGTTAAGTTCAAGCCAGTAACTGTTGATAGTTTTTAAACTCTCAGATAAAATATTTAATGTTGGAGAAGGAATTAGGAATTGGCTCATGGATAAAACAGAAAACCATCACCTGCCAGTGACCTCAAAATCTTATTTTAGCTAAAAGTTTTAACCATCTCCTCTTCTAAACCTGTAAGTGGAAAATGAGCTACAAATAATAAATTATTTATCAATTCCACTGAACTCTGCTTTTTATGAGACTTCTTTCCATTACCCCAGCATTCCCAACTCCATATACAACCACAGATTATAGCTGGTACGCACCTTCTTCCCCCTAGGACATGCAGGTTACACTTTCAGACTACTGCCTGTTGGATTCAAATTATAGTTGTTTTTGCACTTAAGAATTCTTGTTACCAAGCTTGCCTAGTTGATCGTCTAGTTGACTAGGAGATAAATATTTCTAGAAGATGACACACAAAGAACTTGCAACTTCTAAATAGGGAGAACACAGAAGAGAAAGTAGAATCACCCAATATAAAGTATAGAGTCATTTTGTGCCAGGGCAAGCAACCCGGCAGTCTGGAGTCATCCCTGAATTTATATTATATTGTAAAAATGGATGCTCAAAAAGGTTGTAAAGTGGGCAATATATATATTTAGACCAGTCTTAAGCAAAAATTTCATTTCTAAATATGTAAGCTTAAGTCTTTTAGCATATTCACTTATGTAAACCATCTCATTTCCTTATGGCAGATAGATTAGACTTACCACCCTCTTGTCTGAACATTTCAGTACAGTGCAATTTGTCCTTCACCTAAAATGTTCAATGTGATATCTTTTTGTAAGTCAGGGAGTGGAATAATGAGCCTTCTTCTAGGTAATATTGCCAAGCTATCTTATCCTTCCTCACTCAGAGAAATTTCCAGGTAAATGATTTTGGTTATCAGAATGAAATTACTCATCTAGTCCCAGAGCTACTGAAGACACAGGGAGTAGGAGGCAGGTCTTCAGACTCCAGGGGCTGTGTTTTCCCCACTACACATGTGGTTTCTTCTCAGTCAGCTTTGAGCTGCCGTGTTGCCCAGCTCACTTGCCTGTTCGGGAGATGTGGCAGCTGATGCTTAACACTTCAAAACCATTTTCCCGGCCCCTGCAGCACCTACTGTTCTCTTCACCTTGAGTTTTATGAGAGCAAGAACTTGATCACTCAGCTTCCCTTCCAAACCCGCTGTTACACTCCTGACACCTGTTTCCTGTTCAGGGACATGAGAAATGTCTGTGTCCATGCAGCAAATTCAGTCACACTAGCCACGGTTTCTAAAGTAAACATTTATTGGAAAGTTTCTTGTCAGATTCATTTGATTAGGGATAGAGGTTATTCACCACCGTATCCACTTCTGTAAGTCCAAAGAATGCAAAGAAAGCTTGACTACTGCTGTGTCCCATGTGACAAATGTGTTTTACTGCTGTTTCCTGTGAATGACACCACTTCTCTCGGGGAATCGCTGAGCTCGGGATGCTGAGGCGACACCACCAGCTGGGTTCTCTACCTTCCTCCTTACTGGTGATGCTCTTTCCTGGAAGTCGTGTGTGGCAGAGATTTTAGTACTTTTCTTTTCAGTTCTGAGAATTTTCCCTGGGGCTTTCATCTCCCTCTCTTCTCTGGGTCTGAAGCTGCTTGTATTTCCATCTAGTTTTTTGTACTCTCCACAGCCAGCTGGATTTCCTGGCTTCCGGTTACCCATTTCCTCCCCACTCCAACCACCTCCTGTCATTTTACTGCCCCCTACCCCTCACCTAAATTATTCCCTCTGATCTTTACCCTTCCTCCTTCACAGACTGCTTCAAAGATCCTTTCCCAATAGGTTCCTATTAAACACCATCCCAGAACAAACTGCCTCCTTCTCTCGCCAAATAAACCGCTTTCAATAAGCCTCTCCCAACCCCCTAAACAAATAACATCTTGTAATCTCTATCATTCTAAAATATTGCTTTTCATAATCTCCAACAATTGGCTCCCTTTTTCCCCTTGAAGAAATAAACTCAGTGACCCTTATTTGGGCATTGAGCTGCCTCAATGAAACTATAAAATACACACATACGCACACACACACACAACTTCCCAAACGAAGATAACCTAATACAACCTTTTGCTTTCCCTTTCTCCAAGAAAGAAAACTTTCACGAAGTATGTAAGTACCCACTTGCGTCTTTCGAAGATTTTTTTCCCCAGTGAAACAAGCTAAGGAGAAATACAGTAAAGTATTCCAAGGCCAAACACATTCTACTGTTTATTACACATATTACATTCTTAAATAAAAATGCGTCACATAACATTTTTTGCATAGATATCTTACAATATACCAATTTAAAAAAGAATTATGAAACAGACCAGTAACAAAAATAAATTTTTTCTTCATTAATAATTTTGTAACATTAACATACCACCATCATATAATACAAATAATAGTTTTAAATCTTAAGACTTTTGTACAGCAAAAAAACTTGACAAAGTAATATATTTATATATATATATATATAAAAAGCTTAAAAAAAATAAAATGTCAAAAAAAGGCATAACCGAGGGCTATAAGACTGGGTACTTCTGTGATATATTATAAATACCAGAGAAGGCCTGAGAGAATGTGACGGGGGGAGGCGGGGAAGGAGACGGGGCTGGGAGTAGGTCTCTCCAAACACACTTGTTAGACACATCTGGCAAAAAGAAAATGTATAGTGCAAAAATAAATTTATTCAAGCAACTGTTAAGAGGATAATAGAGATTTGAAAGAAAAGTTTCAGTGGCTGGGAAGTTGTGTGGGAGTAGGAAGTGGGAGAAGGAGCTTGACGCGGGGGCGGGTGGGGGCTTGTGGAAAGGAAGGGGAGGCTTCAAAAACATTAGACATTTATTTTTGCCTCTGTGTTAGCAAGGAGATCTTGGCCATTAACAGGTGTATTTTTCCTCCCTGGAATGAAGCAGAAGTGAAAGATAAGGAAATTAAACTAAGTCTGGGTTTAGATAGGAAATGCATGCTGGGAAGAAAAAACAAAAAGGTTGAGAACCAGCCAATAAGCCCCAAAGCCTTCAGGACCTAGGTTTGCAGAAATCGTTCTGCCTCCAGTCCAAAGGCCTAGGTTTAAAATGTCCCCTCTGCCCACCCCCAACCCCTCCCCGCTATGTGGAACTCCCAGTGTGGTTTCGATATACTGGCAATTATAAGCATCCATCCCCCCCAAAAGATATTAGGCACTGGTGGCTACTCCTCCGAAACGTCAGTAGCCTGTTTTCCTTCCGTGAAGGTACGACAGGTACATATGCGCATGTCTAGGTGCGAGCATATATACCACCCTCATTATGCTGACGTGGGGTCCATCTTATGGCAGTAGACAGAAGCTGGACTCACAGCAAGTTACGATTCCAAAGCTCACAGTTGAAAAAAAATTGTATAAACAGTCCCCAACAAAGAACATTATCAACCTTCCCTCATGACCACTGAGAGGGAGCCCTGTTTGAAAAGAATATCTTGTTTGGGATATTTGTGAAGTGATGGCCCAGGATTTCTCTCTCTGTTTTTGACACCTGTTTCCCGAGGACTTTTATGTTAAATGCAAAACACCTGAAAAATACAGTACTCTATTGGAAGGATGCACATAAGAAAGTTAACTGCAGCTTTATTTTTCCCTTTTCTGGGATCTATTAGGAACCAACAGAGGAGATTTAAGAGTGTTAAAAGCAAGAAAAAACCCTGAAGCCTCAGGCAGTTCGTCGTGGGAGGTCACGTTATTTACAAGAAGTTTCTGCTTCCTTTCACACATTTCTGTTGTTCCATCTCAAGTATTCCCAAAGATCCTCACTGAGGAAAGTAGGCCATCAAAGAGACATTGATGTATACTCAGGATAGGCCCTCTAGTTTTCAAACTGAGATATCACCATGTTCACCGAAATTTAATCCAGACACCCTGAATTTGAGTCCTCCCCTCCTGCCCCCCAACTCTTGCGCTTGGCAGGTGGCCACTTCCCGAAAATGCAAAGGAAAGCTTCCAGGAGTAAATTTCAATCAGGTTCTATTTACTGAATGTTCATTTTGGCAATGTTCTGGGTGCAAAATTGTAGCCAGAAATGCTGGCCCTCTTAAGATTTCAAAAAAATTCTAATAAACTAAAAAATGAACCTGATTTTTGTAGTTAAATGTGTTGCATCTTTATCTTACTTTGCCTACCTTCTTCCTGCTCCTAAAAGCAACTCATGCAAAAGAGAAGACAGAAGCACTTCCCACTTTTTACTTAACATTTTATGAAGTGACTTCCATAAAGGAAACCATTTTGAACCATCAAAACGAGTCACTGGGTTTTGTTCTTGCAACTTGAGTTTCTTTTGGCTTTGCCATAAAATGCAGGAATAAAGGCAAGAGGCAATGTTCCGAATGCACTGGAAGAGCCATCCAAAAGCCCCATTTCTTTCCCCTTTGATGCAAATAGACATGGATAATCTGGAAAGCTTATCCCAAACAAAAGTCCTTATAAAATCTTCTCTGAAGCCAGAGAAGATTTTTTAAAACTAGGATTCAGTTCTGCTAATCAGGCATGAGGTTGGCTGTCCTTTTACCCTGTTATCATCAGGCAATCAAAGATGTACAAAGGGCACAAGAGGTGCAGGTGGAGAGGAGATGGCGTCGAGAGAAGAGGATATTTGAAGGGCTTTGCAAGGGAAAGCACACAGAGAGGAGGAAATGGTCAGCATGAAGTTCATTTTGGGGTCTCCAATATTTTTACAAAAATGCAGCTTTGTCATGGAATCTGAACATCTCTTTTTCTGGACATAATACTCATTACCACCAGGCATTGAGCTGAGCCATTAACCATGGGTGGGGCAGGAGGCCAGTAGCTAGGAGCAGCATTATAATTTCAGGTTTCCATGTCTATGACTTACAGTCATGTGGCAGGAGAAAGAAGTATAATTTGAAATTACAAAAAAAAAAAATTGTCAGTGGCTTAGAAACTCTTTTTCTACATGAACAAATCTGAACCCTGGATAAAAGCGTGCTTGTTAGGACACCACCAGAAACACCAGGCCGGGTTTTTCCTTTCAAATTTGGGATCCCCTGGAGGGTTAGGAGGTAACAACTGAAATGAGAAAGGGGTTTAATGTGTTTCAAATGTCCATTAATGCACTGTTTTAAATAACCAGTCCTCTTGGGAGCAAAATGTCTTCAGGTTACTTCTTGGAAAACCTGCTCGCTCTAGCGGCTCTTAGTAACCATCTCTGCCACTGCAGAGGTGATGGACGTTTTATTACAAATCCATTTCCAAAATGATCAGGACTGGTCATCATTCACAGGTGTCAACTCGGCTAAAGAAGAACAGTTTCAAAGCCATCCACTTAGCACCCACCAAATTCTTAGGCCAATTCTCACAGTCAACAAATGACTCTGAAGCAAGCAAGCACCACCATTGAGTTTCAATGCACCCTGCTCCAAGAAAGGTCAGGAGCAGATTACAAAGGACCTCACTGATACAAAAGAGAGAGAAATTACTGAACATTTCAGACACTGATGAGGACCAAAGGGCCTTTGTTCTGCCACATTCAAATGAGACCACAGATGAAAATAGGGAGCAAACAAGCAATGATTACTCTTTTGCATTTTTTAAACTTTCTTTTTAATAGAGCCTTGCATTGGTCAGTTCGAAAATTAAATTAAGTATTATAAACCCTTAATAATAGCATTCGAGAGGCAAGAGCAGCTCCAGCTTGGGAGAGAACATTTGCAAATCGTGGTGGCCATGGCTTAATGCCATCACTGGCGTGTGCGTGCATTCATGCTGGAGGCTGCTACATAAAGGAAAAGAAAGGAACCAACAGAATTCAGGGTGTCTAAAAGTTTCATCTAGTGCACTGACTGGAGGCGCTACAGTTTAATACAGCTGAGGTTCAAGGTCCCTCACACATCCTTCATCCAGGAAGGATGCACCACACATTCAAATATAATCCCATGGTACGCCCTGATGGACTGGCCACAAAATGCACTCAAATGCAGCAGAGAACTACGAGATTGTCAGCAAGCAGTGCTCCAGAAATTGTTTTTAAGTCATGTCTAGTTTTAAATCTTTGGAATAAAACTGATTTTTAATACCCTCCAACTAACATACATACAATTGCCTCCGGCAAATGGACAGATTTTGTGTGTGTGTGCGCGTGTGTGTTAACGGGTGTTCTTTCTTTTTTTTTCGTTTTGTATTATTTTGTTTTTTTTTTTGTTTTTGTTTTTGTTTTTTTTGGTCTAAATAGAAAAAAGGAAAAGGAGAAAGTAAATTCTTAGGGCCAGACCTCGAAATGCCCCAAGTGTCCAATTGGCA
Organism: Homo sapiens; assembly: GCF_000001405.40. Lineage (NCBI taxonomy): Eukaryota > Metazoa > Chordata > Mammalia > Primates > Hominidae > Homo > Homo sapiens. Next base: position 207,079,177 of record NC_000002.12, read on the forward strand.
GCTATAGCATTTGTGAGGAGGTTCCTTTGCCCTCAGACGAGTAGTTTCAACATTTCAGTGAAAACAAAGGTTGCAGAAAGCTGAAAACCCAGATCTTGAAGGTTGCTGTCATATATGTGTTTGTGTTTCTTATATTATTTCCTTTTGACTTCAGTTTTGCATCCCAAATATGTATGGGGTGGCATTTTAACAGTCAATGAGTCAAACAGTCAAAGGAGGACAGGAGGGGAGCCAGCTGGTAGGAGGGAGCAGCAACCGTGTGTGGACCAAGCGCCATTTTTGTTTTATAGACGTGTCTTGAAGGGATGGTCCCAGAATATACAAAATATACAATCTGTCCTAATAACCACCCCGCTTGCTTGCATAGGCCATTTGATGGTCCTAAAGGCAGTCTTTGGAGTTGAGGCCAGTGCCAGCTAGCTAGGAATGCGGGTAGATAGAGACCACTACTGGATGTGTGAGTGTGGCATGACAAGTAAGGACTGTAGACTCCTTTGGAGTCAGCTTGCAGAGTAAATGTGAGGCCTCTGTTAATCCTGGGGGTTCTAGGTCACAAGTCATGGTGGGCCTAGCCAAAAAAAAAAGGAAAGAAAGAAACGTGTCTCTCCTTTTAGACAGCCCATGAGAGAAACACCTCAACCTTTTCCTTAAATGTCAACCCTTCACTCCCACAATGGCGTTTTAAATTGTGTATTGTAACACGTAGGGGAATAGGAGCTCAGTGGGCATGACAGAGAAGACAGGATGATCTTTTGTGAAGCCACTAGACTTGGGAGGCATCCTCAGTTTTCCCCACTCCTGGAAAGAGTGATATTTTTGGCTTTTTGTCAGGTCATAAACCAGAGTTAAATTAAATACGCAGCTGCCCTCTGAGACTAGCGACATCTATGCTGTAACTGGTTATGGGGTAGCAATGACACACAGCACAACGGTTGATCACTATGAGCTGAGGTCATCATGCCTCAAGGAGGATGAGAGAACTGTGATGTCCCATCTGACTGGCTGCTTCGAGAGCTGGACATCCAGGTGCCGAGAGAGTCCTGGAGAGGTTTAGTCCATGGAGAAAAGATAAAACATTTAAGCTTCCAAATAAGCTTTTCAAGTTTTCGTTAGCAAAAACGGAGAGATTAAAAAGAAAAAATCTAGCACTGGCAATAAGGTGAGGCTCAAGGGATATACTGTGATTTATCATCAAGGACTTTATTCTCTTGGCCACTTTGCAGTCATGCTAGAAGTTTCCAGAATCCCTAGTGCATATGGTGTGCAAAAGTCAAAACGTAAGAAAAGAAAACTCCTCCCTTGAGAGTGAAGTCTACAGAAATGCAGGCCAGAAAGGTGTAAGGTGTTATTCCAGTCTGCCGCCGCTAAGGCCGTTGGGATCGACGCGAAAGATCTCAATAGTACTAAGAACCAAAACCAGTCAACAGTTCTGTGAGGAAGTCTGACGCACGGAATAGTAGGACTTTTCACACACAAAGGACAAATAAACCAAGAGTTAATTTTGGCTACCAAACTGCAATTTGGTTTTCTAGGTCATTTTCCCCCAACTATTTAAAAAGAAACATTAGTGCTACACATATGCAACTTTAAGATGCTGGATTCTCCTATCAAGTTGCACTGAGAAGCAAGTGAAATAAGCCCCTCGGACTGCCGTCCACCTGCACAGACGTCACATCCATTTTCTTTGATTTCCATTGGCAACAGCGGGAAATAATTCCAATAGTGCTGAAGTAAGCAGCCAGTCTGCCTTGCTGAGTTCACCTGGTTTCCTTCTTCATCTTCTTCCATCTGGCTAGGGCAAGGCATAAAGAATAGACGTATATATTTTAAATATAGTTGAGTGCATGACAGTGTGTATGTGTGTGGGTCTGTGAGTGTGTGTATATGTGTGTGTGTGTGTGTGTGTGTACAGAGGTTTATAAGTGAGAACTTTCTTCTGCGAGGCAATGGGTCCCCGCCTGAAGTCCAGCCCCCTGCCTCATGGCGTTTCCTTTAGACACTAGCCGATGCCATGGCAACTCTGGCCTTTCGGTTTTTTAGATATGTCTCTTCATGTGGAGGGCAAGATGGTCAGACCTGGAAAAACACCTAGGAGATATAAACAACAAGGATATTAGAGAACTCCCAGCAAACAGCTTGACTTGCATCACTCCTTAGGAAATGATTTCCCTTACTTTAAACAGAGACAGTGCACATGCATTGAGAAACAGGGCCATGTGTTGGGAAGGTAAGTTTAAGGGACAAAATGTTTGGGTTTAAATCCTATCTCTTCCAATAGCTGTGTGACTCGGAGCACATTAACCTGTCTGTACTTTAATTCCTCCTCAGTAGAGTGGGGATAATTATAGCATTTACCTCATAGGTGGGTTGTGAGGATTAAATGAGATGATCTATGCAAGGTACTTAGAATACGGACTGGCACATCGTAGGATCTCAGTGCATGTTAACTGTTATGATCATAATTGTGATTATTAAAGAAGAATGGGAAAGTGCTTTTGAAACCTGTGTCATGCCTGCATACTGTAAATATAATAAAGAATAATTAGTCTATATCATCAAAGGGTGGAACTTTGAAATTTCAACACCCAGATTTCAACCCTAAACTTTACAATGAAAGCCTAGAAATACTGCTTGTGATACTACTTACAGGCTTATCAGACACTCTATATTCAAGTCAAAAAAAAAAAAAAAAAAGGATGAAGAAGGGTGCTCACAGTTATTGAGTATGTTACGATATGTAGGCACTATGCTAAGGGTTTTCCCAATATCACGCCATCCTCACCAACCCTCCATGGTAAGTATTCTCACGCTTTGTGTGTGTGTGTGTTGGGGGCAGAAAGGAGGGGGGTGAAGGAAACTGAGGCTAAGGTGTTTCTTGGAACCTAAGGCCCATAACTGAGTGCCTTCTTCATGTCAGAGTGGATCCAGTGGTCATCTTCTTTCCTCTTTCCTCTAACACCAGCTATTTGATATTCTCTTGGGTACCAACCCTTCTGCATTCTCATTTGTGTGAGGCTGAAGTTGTGGCCACAGTACTCTGCTAAACAACAGCCATGTGACCTGTAAAGGCCAATGAGAACCAGCCCTGGGACATCTGCTGAAATTATTGGAAGAGAGAAGCTCTCTTTCCACTGGGATCCTGGAGTGACTGGTGTCTATACTGCCCTTGTGGTAAAGAGTTGGCTGGAGAATGAAGTCAACAGAGAAAAAGGGGTTCTGGGGGATAGAAAGAGTCCAGATGATAATATCAGAGAAGCTGGATCCAACGAAGCCTAAAGACAAATCTAATTCTGTTCTTCTTAGTTACCTGAGCGCATAAATACCCTTGGAGGCTAACTGCAGTCTATAACATACAGAAACCTGACAGTATGGGTGTTTCCAAATCCCTGCAGGCTTCAATCTCAGGTTCTGAATGAAATCCCAGTGAAGTCAGCCTACATGACAGCAGTCATTCTGAGCTCTGAGTGTATGCTCTCCCCCTGGATCATTCGCCTGAAACTAGCTGCTTTCTAACCTATGAGAAAGTTCCCAGGCTCCCTGAAGCCTGAGACACCCCTACAGTCCAAAACTCCTGTCAGAATGTTAGCAAGCTACACTGTTCAGGTTAGCAGGGTTTCCTGTTCAGGGCAGGATTTCCCTATGTTTGTTCATTCTTAAAACAAACAAAAAATATCCACCCTTTCCCTTGACCGCAACATTCTCCACACCCCCTGTTTGTGTCCATTCCTTAAATAGGCACATGTGTAGGATAGAACTCCAAGGGAATGAAGTGAAATGGGACAAGAGTAAAACGAAAACCACATAAAAATGCGAAAAGTACAACTGAAAACAATCTAATCCAATAACATGCTGCATAATAACAATTCCAATTATACCCACTTACTTCCAGCCCTGACTTTGTATGAGGAAGATATTTAGATAATCCCTTAGCGATGCCTCTAAAGGGGGTTTGGTTTGCAATAAAACAGTGTCACTAAGTTTTCTTTAAAAACTAGTACTCCATGTCACTGGTACACAGAAAAATCAATACAGCCCGCAGGGAATTTAGCGTCTAACTGGCATAATTCATGTCCTGAGGGTACAACTCAGTATTGCCCACTGCCTGTTCTCTTTCCCTCTCTCCCTCTCTTTCTCCCTGCCTTCTTTCTTCCTTCTTTTTCTCTCTTTCCCTCCTTCTTTTATCCCAACAACCTGGAGAAAGAAGATCCAAGTTGGGACATTCTGTTTGTAGGTATTTCTTTTTTAAATGTAACATCCTTATAAGATCCCTATAAAGAAGGTACCATTCTTATTCCCACTACCAGATGAAACATTCATCAGAAAGAGGATTTGAACACAGGCAGTCTGACGCCAGAGCCCACACTCTTAGTCACATCTGCTTAACCACATTGAGGAGAAGAGAGAACTGGGCTGTCAATTTAAGGAGCTTCTGGTAGGCAGAATAATGCTCCCTCCAAAATGTCTACACTTCATGCCCAGACACTAGGACTATGTTTGGTTACATGATAAAGAATTAAAGTTGTGGATGGAATTAACTTATGAATCAGCTGACATTAAACAGGGAGATTATTCTGGATTGTCTGGTTGGGCTCAATGCCATCACAACGGTTCTTAAAAGTGGGAGAAGGAATTGATAGAACCAGAGAGATGTCAGCATGAGAAGGACTCAACAGCTTTAATGATGGAGGAATAGCATCATGAGCCAAGGAATGTGGGCAGCTTCTAGAAGCTGGAAAAGGAAAGGAAATGGATATTCCCCTAGAGCCTCCAGAACAAAAATGCAGCTCTGCCAAAACCTTGAGTTTAGCCCAGTGAGACTTGTGTTGGACTTCTAACCTAGAAGTTTCTAACCTACAGAACTGTAAGACCATAAACTTGAAAAGTATATAAACATGATACTAAATTTGTGGCAAGTGGTCAAGGCAGCAACTAGAAAATTAATCCTGAGGTTAGGCTGGTCAGGCCTGAGGAGGATGTACCTGTGAGAAGCAACAACGCAGACACCCAGAAGCCTGCCTGTCCAAGAGGAATGCTGGGATTTGAGATGGTAAGGAGTGAAGAGAGGGCCTGGCAGTGGGAAACCCCTTTCCTTTCCTTTCTATATCCTGGGAACTCTCGGGAAATGAGTATTCTTGATACAGAACTTTATTTGAAAGAACCATTCAGTAATATATGTGTTCGGCTTTATATCTGCCTTTACCAATTACTGGGTATTTAGCAATATATGTATAAGCATCTCCCTTTATCCTTCAAATTCAGGGAAAAAAAAGTGGAAAAAAGTAAACCAAACCTTTAACATGGTAGGAAATGTAACTGCACCCCTACTGAATCAAATGAGCATCATTATTTGTTCAAATTCCAAAAAAAAAATGTATGATGCTCAGGATTAGACCAGGTCCCTTACTATTGAGGTTTTTATTTAAATTCAATACCCCAGCAAGGTACTTAGTCATGATTAACTTATACTTATTAATTTATACTTACTGAATTCCACATAGGAATAGTAAAAGGTAATAGATAAACTTGGCATCTAGAAGTGCAGAATCAAATAATTTTAAGAGTAATATACCCCTAGAGGGTATTTATAACTTTACAGCAGCCAGGTGACCTTAAATAAGAAGGTCCTTAATTACTGAAATTTGTACATAATGGAGAACTAGTCAACCCCACAGTCATTTCTCTCGTTTATGAAAAAGGCACACTAGGCCAGGCGTCGTGGCTCGCGCCTGTAATCCCAGCACTTTGGGAGGCTGAGGTGGGTGGATCACTTGAGGTCAGGAGTTCAAGACCAGCCTGACCAACATGGCAAAACTCTGTCTTTACTAAAACTACAAAATTAGCCAGGCATGGTGGCAGGTACCTGTAATCCCAGCTTCTTAGGAGGCTGAGGCAGGAGAATCGCCTGAACCCCGGAGGCAGAGGTTGCAGTGAGCCGAGATCGCACCACTGCACTCCAGCCTGGGCAACAAAGCCAGACTGTCTCAAATGAAAAAAAAAAAAAAAAAAAAAAAAAAAAAGGCACACTAACGTCACATAGGGATTAAGTCAACAGCAATCTCCTAGGTGACCAAGAGGCTAAGATACGGGCTGGTATTTCTTACCACTTATAAGTGGGCTGACATAAAGATCAAAATGCACCCTCTAAACTGCCCAAGAACTGGAATGTACTATGCTAGTAGCTGTCTCCCTGGATTATAACTGCACTGAGTCAGTCGGTAGAATGAGGGCCTGCATGTTACCACTGATGGAAACTGAGCCCTATCTACCACCATCAGCAGCCTCCAACTCTGTGGGTTGAAAAACCACTTATCCCTCTAGCCACTGGTCACTCAGGGGGGCTGCACTGTCCAGTCAGATGGTGAAGAAATGGCACTACTACTGTGCTTTCTTTCCTAACCCAAACATGAAGCCAGAAGTCACAAAACCCAGTGTCTGCAAGGCCAGGCAGATAAAGTATGTGCCGTGGGTCAAGTGTAAGAAACACAGCACTCTTGGGCTATCTGTTTCCACTTCCGATAAGGCATGGATACAAAGAAGTATAGCTCTTCTTGTAAGAAGAAACAACAGAAAGCGGGACAATACTTGGCAACCAATGGCTTGCCTTTGAGTTGTGGAGCCACAGGGAGTGATGGGAACAGTGGAAACATAGTCATCACATGGCTATGGCAAATGGGTAATGATTGCTCTTCAGCTACATCCAATTACAGCCACATGGGAATGTGAGCCCACTGTGGCCAGATCTGATTTTTCCAGACAAAGCCAGAAATACAAACTTTTTTGTGTGACATTTAACGATTTTAAATGTTGGCCAAAAAAAAAAAAAAAACCAAACCAAAAACGTCATGAATTTTTTAAAACTACCCTATAGGCAAAATAAAAGCATACGTTAGACTTGGTACATGCTTAAGGAAAGGAAGTCTAAACCCTACTTAACTTCTAAATAGGGCAGTGTAATTGTTCAAATTTTAAGAGACAAGAGGTGGTGCACTCATATATACTGCGGTACCAACAGGATGCCATGTCCTGCCAAGGGCTACAGATGCCCTCTGTTTCTGAAGGTAAACATCTTCTAAGGAATGCCAACTCCCGGTCACTCCAGGCTTTCCTTTCATCTGCTTTGGGACCACTCCAGTTCCCCATGTTGCCTCCCAGGCCTGGCTATTCTTAGCACAGTCACCGTAATTGAAACGCCAAGGTGCTGCCTGTCATGAGACACTAATGGGAATACAAACTCTCATTTATGATGCTGTCGAAAATGCACTATTGGCCTGTGTCGCGGGACGCTGATCTACTCAATCTCCCACAAATACCATGTTGCAGAATTTGTACCATCTGCTCAGCAAATTTCTAGCTCCAGAAACTGTAGTGTATTTTAAAGAAGAAAACAAAGCAAAAGACTAACCAAATCACCCATCTCTGACATCTCTTTCAGTGAAATAACCAATCGGTTTGGAACATTTCTCCACGTAAATCATACAAAAGACCAGATTAAATCCAAATACATCAACTGCTGGAAGGTTGTAAATCAATAAGTCAGTTGATTTGAAGAGTGGAATACTAACTTTGGCAATTTCCCCATAAGAACTCTTTGTCCACATCCAATAATTACGGCTACCCATAATGCTCACAATCTCCAAGTAACAGCCTCCACACCCTTCAGAGCTGGGCAACTTGTGTGTACACGCTACCATCACACTCTGACCACTCACAAAGAATTCACCTTGGTCCCAGTTGATGTAACAGAACACTCTCCTTCAAAAGACTATGGACAGAGAGTCACCATCTGCAGGGCTTCTTTATTAGCCAGAGTGAGAGAGGCACAAAGCAGAGAAACTTGAGATGGAAATAGAAGGAAGATGGGGAATAAGGAGAAACTCTCCTGGAGCATACTCTGTAGAAGACAGCTGCTGATTCATGTAAATACAGGAGGACTTCTAGGTAATGGATGGAAATGTAATAATAACTTGTATTCTTGGGTAGCAGAACAGAGTTCCAAGGGAATGGGAGACAATAACTGCATAAAGTACACTTCCTCAGCCCTGGAGTGGGAGGTTATCTCTGGGCTCCAGGACGCATGGGGTCTTTATTTAGTACTTAGAGAATGAAGATAAGAGGAAAATAGCTTCCCAGGAAGAAGGAAAAAAAAAGGAAGAAAAACATAACTGCTCCTTTATAAGCATCCTAAGGGAGCACTAAGCCAACGTGACCAGTCTGGACACCCCTTCCCTATTCACCAAACACTACTACAGAGGAAGCCCTGGTGAGGGGGAGGTGTGGGACACAGGGACTGGGGGAGACAGGATGCAAAAGCGATCCCATTTCCTCCCAAGAAAAGCCAGGCCCCTGCTGCCATCCTGCAAGCTGGGGAACCCTGAGGCTTTCAGGGGCTTTTATCGTATTAGAAGCATTTTTCTCATCATAACCGAGACCTTTAGTATTGCATTAAAAAGATGGTTAATTTTCTTAAGCTTCCTTTTAAACACAGAAATAGGATTAGAAGGATAACACGCTCAGATGCAAGCCCATTATTTGATTATGTCTAAACCTAATCCTGCCTTCACCTTGGCCTGCAGAGTCTCCATTTTGGGGTTTATTGGTTGATAATGCCAGGGCTGTCAGATACTATTACTTGGGTAGTATCTGTTGCTACGTGCTCTTTCTTCTACTATTGAATGCAGAAGGCTTAAAATTGAATTACAGGAGGAGTTCTCAAAACCTTGTCATTTTTTGCACCCTTGTACCTATTTTCAAGGAAGAAAGAATGATCTGGGCCCCCAAAGAATGGGAACTCTGTTCAGTACAATTCATTTCCAATAATGGGTTCAGAGAAAAGCCTTATAGTGATAGGAACCCTAACCTTCCTTCCATTAAGCAAGCTTTCTACTCTTTCTTATTACTATAGATGAGGGAAAGTGGTACTGACATTGATACAAAGATCAGAAGTCCCTACAGATGACCATTCTCTGTCTCACTACTTTTCATATTATACTAAAGTTATCTGTCACATCTTGTTGATACCGAGTGATTAACACCATTTCTGGCTCAAAGCTAGTGTTCTGTAAATGCTTGTGTAACTGAACCAAGAATTCACACCACCTCTTGATTTCATGCAAGAGGGCACCCCCTCTTCTCACTGGTCCTCTCCATGGAGAAAAGGCATTCCCAGGTCCAAGTGTCTGTGAGTCAGACCTGTGATAAGTCCAAGCACACGGGTGCTGCTCACCCTCCAACCCACTTCCCCATCTCTCCTCCCTAGCCCATCAACTTCTACTTCTCTTTACCTGTCGCAGTGGTTGCATTTGAAGGGCTTTGCACCTGTGTGTTTCCTGTAGTGCCTCGTGAGCTCATCGCTTCGTGCAAAACGCCACTCACATCCCTCCCATGAGCACTTATAAGGCTTCTCACCTGCAAGAAGAGATGGAAGGACCGTGGTCAGCAGCAGGAACAAAAGGGATTACACCCAACCAGCCTGTGCTGCCTGCTGGTCAGGCTTGGGAAAGGGCTGTTTAACTCATTCCTGAAAGACTAGATTTCCTAACATAGTATACCACTGTCTTTTGGGTTTTTTTTCCAAATCTCCTGGTGTTTTGTTTTTTGTTTTCTTTTTTGTTAACCTTCAAAAGTGGTTTCACCAGATCCTCAAATCTGGAGCTGTCATTTTAGTTCCCAGAGTCAGAGCATTTCCTCTGACTGGTGAAGGATCAATTTTTATTTATTTTCGATTCCCCGGAGCACTTTCACCCCCACAGTCCAGGCAGAAAGGAAATGTGCTATTTTCATCTGAACCACAAATGCTTCTAATTCTATTTTTCTCCAGAACCTACACTCATTTGCCATTTCAGGCTTTTTAGTCTTCTCCCTCCCCTTCCCTCCTACCACAAGCTGCAGCCAGGTAGCTGACTGACAAAGCAAACAGCTTAGGTCTCCCAGAGCCACCGTTCCTTCCAGTAAATGTGATGGATGGACAATGAGGAGAAAGGTCTACAATTTCAGAGTAAAACAAAAATCACTTGACAATCCCTGGCATTTATGGAAAATACTATCACAAAAGTCTGAGTTAGGAAGCTCATAGCTTAACAACTGCAGAGTGTTCTTATTAGAGAATAATATACATTATTGTAAAATATTTTCAAAATCAATTTGGAGAGCAAGGTTTTAGCCACAGGGAAGCTGCTTATAAGCATGAAATTCAAACACTTGTGCTCAAGTGACCTTTTCACACAGTAAATACAGATGGAAGGATATGTAAGAGCAAGTACATGACTTTGCCTTAGACCTTTTTTTTAACTCATCATGTCTGTCACCAAACATGACAAATATTTACCCTTCCAACTGTATGGTGGACTGGTTCTAATTAAAAAGAAAAATAATCTTTGGAAACCTGTGAAATCATGAAGCTGAGTTACTGAGCCCCGTCACTGAGAGGCAGGTTAGTATGTGGTTAAGAGCTTTGAAGCCAAACTTCTTGGGATCAGCTTCTAGTTCTGTCCTTAATTGTCTGACCTTGGGCAGGTTAACAAACCTCTGTGTGTCTCTGTTTTCTTAGAGATAATAATAATAGGTACCTCAAAGGGTTTAGAGAAGATAAATCAATACACATGCATATTATATATTAATTAGAACAATGCCTGGCATATGTAAGAGTCACATAACTAATAAACATTAAAAACCGCCAAACTCAAAGTTTCAGGATACCTAGGTGCCAAAGTACTATGGCATCCCATTATTTCCCCAGTTTTAAAAGCTAAATCTTTACTAGGCAGCCCTGAAGGAGACATTACCCAGGTACTATACTTGACCTACTTTCTTCTTTCCACCTTTCCCCTTCCCTTTAAACCTGACTACAAAGCATTCACAATTCTTTATTTGTATCACCTAGAATCAAACCAAACATGCTTGAAAATTTTATTTCATTAAATTGGTGCCCTAGTGAGCCACTGCTCTGTAAGACCCACAGAGAAGGGGAACGAGAAACACGGGCATTTCTTTTAAAGGGAACCAAGAGGACATGAAGGAGGGCTGGAGGCACAGGAGGAAACCCATTCAGTTTTGGAAACCAGGAAAAAAAGAGGATGAATCACTGAGCAGTGTTAAAAGTTCACCTTCTGGCTCCTTTAAGCCAAAAGTTTAGAAAAGATGTGCTGGCTGAAGAAAAGGTAGCCAAGTGGAGGTGCCACATAACCTTTGGAGTCAGCCTACTTGGGATCTTGCTGCGTTCATTCCAGACTCTAGAACTCAGTGTATTTGTCTGTTAAACGAGGGTGAGCTTATTAATAAATCCATGTTTATAGTGAGGTTTCAATCAGTTGTGCGTAAGAAACGTTTGTTCAGCCTTGCATGCAGTCAGTATTCAGTTCCTGTCTCAACTCCCTTTCCTCTGCCTGTGTTCACAGAGGTTACTAGGAAGACAGGCCCTGAAATCGCTGTCAATAAAATCCTTCAGAGCTCATGGCTCCAGAAAGCCAAGTCTACAGACATGCTGGGTATCTGAAATATTAGAAACAGAGAGTCTTTTAAGTATTTTCTCAGCATATTGATGGAGAATGAATCCAAAACAGGGAGTGTTCTTTAGGACTGCTCTGAATGAGTAGGACACACAAAGGGAAGTAAGAGATCCCAGCACCCTGCAGGAGAGACATGTTAGCATCATGTATTTAATGCTGCTGATCACCCACTAGGCTCTGTTATCTCAAGGGGAAATCTGGCACAAACAAAAAAAGGAGAATGAGGCACCTAAGACTTTGGAAATTCAAAACGCCCTCCACCCATGAAGGCCTTCGAATGTAGTTAAAACTGGAGGTTCCTGGAACCTTGGGGACCAAACACACTTCCAATGCAATGAGGCACCTAGGAAATTCCATGAAATTCTACAGCAACAAGCAGAGACATCTAGTTCCCAGAATCAATCCCAAAATCGAACTGACTTGTCTATCACAGGCAACCACATTCTGAAGGACACAGGAAGGGCAGATAAAATGAAGAAGACTGAAGTGGACGTCTTTGGATATTTTTTCCCATTTCAAACTGTTTGCTTTTCCCCTTGCTGAATTCCTTTAACTAGTTTCATTTTGACAAATAATATCAAGGATATAGTTCTTTTCCAGAAAATGATAAGACTCTTAGTTACTTCCCAGTACAAACCAACTCTCCAACCCAGGAGCTATTTCAGTGTCCTCGTGGCTGTGTCCACTATTGAGAAACTGCAGATAGCTTGACTTAGCTCTGAATCTTATCACCTGACATTGTTTCCTGCTTGCGGCAAACACTACTCAGAATAATACTGAGGACAGGCTCCTTTGTGCCCTGATATTTTAGCCATGTTACTATTATAGTGATTTATCAAGCTATTTTTCCACCATCTGGCTAGTTTACTGACAAGTTGCCATTCCTGCAAATACTAATAAAAAATTTAAAATAATCAAGAATGCCCAATGAAGGAGCAGTGCCTGAAGGCAGAACTCAGAAATCAGAGAAGCAGAAAAAATATATATAAAGAATTGGGAATATGACTTTATATTTAGGGCACAGGAATTGTGGAGTTAGACTGGCCTTGTTTCCAGGTTCTATACCCACCTCTATAAACCAATTCCTACTGGAAAGGCAGGTCAGGGAAATTCTTCTGTCAGTATTTTCAGCATGGCCAAGACTGCATCTCCCTAAACACCAACAGCCACAGCTTGATCTTGGAGGGTGGACATATCTGTAGCCATGATACATTTGTTTTCATCCTTAAAAGCCTACCTGAAGATTTCTGCTCATTTCATCAAAGGCTGAATTTCTTTCTTTATAAAAGAAAAAAAGAAAGGCTTTCTTTATGAGAGAGAGGAAAACTGCACGTCAGTGGTACCAGAGCAGGTTTCATGCAAAATCAGCTCTTCTCTTTCACTCTCCCTTCTTTCACTTTCCCTTCTCTCCTTCCTCCACTCCAGATACTTCTCCTGGGTATAAAACAGAAACTGTCATGGCCTTGCACAACACTATGCTGTATCGCACTTGGAATGATGCACACTGTTCAGCTCACTGCACCTCTAGAGTGAACAAAAATGCTCAAGAGTGGTCTATGTGAGACAGGTAGATGGAAGAGAGACTTAAAAACCCAGGACTCCAGTCCAGGAAGGGCATGTGAGTGAAGGCAAGGACACCACCCAGAGGGTGGGTGAGGCAGTGAGGCTGTGCCCCCACAGCTCACAATGCTGGAGGCAGAGGACACCCTCAGGACCTCCTAAATGTCAGGGTGAATATCAAGAACCACTTTCTCTGTCTGGCAACAACCCTAGGATACTTGTTTCCCTGGGGGAGTAGTATATGCCACCTCAGAAGTGAGAGTAAGTCTCATGAGGTGAAAACAGACTTATAGCCAGATGAGGGCTCGTAAGGAGAGGTAAGGGTGCTTGAGAAACAGGACTGACATTTAGAGAGGTTAAATCACGTCAAGAACTCGCGTTCTCCCACAAAATTCATCTGAAATGAAATGTGGTCTAAACCAGTGTGGCATTTTGTTAGTTTCTTACAGGGTCACTCTCCCTATATCGTGATCATCAGAATTGACTGATCAAAAAACACTGCCATAAATACTTTTTGAGCATGCATCTATGATATATGTAGGCTTATTCATGAACCATACAGATGTACTAATGTTCTATTAGGATATTATAAAATATATATTCAATAGACCAATTAAAAATGAGAATAAATTAAATATAAATAGAAGTCATACATATTTCTTCTTGCCTTCAAAAAGACTGTGTTGCACAACCCTACTTCTGGCCACTGCCCTGTAGGATAAATAAAAATAGCTTTGCTCTCAGCCCCACCATCTCACTGGTCTTAGGCCTTCCATTCATGGCTCCTACAGTCTATTCTACTTATAACAGTCAAAGCAATCCTTTGAAAATGTAAATCAGAGCATAAGTGACTCTTACAGGGGGCCTTAGTCTATATATTTCCATATAAATGGTCTCTTTGACATCCACTGGATTTTATGCATTTAAAAACATTATTCTGCAAAGGGTTCCACAGGTTTTGCCAGACTGCCAAAGACATTCACCCAAAAAAAGGTTAAGATGAAATTAAAGTGTAAAAGTTCCAATGGTTTTCTATCGTTCTCAGAAAAAAAGTCAAAAGCCAGGCAAGGCTCTACAGTACAGCCTGCATGATCTGGCTCCTGGCTACCTCTCCAATATCATCTCCTACGCTCCCCTCCCCGATTCACCACATTGCTGCCCTGCCTGCAGGCTCCCACCTCGAGGCCTTTGCACTGGCTCCTCGCTCTGCCTGGAACACTCTTGCTCCCTCACTTCATTCCGGTCTCTGCCTGAATGTCTCCTCCTCTTAGAGAACTTCCTTCACTATCCTCTGTAAAACAGCAGATTCTGTCACTTTCTCCATAGCACTTAATTACTTTGAAATGCAGTTGCACATTGTTTGAGTGTATTATAGTCTGTTTCCCTCACCAGAGCATAAGCTTCATGCAGACATCCATTTTGTTCACTGTGATACCAACAGCACTAAAGCAGTGCTTGGCTCAATCCCGTCCGATACATTAGGTGAATTTAACAAAGCATCCTGATTTGCAACAAAAACCTGAATACACCTAGAGGGGCAGAACAGCCTGTGTGATTTCCAGTCCCTCACTTTCTAGGTATTAAACTGGTTTACGAGGGGAAATGTTTGCTTGGTTGCTTAAATCTGATATCCTTCTTTGACAAGGACTAAAATGTGGTAAGTTTTCCTTTACCATTAAATATCACTTCTACTTCTTCCCTATCTTCCACAGCCTAAAAGACGAGGATCCTGAAAACTTCCTGTAACTTAATCTCACACATAGGAACCTATCCTCCTGAGCAATATCCCCTCTGGGAAGCAAAGTGCGTCATTTTATGAAACTCATTTGTAATGTTTATCTCTGAAGATGTATTTGAGACAGCATAAGTGATATGTCAAATGTACTGTGCTATAAATTTGCCTTTAAGATAGAGAGTGTAGCATAAAATATGAACACGTGGCAGAATCTTGCACTCAAGGTTTAAAATCTGTTGAAAATAAACTCACTAATACAAATGTTCTGCATTCATTTCCTGATCTGCAAAATTTCAAATTCTTAATGCAAGTTCTAAAGAGATTAGGATTTTGACCTGCCTAGATTTCTGTTAAGACTAATTTTACCTGTTTCCTTTTATTTATTTATTTTTTTAATGTGGTTCTAGACATTTAGGTATGTCAAGGTCCTAGTCTCTTGAGGACTTGGATTAAGAATTTGGAAACTCTGCAGATCAGGAAATGGAAAAGAAAACTGGAAAAGAGGAATACTTTGCAATGAGTTAATACTGCTGCCTAATACATCTCGAAGAAATCAGCAAAGACCCATCAATTGCTTTCACATCACACTCAGTCGCACTAGAGAATTTAAGCAAGCTGGAGAATAAAGACATTGTAGAGAAAGTGTCACTAAGCTTTCTCAGCAATGGAAACAGAGTAACCGGTGAATTTCACTCCATAGCTTGTCAATGTCTTCTCAACCTGTAGGTGATGCAACTAAAAAATACCTATGCTAAGTCACTGTATCTGCTTTGGAAAATTGTCTCAGAGCCCCTCTTAGATTCCAGCTGGGTCTTAAATATTTTTTTTCAAGGTTTTTTGCGTATCTGATTGATGGAAAATAAAAATTCTTTTATAGAATTCCCAAAACATTTATAATAACTACTACATAAATTAAAATGTACTCATTGATGATCCATGTGGCTTTTTCATTCATCCATTACTTGCTTACTCAAACGAGGTCCAAGTACCTGAGTTTACACAGTGCACCAGTCACTTTACAGAGCATGCAAACATTTGCCCTATTTGTTTTTATTCTTTTTTTTTTTTTTTTTTTTTTTTTCTGAGACGGAGTCTCGCTCTGTTGCCCAGGCTGGAGTGCAGTGGCGCGATCTCGGCTCACTGCAAGCTCCGCCTCCTGGGTTCACGCCATTCTCCTGCCTCAGCCTCCCAAGTACCGAGTAGCTGGGACTACAGGCTCCAGCCACCACGTCCAGCTAATTTTTTTGTAATTTTAGTGGAGACAGGGTTTCACCGTGGTAGCCAGGATGGTCTTGATCTCCTGACCTCGTGATCCGCCCGCCTCGGCCTCCCAAAGTGCTGGGATTACAGGCGTGAGCCACCACGCCCGGCCTGTTTTTGTTCTTAAAACAACTAAAAAACAATAACTGGTCCTGGGTTAGGTTTACTCCTCACCACCTTAAAATGTTTGTTCAAAAATCTGTAATCCAAAATTTAAACCATATCCTCAATGAGGTACAGCTCCTACTTCAGAATACGGAGAGAGGTGAGAAAAGATTTTGACTGAATACTGCAACTGCTGACAACAATTGTGTTTGTGTTCAATATAGTAGCCAGTAGCCACACATAGCAACGAGCGCTTGAAATGTTGCTGAGGTAACTAAAAAACTGAACTTTTAATTTAACCTTGATTAAAATTCAGATTAAAAAATTGAAGCAGTGTAAAAATATTTCACACTCTTATTTTGGTAGAACTGCATTTAACTTTCACCATTGAAAATTTAGCATGAGATACCCTGGAAACATACAATACACACTGGATCTCAAGGAATTAGTATTAAAAAAGAATGTAAAATATTTCTCACTAATAACTGTTTAAATATTGATTTTATGTTGAAATGATTATATTTTAGATATATTAATTTAGGTAAAACATATTAAAATTAATTTTACCTTTTATTTAACTTTTTTAAAAATGAGATTACTAGAAAATTTAAAGTTACATATGTGGTTTGCATATATTTCTATTTTGGACAGCACTGGCTTAAAATATATTTTCTACGTAGAAACCCCATCGACTCAAGCTTAAAAGCTCATCCTTCCCGTATTTTTCTCCATGTCCAGCCCATAGCCTAGAATCCCAGTGTTCCCATTTTTACATTCCAACCCGTGGTAGAAGCACTCTCCCAGGCTCAAAATCTTAGAGTTATTTTTAACTGTGAGAAAGCTAGGGGAGGAAGGACTCAGTAAACAAGTCCAAGTACTCCACCTTTGTGGAATCTCTCCTCCCCACCCCTGGCTTTTATTCTCATTACTACCAACCTTGTCGTGTACAAGACCCTGAATGCTTCACCAAATGCAACCAACAGCAGCCCTTCTCTGTTTCGAGGGATCTCCTCCCTGTTGCTGCATCGCATCAGGATCACCTGAGGCACTTATTAAAAATGCAGATTCCGAGTTCCCATCTCAGACCTTGCGTATCAGAATCTGTTTTTAGCATCTCTGTTTATGGGTTCAGGAATCTGAAGAAATGACATTTAAGCTGAGATACGAAGGAGGAGTTAACCAGGTGCAGTGGGAAGAAAGCTCTGCAGATTTAAAAAGCAGCACATACCAAGGCCCTGGGAGCAGAAGCAGCTTGGTGCTTTTCAGAAACAGTCATAAAACCAAAAGGCTCAAAGAAGCCTTCTTCTCTGATCCCCACCCCACCCCCAAACTTAATAGAACGTTTGGAGCCTCTCTCACTGGCCAGGATGTGAATTTTGTGAGGGCAGGGGCCACATTTGACTTGTTCGCCACTTTATCCACAGTGGCTAGCACAAACGTTATACACAGTAGATGCTCAGATAATACACTTATTTACATATAGGACCCATAAAAGTGCCATTAAGAAACACAAAATAATATTTCTCTTTAAATTGTTCTCATCCCCTATATCCATCTCTCTTTCCATAAGCAGTCCTCTAGCAACAGTGGTTCTCAAACTTATTAGAATTCCCTAAAGGGCTTGTTTAAAACACAGGTTAGTGAACCCCACCCTGAGAAGTTCTGATTCAGTAGGTCTGATTCACAAGGGGAGGGCCCAAGAATCTGCATTTCTAACAAATTCCCAGCTGATGCTGATGCTGCTGCTCCAGAGACCATACCTCAAGAACCATTGCTGTAGTGGGGAAATAAAATGAACTCAGCATCAAAAAATAGATTATTCTAGTTCTGGCTCTGCCACATAATAGCAATGTGGCCTTGTAAAGGTATTTAATAACTTCTTTGGGGACTTATGGCTCTTAACTGTGTGGGGAAGGAATTAAAAAAAAAAAACTGTCCCACTTCCCTATACTCATGAAGATTCGATGGAACCTAGTACCTGAAAGTGACTGGTCAGTTACAAAGTCCCAAATGAATAAAAAGTGTTATTAACGGTGTTTGTTATTAAAGTTGCTATTCATAGTGGTGATATCAACAGGGAGTTTACAGACACACAGGAAGCCAGAGAGAGATGTGGAAACAGAGAACTTTGTCACCTGTATGTCCAGGGCAAAGGCACAGGGCTTCTCTATAAGACTCAAACTGGAGCCCAGCCTGCCCCGTGGAGCACAGCCATGGAAATACACGGGACTAAAGAAATCCTTTGGGGTCATGTGCCATTTTTAACAACTGTTAACTTTTTCTAAAATGTTTCTTTTGAGACAAAGTGTTAGATTCTTGGTGAATTTGTTTGAAATGTTGGAGGAAGACTGTGTTGGTCATGAAAATTACTTACCAACCCAGATGCTGAAACAAATTTAGCTGTTGAAAATTAAAGAATTTTTGTAATGTGTAATTTGTTATTCCAATACATGTGTTTTCAAATACTGTACCATGTTTCTCATAACCCAAGGAATGCCATAAAATTATTTTTTATTTAATTAAAAATGTATGCAGTCTTCTAGTAGTTTCTAGTGGGCTGAGTGAGGTTTAGCCAACAAACACCACTGCTCCCCACCACCCCGACACAAGGCAAAACAAAAACTCATAACTGTTTAGGTATTACTATAATTTTCAAAAGACTGTAAACTCACTTAAGAATTTAGACCTCAACAACACTTATACCTGAAGCTGTATGTTCTCAAGTTTTGAAACAGGTAAGCATGATCATTTGGGGAAACTATATTTATTATTTTTTTTAAGCAACAAGTTTAATTTGCTTGCCTTTTTTGTCCATTTTACTTTGTTTTTGTTCTTTTTGTTTTTCAAGGTTAACTTCAAAAATTATTTTTATCAGCTTTTTTGGAGTTAAATCCAAATAAAACTTAATGTCATCTTGGAAATTTAAATATATTTTGGTGATTACCAGTTACAATAAAGTTAAAAGCTAGGTATATACTAAATTTGAAGAAAAATGTTATTAAAACATTAATCTTTCCCTTTCAAGATGACAACTACACCAAGTGAATCTGTTTGAAACTCATTTGTAGAACATTTTCTTTCCATTTAGCAGCAATGTTATCACTCTGTAAGTCAAGTTCTCACAATTCAATTTGATGTATTAAATAGAAATTTGATTATTAAAAAACGTCAATTTTAAACTCACCTTTGGTCAACCTTTGCTTTTTGTTTTCAAATGTAAAGATCACCATACAGCAGAGAACGTATACAGGAACAGACTCTTACTACAATGACCAAGCTATTATTATTATTATTATTTTCCTTAGAGACAGAGTCTCACTCTGTTGCCCAGACTGGAGTGCAGGGGTGCAATCACAACTCACTGCAACTTTGAACTCCTGAGTTCAGCCTCCCAAAGTAGCTGGGACTACAGGCTCTGGTGCCACCACACTTGGCTAATTTTTTTTTTTTTTTTTTTTTTGTAGAGACGATGCCTCCCAATGCTGCACAGGCCGGTCTTGAACTCCTGGCCTGAAGTGATCCCCCGACCTCAGCCTCCCAAAGCACTAAGATTACAGATATGAGCCACTGTGTCTATTCCCAAACTATTAATTTTTGAATCACCTTAAAAGATTTTCAGAATGAAGAGAAAAAAAATCACTTTTACTCCAAACAACACGTTCCAAGCATGGGTAATATCAAGGCATCACTCTGAAAGTGATACCACTAAATCAGAAGTATACCCTGTAGAAGTAAACCAACAGAGAAAAGGAAACTTCCCCTAAAAATGCAGTCAATTCCAGAGGTTGGCAAAAGGTGTACAACTCCTAGTGAGTATAGCCAAGGAATTCATTTTTCTTGCAAGGAGGGTGGTACTAAGAAAAAGATAATCAGAGAGCACACAGCTTTGAGGGAGGGTAGGTCTGCATGACACCCTACTGGGGAGGCTTTTGGAAAGCCTGAGGGCAGGTGAGAGGACTGTGTGTCTGTGAACCACAGAAAATGCAGAGACATGGAGGGCCAGGACAGGTGGGGAGGGGAGACTAAACTAGGCCTTATCAGATCAGGGACCCATGGTGGTCACCCATTGGTACGTATCACATTAGTTGACAATGTCTAATTTACTTTCCTGGATACACTAAATTTTGCTTTTTTGCTAACCAAAAATTTAGAAAATATACACCTAAACCATTTATTATTTGGATAAAAGTTAACTTTCTGCTACATATGCGATATATATATATATATATATATGAAAAGAGATAGATCAATGGTATTAAAAAAAAAACCATAAGAAAGGATAATCCAAAAACCACCTAAGATCTGCTTCTGGAAGCTATAAAGTAAGTGGCTTCAGCATCCTAAATTTGTTTTAATTAAGCTAATGATAACAAAAATTGATATTCCTTGATGATATAAATACAGATGGTAGAGAAGTAGCTTAAGCATATCACTAGTTCATATGGTAATTTTCTCTAAACTTAAAAAAATAAAGGCAATGTTATCAATCTTCAAGAAGCCCAAATGAGATCAGATGTGGTGGCTCACACCTGTAATCCCAGCACTTTGGGAGGCCATAGCAGGCAGATCACCTGAGCCCAGGAGTTTGAGACCAGCCCAGGCAATGTGGTAGGTCCCTGTCTCTACAAAAAATTAAAAAATTAGCTGGGCATGGTGGTGCACGCCTGTAGTCCCAGCTACTTGGGAGACTGAGGTGAGAGGATCACTTGAGCAGGGGAGGCTGAGGCTGCAGTAAGCAGTAAGCTGTGGTTGCACCACTGCACTCTAGCCTGGGTGACAGAGCGAGACCATGTCTCAAAAAAAAGAAGAGCCCAAATTAGATAATTTATATCCAGATCATGGAGAGAAGGGCCCTCCCTGGGCCAGCTACCATTCATGTTGAATAGATATTAATCCGTTTTTTAGAGCTTTTTAGAGGCAAATTTCAAATCAGTGAAGATTTAAAACATCAATATGTCTACATAATTCTCTTCCAAGATGATTAAACATTTTTTTAGAGACTAAATTTCCCCATTAGCTAAAGCAACCCAAATATGTACCTTACTCAAATATAAAGTCTAAGAGTAACCCCAAAAGAAAATTTTCATTTGTTTGTTGTTTTGACACATAATAATCTAGGATAGACGCTCTTCACATACCACTGCCTATGTACTCAGGAAAAGATGTACACAAAGCCATGTCACTTATTTTTCTACCTTATCACCCATCACTTCTTACATAACCCTCTAGTCTCCAACATCCCTAGACAGCCCCCGCTCCCCAACTCCCGCCCAAGCCTTTCTCACTCGCTGGGATGTCCCCTGCTCAGAATGTGCCTATTCTCCACATGTCACCCCATCCGCAAGGATTTCTCCTCCTCAGAAAACTATACCCTTATCTAAGTTTTCACTCTTTGGCCAGTTATTTACTATTTCCTGTAGATATTTATCTTTTTATGCCTTGATCCCTTGCCCTGCTTCTCCCCACACACATTAAATGAAAAGTGCTTTTAAAACAAGGACACCTTATACCCCCAGTGGAATAAATGCTGATTAAATATCTAGTGTATGTCCAGGCACTGGGCTAGATGCTTTCTCATTGGCCTCTTTGTAATCACGCACAAAGTCTAGCACAGGCTCAGACACACTGTAACATGCACTGAATACAATGTTTGCTAACTGAGACATCAGACCATCAAAATCCAACAGCACGAAAAGTTTTGTTACCACCTTACCTTCCAGATTCATAAACCCTAACATGCATTATCTCCGAAACACTTCATCTCTGTCCATGGGTAAACAGGAAAAGTCAAATGCTTAGACTTCTGGTCTAACTCACCGGCAATGAAAGAAATAGTCTCTTCAGTGTGACAAGTTAGATTCAACCAGCATTAATTGTTGGTTCAAATATATGCCAACCAATGACACTGCTAGAGATTAAAGCTAAATGGAAAGGCTCTTCACGTTAGAGCTCAGCTCCCAGTTAGGAAAGCACCATGCATACATACAAAGAACATGAGACTCAATATGTTTGATAGATGTGTGTAATGTGGACATGTGAAACAGAAAATCCCTAAGACTTGGTAAGACTATTAGAGCAGGTGTCCCAGAGATGATCAGCCCCCCTGAAACTTGAAGGACACTAAGGACAAGGGCAAGAAGTATTTCCTGGAGAAGGAACAGCATGCACAAAGGCCCAGAGATAAGAGACAGTGGTTTATCATCCTGAGGTCAAGGGTAAGTATGTGAGGAGGACCCTTAAGAATGGACTGAAGAGGTGGTAATGCCAAACCCTGAGGAACCTTGATGACAAACTATCCCCTCAAGAGACTGACTCCCTTGAGGCCAGACCCCACATCTGTGCATAGTTGTGTCCTCAGGGCCTGGCACAATGTGTGGTCCTAGTACTTCCAAAGCATGTCCTGTGGGAAGTGGCTCTAGATGGACTCTGATAGAGTTGGGCACTCCTTTCTTCTGCTCGCCTAACTTCCTCTAGAAGAGACTATCATATTGTTTGAGTAAATTGTTTACATTCTATGTAGCTCCACAAAACCAAATGGTCCCTTTAAGGGCAGAGGCCAGGCTTATTCACCTTAGTATTCCCAAGACTTAGAATGCTGGACACATGTCAAAGACCCTCAATTAACCTGGCTGAATGAACATACCCATATACTATTGGTCCATCTCCATACCTTCCTTTAAGCAGTTACCTAGATCTTCCTACATCTTCTTTCTGCTGCTCCCTAATAGGAATCATTGGGAAGAAAACACAATGACTGAAACCACCCGTGAAAGCTACATTCACATTCACACACACACACACACACACACACACACACACCCTGCCCTCCCCCCCAATCTGCAAACAACTCAGCACAAACATATTGACACCCACATATGTAGAAACACCCCCACACAATCTGTCATCCTATATACCTCTAACCTCAAACAGCCTTAATTTTTGTCTGTACTGAACTCACAGCTACAAAATAATTTCTCTTCATTCTTCTACTGAAGAATGAAGGCATTCTGGGAGGAAAATGTCAATGTAATGTGACTTTATACTTTGGAAGGGGGAAAAAGAGGTGCAAGAAATATTAAGATGCAGTTAATTTGACTCCATATGCTTTTGTGCTTAAGTTATTAATTTCCCAGTCACTTCATATTACTCCAGTAATGTAATGTTCTCATGAAATGCAAAATGTAAATTATGTTTCCATTCAGAACTTAAGCCATTCCACAGAAACCTAGTTTTCATGCAATTATTTTGATCTTGCAATATGCCACAAACTACAATGTACTAGGATGTTACCCTTACCATTTCATACATTTAGAATTTCAGAACTCAAGTTTTCTGTTAAAATGTCTGCATTAAAGGCTTTTTAAAAAGAATTATTAAGACTAAAAGCATAGCAGCAACCGCCAGTTGTCCTCTATATTCATTCTCCCCTTATCCCTAGGTAAGAGTATCCCTTGGTTTTTGTTGAGCTTATGGCCACCCAGAACAAAGACTGTATTTCCAATCTCCTTTGCAATTGCTTGTTGACATATGACCAAGTTCTGGCTGATGAGACGTAAGTGGCAGTGGCAAGTGCAATGTCAAGCTGTACTTTTATTTATTTATTTTTGAGACAGAGTCTCGCTCTGTCACCCAGGTTGGAGTGCAGTGGCGTGATCTTAGCTCACCGCAACCTCCCCTCCCTGGTTCAAGTGATTCTCCTGCCTCAGCCTCCTGAGTAGCTGGGATTACAGGTGCCCGCCACCACACCCAGCTAATTTTTGTATTTTTAGTAGAGACAGGGTTTCACTATGTTGACCAGGCTGGTCTCAAACTCCTGACCTCAGGTGATCCACCTGTCTTGGCCTCCCAAACTGCTGGGATTACAGGTGTGAGCCATCACGGCCAATCAAGCTGTACTTTTAAAGGTAGGGACATCCCCTCCCCTTTTCACTTTCGAAATATCTGCATGAAAACTAGATTCCTGGAAAGCAGGCCTGGTGGCAGCCATCTTGAATTGCAGGGACCTGAGCAATACCTCAGGAATGGAAATCCTAGGGATAGGTGACCAACAGAACAAAAGGAGTTTGGGCTTCTGACAGTTCTCAGTGCAGACTTTATATTAAAGAGAAAAAAGAAATCTTACATCTTTAAGCTCCTGTTAGCTTGGGTCTTTGTCACAAAAGCTTCATTTAGGATCTAATTAATTCAAAGCTTAACATACATGAACAAAGGAAATCTCGCTTCTTTTCTCCAGAAAGGTTGTCAGAGTTCTGGAGATGTTGCCCCATGTGTACAAGTACAGTTTACGGGAAAACAGACACACACACACAACTCACCATCAGGAGACCTGTGCTCTAGTCCTAGCTGTTACCACTTATGATGTGCCCTCAGGAAAGTTACCTACTCTTTAAGTCTCACTTTCCTCCTCTGCAAAATAGAGCTAATCCCTTCTTCAGCACAGCCCTCGCAGGATTATCGTGAAATGTGAAGAGAGATGCTTTCTGTGCAGATGCTTCATATGCTGCAAAGCACCACACAGGCAGCGTAATTATTAAAACATTTTATCCCAAAATCCTTCTTTATGCAACGTGGGTCTTATTAACACCCAGTACCTGAATATACCTTTCTGGTGAATAAAGAGCCTGCAATCACCTGATTCTAGCTAAGATGGTTAGAGATCAGTTTGAGATGTTAGGAGCAGACCACCTCCAGAGGCTGGTGTTTCATTCAACCATCAAAGACGTCAAGCCCCAACTCCTCAACTTAAATGTGGCATTGATTAGAAAGTCAAAGGGTTTTACCCAAACAGTACAAACCCAATACCACATGGAGAGAAACTGCCCAGAGCCCATATACTACTAAAATATGGTGCATATCTTACTACATCTCATATCTCATCTGCTGTGATATATGTGGCTTTTTCTATTAGATGTATGAATATACGAGTGGCAGAATCAATCTCTGATGAAATGTCTATATTTTCCTTCCTCGTGTAGATACACATATAGCAGAAAACTAAGTGTAGGGGAAAGGTACAAAATGTTATACGTAAACAAACTAGACAATACATGCATCTCTGTGGAGAAAACACCTCAAATCATCAACATCAGCCAAGACTTGTGGTCCAATTCCACCCACCTTCAATGGGTGATAGGGTTTTTTAAATCCAAGTAAAATTAGCTGTTGGCTAGTATTTACTGGGCCCTCACTATATGCTGGGCACTACAGAACCTAAGGGCTTTATGTATATTCTGTCCTCTAATTCTCTCAATAGCCCTAATGCTATTATCCCTCCCCATTTTCTAGATGAGGAAATAGAGGGTTGGAGAAATAAAGCTGTTCCCCAAGTTCACCCAACTTATATGTGGTACAGTCAAGATTGAAACTCAGGCCATCTTACCTTCAGAATTCACATGCTTAACCACTACCTCACTCTGCCTTTCATATAAGCAGCAACAATTAAAGTGGAATCAATGCTCATATTCCCTTTGGAAATATTTTCTGATAAAACAAATGTTTCAACTGGAAAGAATGTCAGAACTATTTAGATGCACCTATATAATAGCTGTTCTAACTCTTTAAAAAGGAATAAGCAAAGGAATCGAATCTACTGAGACAGGAAGCCAGGAGTGCGAACTACAACTCATCTACCCTCCCCTAGAACCCATGGTCTCATTTTCAGCTCACAGAATGGTACTACTGACTACTAGAACTTAGTGTGGGTAGAAAAATTTTTTTTCAGAGAATACCTCATATTAACAACTTTACCAGCATTTTCATTTCATTCCGTCACCTTCTCAAAAAAATCGGTGTCACTTAACAAGTTCTACATAAACCAAAAATGGAAACCCCGAAGGCCAACAGCAAAGCAAGGATTTCATTCTTAACCCGCACCTCAGTGTGAGATGAGCTGAAGCTTCATTTCTACCTGCCGCCCCTTTCTGAAGGGTAGGTACTGACTGGGCTGGAGTGAAGGAGAAACACCAGGTGATAACATCACTGTTCCTGGCATGTTCTTTATGTATCAGGCAGCCCGATGGTGCTTTACCTGTGCTATTTCACAGAAGGCTTGCAAGGTAGGTGGTGATGTTTCCATCTTAGGGAGGGGAACATGGAAGCCCAGGGATAGACACCCAGCTAATAAGTGGCTGAGATGACTTTTTAAGTCTGGGTCTGACTCCAAAGCCTGTTCTCCTGCAGCATCATGCTGGGGTTTTCTAGAAGCCAAGAAAGGGACACAGAAGCAAAAGACCCCACCCTTCTTCCATCACAGTCCATCCTATTTGCTGTGCCAGAAAGCCCTGAAGAAGGGTAGAATGTGGATGGCTCCATGTTGGGCTGTTTCCTCCAATTCATTAGCAGGGGTGAGGTCCTCTCATCCCTCTGCTACATTCTCTCCCACACCTCACCAAGAAGCTGATCAAAGAGGAGTATCAGTTTGTGTGCTCTGCAGGGACTGAGAGAACAGGCAGTGGCCAGACTGTGAAAGGACTTAAACAGACCTGCACGATCCAGTCTCCTAGACCCTAGCACAGGTGGCTACTGAGTACCCAAAATGTGAGCACTCTGAACTGAATGTGCTCTAAGTGTAAAATACGCACCAGATTTTGAAGGCTTTCCAATAGAAGAAAGAGATAAGGAAATGTAAAACAGCTCATTAATAATTGTTTATCAATTATTTACATGTTGAAATGAGAATGTTTTGGATATTTTGAGCTAAATAAAATACAGTATTAGAACTAATTAGTATGATTAATTACTTTTTAAATGTGCATGCTAGAAAATATAAAATTATATATGTGGCTCACATTACATTTCTATTGGAAAGTGGTCTTAAGAGATCATGTTCAAGAATTTGTACTTTAAGAACAATGGCAGCCATTGTGAGCTTTTAAACGGGGGCATAACATGATCAGAATTGAACTTTAAAACATTACTCTAGCTACAAAATGGAGAATGGGCTGCCAAAGGCAATGAGCCAATGTGGGGAGAGTTCTACAACTTCTACGAGGTTCTACAACTGCCAAGGAGAAAGAAGATAGTGCCTGAAACACAAATGACTCTGCTTATTGCAGCAGAGATGGAGAAAAGCAAACAAATGTAAAACATATTTAGAAAGCAGTGCCCATGAGATGAAAAAAAATTGATTGAAAGGACATCTATCACAGATGCCTCCCAGGGTTTTGCTATGAGCTGAGTGGATGGGCCATTCAGCATTCATCGTCTGGTATTTATGCATCTACGAAAAAAAATGGTCAATCAAGTATCCTAGGGTCACAACAGCCTTTCTCCATGAAGTTCCCCTGCAAGAAGCGTGAATCATACATGCTCTGGGGACTTTGGAACTCGTGCATGCTGTTCCAAAGTGCTTTCCTTCTGAAGAGCTCCCAGAAGAAGTGCCTCAAGATTTTGCCAAGTCAAGAAACACTTTGGAAAGCTGTCGGAAATGATGGTAATGGATGCTAAGACCCGGAAATAGGCTGAAAGCACAGAGAGTGGGATGGAGTGGGGTGGAAGAAGGGTGGGGTCTGCTCCACTGTCCCTTTCTTGGCCTTTTCTCTAGGAAATGCCAGCATAATGCTGCAGGGGACAGGCTTTGGAGTCAGACCCAGACTCAAAAGCCAGCTTGGTCACTTATAAGCTGGGCATGTCTACTCTTGGGATCTTCTAGGCTTCCACGTTCTCATGCCTAAGATGGGAAAATCACCACCTACCTTGTAAGGATTTCACGAAATGGCTGTTATCATTCAGGCTTTCTCTTCCACTCCAGCCACGTCAATACCTGCCCCGTAGGAAGGGATATCGGGTGTAAACAAAACTTCAGGGCATCTCACCTCTCACAGGTGAAAGCATGACAAATCTCAAGAAAGACTAGGTGGGTTGTTTTGGTGTTAACTGCACAGAGAACCAAACAGCACCCCACAGCTGCTGTGGCATCGGAGGCCTGCTCCTTCCAGGGCAAGCATTATCATGAATAATTAAAGCCAAGCTCTGCTTATCAAAATAAATGAACAAAGGACGCCTCTGACACAGCAGTTCCCCCACCCCAATCTTTTTTGTTTTAGGAGCCACTTTTTCTCAGCTACTGCTCCTACCAATCTGATGATCTTCAGCGGCATCCCTATCAATTTGGGTAAATTAGCAAGCTTCTCCTCCATATGGAGCTGCGGCCGTAAATCACAAATATGAGTGTGTGTAAAATTATATAGCATAGGCCCAGTGTAATAATAAACACATTTATATTTTATAACTGCTGTTTTCTCCACCTTCAAGCCGCATCATTGCCTGGGCCCCAGAGGTTCCTAAGCACTCCCCACCGGCTCCTGTGTGCAGCCGTCTTGCTTTGTGTGCAATTTCCTTCCCCCTCGTCACAGACCGCTATCTGCCAAATGCCAGCCGGCTCTTCTTTGTGCTGCGGTGGGCAAGGAACCATACCAGCTCACAGTTCTCTCTGCAGCAGAACACAGACACAAATGAGCAGGTGACCTCTCAAACCGTGTCAAAACGGACCCTTGACCCAGAGACCTCAAAACTTCAGTGGGTTCGCTGTCTAAATCACCCAACTAAAAAGACCTATGTTTGCACAACGTGATTGTGTTTACACAAAGATTTAACGCCTCAATAGAGCAAAAGCTGTTCAGTTAATTTTAATTATTGCTTTACTCTTCTCGCAACAGATTTTTAAAAAAATGCTTAACGGTGAGCTTGTGGTAATTGATCCCACAAGCTTTGTACCTATGGTCCTTGTAGCTCATACAATGACAGGAGTGGGAAGGATGTATGAAAAGTTTTCCCTGGCTGCAAAGGATTCTTTCTGGCTTTGCTCATTAACTATTCTTTTTGGATAAGGTGCACACCAGGAAAACCACAAAAACAAAAATAAAAACAAAAACAAAAACTTTAACATCTAACCATGAGAGGGGGGAGAAAGATACACAGGTGGATTTGAAAGCATTCTAAATGCTTAGTAGCCAATTATCAGCAAGGAAAAGGCTATTATCAAATTGGGTTGGGGGCCCCGCCAATTCTAACGACTTATTAAGATTATTTCCACGGCAGGTAGAATGAAATAAAAAGGGGAAGTTTGAAAATACAAAGATGTACAGGAACACAGGATCACACACAAAAATATCTACAGACAAACAATCCTCAAAAGAGTGGAGCCCTCAGGGGTAATGTGTGTTATTCCTTCAGCCTTCCAGGAATTTGTCTTTTGGTGTTAATACCTTTTCTTTCCTCAGATCTCTGGATATAATATAAATGCCCATCACTCTGAGGTTCCTGTAGATCCTTTTGGCAGAATGCTAGAAAGCAGCTATTCTTCTTCACTGTGTGCTTTTCTGAATTCAGAGGAGAGACTGCTGCACATAACAAGCAAAATCATAACCTGAGTTTGGGATCTTTGCCAATGAATAGATTTACAATTCCTGTATTTACCAAGGGTTTTTATTCTTACGACTTCTAACCCATTATAAATATCCTCAACTGGGCAAAAACAAAGATAAAATAAAATTATCCTGAATTCCACACTTATCATACAAACAAAAATAAAGGCACATAAATCATTTCTTCAACCTCACCTAGCAAAGCTCTGGTGTAACTGAGAGGAGCATACAACTCATACACCAAGATCCACCCATCCATAGATTCCTTTGAATTCTTTAAGGCATCTCCATTTGGGTTTTCCAGCTTAGTAATAAAGAGGATTGCTAAGATGCATTCTTTCAAGGGGTTCAGAGAAAAGTTTCTATTTGCTATTTCTCATCAAGAATTATCTAAAATATGCAAATGCAGTAGTACTGAGATACCACTTCAAGAATCAATACCTTGCGTTTGTTTGCATCTTCAAAACCAGCTTTCTTTCTTAAAATAGGGGAAAACCAACTAAGATCAAGGATTCTTAAGTTCAACCAAAATAGACAGAATGTAGGAATATACAAGATAATCACTCAGTTTTCTTAGCTATTCTGAATTAGTAGTTATACTGAACAAGTAAAATAACAACAAATAGCCATTTATTTTTCTGAACCATAAACAAAACTGAATTCATTTATATTGTTTCAACTTAGGCCCCCAAAAGAAATAACTGATCTCTAAAGGAAAAACAGAGTAGGGCAGGCTCTGTGATGGTTCAGCAGTGAAATCTTTGAAAAATGATTCTTTCAGCCTCAGTTCCCTTATTTGTACAATGGGTATAATGAGAAGACTTACCTCATCGGTAAGTGAAGGTTAAATGGAAGGATGTATGTGAAACACTTGGCAACTGTAAAGATCAATACAAGTGATATTATTATTGCTTACTTGGGTAATGCACTAACATAGAAGCAGCCATTCCCAGGCTTGGTACCCAATTGCCTTCTTACTCCCAAAGCTGATCTGAGTAGGAACGCCTCAGCTTACCCTTTCTTTAGCACATCTGCTCTGGGAAGCTGACTAAGTAACCCACTGCATCTTCAGGCCATCAAGATAATATTACTAATTCCCTACTGGATCTAAAACTAAGGTCCGATAACAACTGTGATCCAAAACATGGCACTTAGCATGACCCCACAAGGCCAGCTCACTAATGGCAATCTCTTCAAGTGGCAAGGGATAAGCTAATACATGTAAAAGCCACAGATGTCACGTGCTCCCTACAGCCACATTCACATGTATGAGAGGAATAAAGTCAGCAGTATTATCTCCAAACAGCAAGGACAATGCCATACGATTATAATAGCATATTGTCCATTGTATCTGGGGATGACACGTCTGACAATGTTATTTTCTATGCACGTGAATGTAGCTGAAAGGGCCAATGCATAATTCACAGCTCCTGACAAAATGCAGACATAAAGTATGTGTCCATTAGATAAGGCAATTTAAATCCTTTTACCTGAAATAGCACCTTTCTCCCTAAGAACTCAGAAAGCTTCCAGTATGCTCCTCATGGTGCTGGTGCGAACCAGAACAGTGAATAGTAGGAAATGTACTGAGGCAGCAAATGCCAGCGCAATATACAGTTTTACCAATAAAAGTTTTATTTTCCCACGGAAAGCACGTCACTCTTATTTCTTCACTAACAGTTAATCTTCTTTTTGGTAACGAGGAAGCAACTGTTACATTTCAGCAAGGCCACTGTACCCAGGGGGAGAATGACAATACCATATGATGGTGTGGCTCTTCAGTGCGTGGTCAGCTAGGCCCATTTCCTGGCAAAGCACCTCCCTCCCACGTACCAGCCTGGCAGCTGATGTGATCAGACCTCTGCCTCAGCAAAATCTCAAATTATTACAGGTCAGGAGCCTTCTGCAAAAGGGGAGGGCATGAGGCTCAGGAAGAGTCACAATCACGAATCTTCAATCTAGAAGGTTAAGCATTTAGTGGAGGTAGGGAGATTTCTTTCTTACCATAAGGGGAAAAGCGGCACATCATCTAAATCCTGACAGAAATAATAAATAATGCAATATTTCCATTTAGTCAATATTGTTAAAGATCATAAAAGGGAAGAAGGCAAGACCTGGTGGGTAGGTCATCTTAAAAGGATTAGGAAACGTTTTGCAAGTGGATCAGAGCAACCTACAGAGAAGAAGACAGCTAAGGTTGCATTAGGCCAGGGTTTCTCAACCTTGGCACTGTTGACCCTTGGGCCCACATGATCCTTTGCTGTGGAAGTTGTCCTGGGCATTGTAGGATACTTAGCAGTATCCCTGCCCTCTACTTCCCAGATGCCAGTAGCATACCCCCAACCCCACATATGACCATGAAAAATGTCTCCAGACATTGCTAAATGTTCCCTGAGGGAAAAAATCTCCCCTGGTTGAGAACCACCACATTAGGCAACTAATGATCTCACATTTTGGGAGAGTGGCTGGACCAAAAGATTTGCTGTCACACATAATGGCCTCTTCAGACATTGACAGGATGTCCCGATACCCTCCTTGAACCATTGTGTGACTCTCCCATTCCTGCTATGCCCTTCTTAGCCTCAGAAGTTCTTAAAAGTTCAGGGAAGGCCCATCTGTGTGGAATGCTCTCCCAGTGCGCACAGGCCACATAAGGTTTTGAGCACAGGGTGTCCAGCTACAGGCTGAGAGGGGCTGAATCTGGCTCTGCTCCTCAAGCACAGGGAAGCTGCCCCACGCAAAGGGTACTTTTTCTAATTCACACAAAAGCATATTGTGGCTTAGCAGCAGCCCTGCTGGGGGACTAGCAGCCATCAGATTCGTCCTTTCCAATTCTGTCAACCGGTTTGCTTGATGTCAAAGCTAGCAGTTTTGTGTGGCCATGAGAATTAGCAAAGCAGGTTTTCAGGACTGAGGAGAACCAGGGGTTGAAGCAACTCCATGGAATACCTCCTTTCTTCATTCCCCAAAGCATGCTTGCTTGTATGCCTGCACTCTCACTATTGTTTTAAACATGGAGACATCAAAAGAAAAAAGATCTGCTCTCCAAGAAGAGTACGATGAGAGGAAGCCTCGGAAGTATGCACTGATGTTCATTTATCACTGGGTTAATAACCATGACCACCTTCAGTCTTCAAAGACCCCTGCCCTGGGTTTCCAGGGTCTTGCCAGACCACAGTGAGGCCGTATAACCACATCCAATCAACCGGTGAAGAGGGCTGGGTAAGACAAACTCCCCAGACTTCTTTGAACTTTTCAATCTGTATCCTGCTTAAGTCAAATAGGGACTATGCATAATATACTTGCAAAGTTGTTATTCTGACAGTCTGCTGTCAACAAAGATGAAATACTCAAACAAAACCACCTCCCTCTCAAAGTCAGAATATAAAACTTGTCAAGTGACAAAGGGATATTCTGACTTCTGATGGTTCTTCATAAGTAAATGGCTAATTCATTTAATGGGCAAATGCTTTTGAGTGATTAACAACTGGTCCTTTTAACAGAGATAGCAGAAATAATATTATACCCTCTCTGTAAGTTTTTCTTTGATAACAAGATTTTCTTTTGCAATTTGAGCACTACTAACGGCTAGCTGGTTTCCTTTAGACAGGTGTTAACACTGCGATCTTCTCGCGATCACCTAGCCTGGCTGGAGGCCTTCTGCCTATGCTAAGGGTACTTTAAGTAGAAATGATTCCATAAAGCCTGAATTTATCTTATGGTGGAAGGGCTTGTAGCTCAGCCTAGGCCTCCTCCTGCTTCAATTGTGATAGGGTATGGTGGATCTCATTAGTATGGGAAACCAGTAACAGCCATTAGTGTCAAATAAGAGTTGCCTTTGCTAACTATTTCTGTGCACAGTCACACAACATGCTCTGAGTTTTCTCAATAAAACAGCTCCTTCCCAGGGGAATAAAGCTGCCTCTTCAAGGGGCCCCAATTTACATACACTTTCTCAACCATTTAAAGTGAAATCTCCTTGGAGCATCACTTCACTTCTAAAGAATCTTCCTTGTCGCACTTCCAGTGAGAATTTCAATAATGATGAAACGGAAACTTCTACTTCAACAAGAGAGGACAACAATATATAAAGTAATTACCTTTTTACCTGTTTTTTAAATCACAAAATTGATTTTAGATTTTGCATCACATTTGTTCATTTGCCATGAGGAAAGCAGCTATGGTGCAAAATGTGTTATTGCCATGTAAATGCTATGTCCCAGTGAAAAGCACCAGGGCATGTGCTGTGCACATCAAAGGAATAAAACCCATAATAGGAAAGTCAAGGGTCTACAAGCCTCCCTTTACTCCTTCATAATAAAACAATCGGGAAAATCCCATAATGCGTTTAGTCCATTCTATTTCCTACTTTATACTCTGATATCAAGAAGAATGGCTACACAATAATTTGGTCCATTTAAGAAATAAGGTGGCACTATCCTTAAGATGTTAAAGATGCTGTCTTGTTATAAAGTATTTTTAATATCTGCACAAATTCTATTACTACTCATATCAAAATATAGGTATGTAATATTTTGCCAGTTTTTTTTTCCTGAAGACCAAAGCTGTCATTTGAGTTATGTCTTCAAATGTCTTGTTTCCTTTAAACTATATTTATAAAGTATGCCGAGAAAGAAAGATTTGAAGACTTTAATGTGTTTCCATAGCTAAAGGATTTAGTTGAGAAGGCAGGATGAGGGGCCGCAGGTGCCAGACATTGTGTAGAATTTGCACTTATGCTCCATTAATTGCCAGCATATCTTCCTCTCCCTTTTCCTCCCCTCCCCACTGACTAAATCCCTCTGGAAAACAGCAGAGCAGCAGGCCCAGACTGGTACCCAGCAGCAACACCAGGAGCAGAAGTAGCCAATTACCCTCCAGAATACAAAGTGGAATGGGGGGTGGGGGGGGGGGGGAAATGATGCAGTTACCTAGCAACCAGAAAGAGCAGAAACAGCTGTGTAGCAGGCCCAGGCTGGTACCCAGGAAGAAACAGGATAGCCAATTAGCACACTGTATTTAATGCTGATGTGGTTTCCTAGTAACAAGATGTACAAGTCTGTCTGTTGCATTTTCCCCCTCCCCTTCTCACATTTTCCTCAATCATGCACAGTATTACTATTTGCCCTAATTACTGTTTCTCCACTGCTTCCAGCGACCATTATTTTATCCCCAGAGAAATTGGAGGAACTCAGGAAAAATCTTCTGTAATGACAGTATTTAGTTTCAAATTCAGTTTAGTTGTAAGCCTTGAGACACTAAACAACAACAAAGAATGAAAAAAACAAAAAGCCAGCAAATTGCCCTCTGCCTAAATTTTTAAGTAGCCTATGATACCTTTTCTAAACGCTAATATTTACGTGCAAGTGAAACAAAAAAATTTAATACATACCGTCATTTTGCCACACATTACATTTTCAAATAGGGTGAATCCTCTGTGTACTTGAATTTATTCATATTGATTTTCTGACATTCTCTCCCGAACACTAGGAACATAAAATGTCTTATTACCTATATCAAGGAAGGAAGATGTATCTTTTGTTGCTCTTTTTAAAATACCAATACTAGTTTCAACAGGCTCATGACCAATTGAGAATTCAATATGAGGGATCATTATTTCCTTTCTGCAACAGAAGTTCAGTACAGGTGAAGGATGTTGCATATCCCATAGTAAGGGGATTCCAAACACCATGTGATAAGTTCATAACCAAGCAACGAATTCCATGAGATGACATTAAACTACATAAACACACGAAATGAAGACAGAAACCTTTTAAACAGGACTACTGCACAGTTATTCTAAAATATTTCCTACCATATCTTGGTGCTCTTCTACACTCAAATATGTACCAGAGTCAAGCTTTTTCTTGGTTCTATTCATTAAGACACAGATAGAATCCTGCATTTTTTAGGGCAACTGCTAGACTCCTAGAACCACTCTCATTTAACATTGGCTTCAATATTAGAGCAAACTATAGTCCTTATTACAAAACATCCCTGCTAGGAAAATAGCAAGGTCTCCAGAGAAAGATATTAGATACCCTAAGACACCTAACTAGGCAATACTCTACCATGGAGGTCAAGTTCTTTCTCAGCTAAGGATGGCTTCTGGTTTCCTGCCTGCAACAAAATGATTGATAGCTTTTATCATTTTTAGCTCATCTAGTGAAACAGATAAAACTATGCAGACCCAACAAAGTTGGGATTAAAACATCTTTTTACATTATTTGCCTGAAAACAATATGTACCACTTTACTGAATTCCATACATGTTATAGTAATGGAAACGGATACATTTTAAAGGCAGAAACAAC
The DNA here is from genome assembly GCF_000001405.40 of Homo sapiens. Lineage (NCBI taxonomy): Eukaryota > Metazoa > Chordata > Mammalia > Primates > Hominidae > Homo > Homo sapiens. Next base: position 207,115,018 of record NC_000002.12, read on the forward strand.
AAAATAAGCCTAAGTATATGTTTTATAATACCAGATGAGTAGTTTAGAATATAAAAGGAGTTTTAATCTGTAAATGTATTTTATTTTGCAAACAAAATAAAAGGGGTCTTACATGAATGCAGATAACTTTTGAAGGGAAGAAAAAAAAAGATGTCAGTTGCAAAAAAAAAAAGGGGGGGTATGCCAAGGAAGTTTGGTTTAGGACAAAGCTGGACTGAGGCTCCATAAGGAACCAGCAATGGGGCATTCTGATCTTTCCTCCCCTACAAGATTATGGGGTCCAATCCCGGGTCAGTCCCCAGCTCACCTAGCTCCATAAACATACATGTTGAAGGAGAAGGTAGGGTGAACAGAAATATGGAACAAAGCATGCTAAGCTTATTCTCATTGCAGACATCCTTAAATAATTGAAGTGCTTTCACCTCCATTATTTCACCACCCATTGGTGACTGAACATGGGGACACTGCAGGAGTGAGAAGTAACTCCATCAGTGGTTGGCTGAATAACCAGCACATTAAAAAGTCACCAACTTTTAATTATTTTAAGTGATCTTGCCTCGACCAACATTTAGCTTAATAATGTCATGTCAATACATTAACAAATTGTTGAAAGGAAGCCACTTTTAGAAAATGTAGAAAATCCAGTAGCAGAGGAGGGGTAGATGGGATGGTGCTGGAGTAAAGTGGGGGAATGCCATCCCAGTTCCCAACACTCCCCCATCATGTCTCCCTACCTGTTTACAGACTACTGAAATTCTATTAAGTTTCCCCTAATTGAAGGTTAAAAAACTAATAATAGAAGATTAAAGTGTTATACACTGGTGGATGGACGTATAATCCACTGACCACAACAGTCTACAGTGTACCAACCACAACAGTCTACAGTGTATTGCTACCAGATCCTTTCTGCTGTGAAGGATAGAGGAAAGCTGCAGGGCAGAAAGTGACAGAGTACAGGAAGGGATCAGATATTAGGTACTTAGGTAGGGAATGCAGAAGAAAAAAACCCCATATTTTAGAAAACAAGTTTGGCCAGGGCTATCCAGTTTGCCTCCATCAGGGTGAAGACAAATAGAAACTGCCTGCCTGGAAAGGGTTAGGCGTTCTCCATTCGGTACCGGAGTCGTGCAGCAGAGCTTAGTGTCATCTGACACATTCTGCCCCTGGTGGACCAGATTCCCAAACAGCTGCATTTACTCATCAGAACTAATTTCCTTATATGAAGTTTGTTTCCTGAGGATCCGTTATCAAGGTTTCAACTGTAATTTCTACTACATTCAAGCTGAATATTTTTCAAAGAAAGACAGGTCACCTTACAATTATTTTTCATCTGTCCTTATATTTTAATTTTTTTAAAAAGAGGACCATTCAAAACCAATTTGTTTAAAAAAATTAACACGTGAGTTTCTTAAACTCCATTTCTTTCTAATTCAAACACAATCACTACATTATTATTTCAACTTCAGGAAACATAGAAAATCCCTGCCTACCATCAATTCTTATAACGTCATCTTAGCCTTCACTCTTTACAAAGCTCCACATAGCTTTCCTTGAACCTTCCTATATTATATGTACAGGATAACCATGATCATGACGGTAATTAACACTCATATTATAATAGAAACAGCCTCTGTACATTATCAATTTATTAAAAGGAACAGTTTTTCTAAAAGTTTACACTTGGCCTTCTCAATGTCATTTTTTCATTTACACAGACTTCTCATGACCCTCTTCTTTTCTTCTCTATCAAACAGAACTCGCCCACCCTTGAAACCTTTGAATTTATAAAATTCTATTACTTTCACTGCCTTTTCTGAAATGAGATTCCTCTTTTCTCTTCTCCTTCCTCCCAGTTCCCCCACATCCCCCATCCAAACTATATTCTGAGATCAAGTTCCAAATATAATGATTTTATGAAACCATATTTCAGGCTTTTGTGTCAAAAAGCGAGGTCCTCGGCAATAAAGAGGGACTAGTGTATGTACAGTGGGTGTTCGAAAATATTGTTTATGATGAAATACTCATTAATTTCATGCTTTTCTTTCTCCTCGATTCTTATTTTAACATACTTATTTGCTTTGTGACTATCAATTATCCATTAAAAGGACATCTGGAATAGGCGTCCCACAAAGCCTATATTTATTATCATAGTATAATGATAAAATAAATGTGCTTGCTGTGTATATGCTGAGTTTAGGCCATGCTTCCCAATATATGTTTACATTAATTTATCTTCATAAATGTTAGGAGTTATCATATTGCTAAATTACCATGTGGTAAAGTTTTAAGATTTTACTGAATCAGAAAATTCTCCCAGCGATTGTTTTTCACCACCTCATTTCATACCCTTTCTTTTCAAACTTCTCTTAAGCTCTTGAATATGCTAAATCCAAATTATCAAACCCTCCTATTCAGCTCTCTCCACCTTGTGAACTGAACATTTAACCCTTATTCTTGTTTCCATCCCATAATCGGGGTTTAATGAGTTTCTGCCTCAACACATGGATAAACTTCATTAGCAGCCATGTGTCTCGGCATATTAAAGGCCCTTTAATGTCTTAAAATCGCCCCATTTCAGTTGCTATTGTATAAATTCAAAGAATTCTTATCTATGGCACTAGCAGGTTGAAAGTGGTTGATGAACCCCCTACAGTTCCACACTGAGGTATTAAATTTTATCCTGCTGATATGCCTGACCTTGAATTAGGGCTTCTATTTATATAAATTACTATACTATCACATTGACATCATTTAAAAAGATGAACAGCATCAATAAACACTCTGTCCAGAAGGAGAGAAGCGACTTGTTATCTCCAAATCTTCCATGCTGCCTCTGACTGCTGCTGCAAGCCCCTGCTTTCATTTACTGCCCCATCACCACCCTTCAGCACTCCTTCCCAAATGGACCACCCTGTTCTCCTTTGCTGGTCACTCCATGGTACAGTGCCTGACATCTATGGGCACTTAATACCTGTTCGCAGAAAGACTGAAGAACACATACAGTAAATAAGAAGCAAAACAATCTACTGAGTAGGATGTAAGCCTATAGGTCAGGAGACATGGGTCCAATTTAATTTCTAACAACAGGGACTTGCATAGCCTGAACCAAGTTACTTTTTTGTTGTTGTGGTTCCTCAGTTTCTCCCATGTTGTGATAATACTGACCTTTCTTATTTGATAGGGACAGAATATTAACATTTGTCATTTTAATGCGTGAACTGAGACTGGCATGTCTCTCTTTAACACTAACATTAAAAAAAGTGAAAATAGTAACAACCATAAAATAGTAGCTTTATCAGTAACGATAATAGGCCTGGAAATGGAAGACCATTTCTTTGTAATTTCCTTGTACTGCTTCTCAGTCACCTGATGAGGCAATATGTTTAAGGACCCTCCTAATTCTCACCTATTTAGAGAGGATATTTAGTTTTCATCGTCCATTTGCATTTAAACTATACGTCTTTAATTTCCTCTTAATAACAGGTTACTTTTAAAAAATTCATTTGACTTGTTTCCCCTTTATTAGTAAGCTTGGAAGTTAAGAGAGCTCCCACTGGAGCAATACTGTTTGGTGCAAATCCTTGCCCAACCATCTATGATGAGCTGTGTGACGCCAGGCAAATTACTTGACTTCTCTGGGTCTCATTTTCCTCATCTATAAAATAAGATGGTACCTATGTCATTGGGTTAGTATAAGGATTAAAAGGGTTAATATTTGTAAAACATTTAGAACAATGTCTGGGACATAGCAAGTGCTTTATATGTATTTGTTGAATAAGTAAAATAAACTGTATTTCAAACTTTAAAGGCCTTTCATTACATGTGTGACATAACACTTCTGTTTGCCTTTTGAATGCTACACTGGTCTTTTTGTTTGTAGTATTTTTAGCCACCTTTTCATTTGAAAATAAACTATTTCCCTAAATTCTGATTAAACTTACAGATTGTGCCACTTTCTGATTCAATAAGATGGGCCCCAAAGAAAATGTAAAATGCTAAGCAAATTGCACACTTGTATTACTTTTCCACCTGAAACGTATCCTGTTATATTGTTCGGGACAAAATCTAGAGAATGCTTATCACCACCCATGGTTTAGGTGACAGCAACTTCAGTCTATAGAGAGAGTCCTCCAAGCAGCACGTTCAGAGAACATGGCTTCTTCACATCTCCCTTCACTGCAAACAAGAATCAAAGATCTAATGACAGGCCATTGTCCTGACTTCACCAATATGACTCACTCATAATAACATAAATGTGGACGTACCTTTATATGGATTTTCAAATTTGAAAAGTCTGTTTACTTAGCACAAAGCACCATTTCAATGAAAGGTTTTTTATCTCTTCTCAGAAGTAATTAAGAAGAAATGTAGAAAATCCTTCTTTTTTTACATAGAAACTATTAAGATTTTTAAAAATTGATTTTTGCTGAGAATGAGCATAGTTTTTTTTTTAATATTGGAAGTGAAGGTTACTTTTCATCAAAATATAAGGATTATTTAGCTGACTCAAGAAGATGAATACAACTATGATCATAATGGTAGAATTTGTGAGAAAGAAAAATATATGAAGACCAGAACACAGAGTAGGAGAGAAAGGTCTGCAATGACTTGGCTGCTAAGAACATTTTTACACTCATGCCAACACTAGGTGCTCTTCCCAATGAATAAACCATATGTCCATTTTTTTTAATTTTTATTGTTTTTGAGACGGTGTCTCACTCTGTCACCCAGGCTGGAGTGCAGTGACGCAATCTCGGCGCACTGCAACCTCCGCCTCCTGGGGTCAAGCGATTCTCCTGCCTCAGCCTCCTGAGTAGCTGGGACTACAGGCACGCGCCACACGCCCAGCTAATTTTTGTACTTTTAGTAGAGACGGGTGTTGGTCAGGCTGGTCTCGAACTCCTGACCTCAGGTGATCCACCTGCCTAGGCCTCCCAAAGTGCTAGGATTAGGGGCGTGAGCCACCGCACCTGGCCCTTATGTCCATTTTTATATGCTTCCTTTCACTAAATCCTGCTACTTCATAATATTCCCTTTGTCCCATTCCTCGCCTCGTTATCCTGCACCTCCAGCTCAGTACCCCCATCTCTAACTTTACTTCCTTGGGCAACCTGCGTTTGTGCCCTAGCTACCAATGTGAACATCTGCTACCTTAAAAAATAATAAATAAAAAATCACCTCATTGCCTAATATCCTCCAGGGCAAAAATTTTGAAGGATTCAGCATCCTCAAAAAACAGCCACAGAAGGAAAAAAATGCATATCTTTTTCAGCTCAGTAAATTCTGTCTATATAAAGATTAAATGAATAACACCTTAAAAATTCTTCAATGCAAGCAAATCCATGTTACCAACATGTATTGTCTTCCTTTATGCATATGAGAGGAAGACACACACATTTTATTTTACTTCATTTCTTCACTGTATCTCCTTTGCAATGTATTACCATATAGAAGAGATACAGCATATATCTGCAACTCTAGAGAACAAAATGCAAATACTTCTCTTCTTTCTCTGGGATGGTATTCTTATCTCCCTTTTTTTCCTGTCCCAAAACACCTCCCCAACTGGAAGATAAGAAATATTTTGACTGAATTAAAGTGAGTCCTGGGTTAAAATAGCTTGCCTGAATCCAACCAGCGCCCATTTTTAAAAAATCTTCATTTCCACATTTGGTCAGCAGCTCTCCCAACTCCAGTCCTTGTATCAGCAGCCTCTTTCCAACCTGAATTCCCATCTCCATACACCTTTGCCCTCGAGCTTTTACCAGTCCATTTCCTTTATATGTTTGCACTTAATTTGATTCCATCCTTCATGCTGTTTTCATTATTCTTAGTTCATCTACACCACATAAATTATCACCTTTGTTTTCAGTTCCCCATGTGCTCCAATTCACACCAATTCCAAATAAATACTTCTGATTCTCATCCATTTAATCCAAATTAATTCATATTCTCCCCACCCTCCATCCCTGTCTCTACCTCCCCTTTTATCTGTTTCTCTTTCTTGTAGCACCTACTTTCCGTGCATGTCTCTGAGGAAGGTTTTACAGGCAAAATGCTTCTGTGGATGCAAGGTAACTGCTTTCTATGTTGTGGGAGGAAAGCCATGATCTTTCTGCCTTATTGCCAACTTCTATGGGCTAATGCTTGCATGTCTGGTTTATCCTCCACAACTTGTATCCACAGGTGTCATCACCCCACATCCCATTGATCAACCACTGGGAGCGAGAGGGAAAAAGCTTCTTGCTGTTTTGTGGTAGTTAACTTTGGCTAACTGGCTTGTTTCTGGTTTACAAAGCTGTTTTATCACTCAGTCATCACTAATATCAACAACAACAGTAATAGCTACAATCAACCCCACTACTATCGGTAATGAGTTCTTACTATCTATCAGGTATTTGTTTTATCTTTTTTACAAGTATTTTACAAGTATCTGCTCATTTAATATTCAAAACAATCTAGGAGGTAGACACAATTGTCTCTACTTTAGAAATGAGGAAACTGAGGTCATAAATCTAGGAAGCGACAGTGCGAGGACATAAACCCAAGTCCACCCGATCACAAGGCTCAGCTCTTAAGTGCTCTGCGATACTGCTTTTCTAACAATGCCTGGTGCCTCCCTGAGTGAATTCCCAATAGGAGTCTTTCCACTTTAGTCCAACATGAGGCAAGTAGTTGCAGGTGCCAGGTAACATAATGAGCTCCACCTTGGTAATCACTCTGAGTAGACAATGCTCAAAAAAACAGAGCACCACATAATGTATCAACCCTAACAGTCACCCTTCTGACATCTCTATTGGAAAGAGGGGATAAGAAAGAAGAAAAAAATGCTCTGGACTCCCTAAAAAGAATCTCTGCTTTCCCAGAGCTGTCCAGCCTCCATGCTAAGCAGGATGTGCCCTTAGTGCCAATAATTCAGAAAGTGTCCATAATCATGAACTCCACAGCCCAAAGACAACACAACATTCTTGCCCTTTTCTGCCTTCTCCGGTTTCCTGGAGGGGCCAGGAGATGAGTCATGCACTCCAGCCTGGGAGCACTGCAATGTCTTTCCAATGTCTTGCCATAACTTTACTCATTGACTTTAGAAAGAAAGAAGTATCAATAAAAACTACCTTCAGAACAATATCAAAGAAGCAAAAACTGACAATAGCATGAATCATTAGCCTTGGTGTGTGTATGTGGAGTGGTGAACTGGAACCCAAATTCTGATGGGAAACCATGAGTGGGTCTCTATGCCTGAGCCACGGGATATAAACATTATGTTAGGAGACCGTCCCATGAACCAAGCAAGAGCCACACAGGAAATTAAGTTCAGAATTAGAGCAGTACAGGCCCAAGTCCTGGTGTGCAAGGAAGCAATGTCAGTCTTCATCCTCCCATGGGAATAACTCTAAGGTTCATAACAGTGATTTCCTCTGTCATATATTATATATTCGAACTTCAGGAAAGTTCTTCTCTACTACACAAAAACAGTTCATGGACCTCCAGAACACTAGAATTGAAAGGGGCCCTAAGAGCCAGATTGTTCAACAGATGTGGAAAATGAGGCCTGGTGAGGTAAAGGAACAGGCTCAAGGTCACAGAGCTGGATAGTGGCAGAGTTAGAACTAAAGCCCAGGTTGTTCTGATTTTCCAGCCAGCAATCTCTCCCCTGCACACTTCTTTGGAGGCACAGCCCAGAAGGCCCCCCAGAGCACCAAACACTTTTCCTAGCTCATATGCTATCACTGATTTCTCTCCAAGAATGCTTTTATACTTCCACTTACACCTTTGGGGATTTTCCCTATTCAGCTCGCAGTGTGCAAACAGTATGCAAAAACCATACAGGTAGCACACTGTTGGAGACTCACTTAAAAACCACCAATCACAGTAATTGCTACTAGCATCCTAGTAGCCCAGGAAGAGACACCACCCCTAAGCTCCAATCTCAAAGCAGAGAACAAAGACCAGTTCCAAGAAAAATAAGAGTTTCACGCTTTTCTGTGTAAACCCCACTTTTCCAAATTATCCCATTGCTCAAAAGATCAGTATGACTGGAACTTAGGGATGGTGTCTCTTCCTGGGCTACTAGGATGCCCTGAGTAAAATACACAATCCCCATCCCTCCCCCACCCGCTCTTGCCACACACATAGCAATGTAATCACTTTAGCAACTTCTCAGTAACAAGCTCATTAAAAAGCAATTCTGCCATCTCTCCATAAAGCACGCGCCAGAGAACAATGCAAAAGAGGAGATGCCAATTAATTATAGAATGATCACATCTAATGAACTCTGAAACCCTCCTGCTGTTGGTGACTTTGATGAAAAATCAGGATGCTGGGAAAAGAGTGAATAGGGACACCCTAGCTACCTTGTTTAACTGTGAATGCTTTCAAATGCATCCTCAGCTCCCAGTGTTGATCAAAACTGTGGAGCTACACTCATAAAACAATGCAAAGTGTCAGGAAAGCGACAAGTGTCTGTGTCACAAACAGCTATGAGTCACTGCCAGGGCCCCCTTCAGCCATCCTCAGAATTGTATGATTCTATGCTGTGGTTGGCACTGTAGGGACAAACCCGTCTGTGCTTGGGACATCTTGAGATCTTAAGGTAACAAGTGAGTCATTCTTTGTCCCTACCTGGGGCCTCCCGCCTGTCTATCACCTCCTCATCAGCAGGGGTGCCACTCCTCAGAACAAAGAGGAGCCCTCCCACATGACGAGGCTACAGGAGGGGAAAGAAGAAACCACGTGCGGCCAACTTGTACCACTACCTGTGTGAGTCCTCTGGTGGGCCTTTAAGTGGGAGCTTTTTGTATAAACTTTCCGGCACCCGTTAAACTGACAGCGGTGAACCCTCTTCTTGTTTTCGGGACATGCTTCAGCCCCCAGCCCTCCTTGGTCACTGTCGCTCTGTCCACTCTTAACGGCCCCCGCAGCCGTCACGGCTGCTGCAGCTGTTGCGACCCCTCCCACCTTTACGGAGCTGAGAGCAGCCTTCTTGGCCACCAGTTTCAACGTCACCGTGCCATCCACGGCAGAGAGAGTTTGTGAGGTTTTGACCAGATGGCGGCTGAGCTCAGGGGACGATGGGGGCGTTAATGAGGTCACTGCGTTGAGCTGGGCCTGGTTGACGGCTGTGTAGCTGTCTAGAGAAGAGCTGGCCGGCTGGAGGCTGAGGCAGGTCTCAGATAGCAACTTGTCCCGAGAGAGCAAGATGTCCACTGCCGAGCTCTTCTCACAGATGGCCGCTTCCACGGGGAGCAGCAGGGGGTCTAAGCGACGGAAGCTTTCCTCAATGCACGGGGGAGGGGAAGCGTGGAGGAAACAGTCCAAGTCCTCACCAAAGGTCTCTGAGATCCTCCGGGGCTCCGTCTGTAGGTAGCGTTCCAATTCAAGGCATGTCTGCAAGAGGAAGAAGGAGGGAGAGAAACAGCCATCAGAGGCACAGAACACCATGAGGCCACACGTTGACAGGCAGAGGGGGAAGGTGCAGAGAGAATGGTGTCATGGCTTGTATCAGAAATGCCTTAGTAGAAGGTCTGACCTTGTTATTTATTCTCTGAATACCTCTGAAAGGTTCATAAGGGTCACATCAGATGATTTCAATTACTCTAGCTGAAGGAGAACAAGAGCCCCAGAAGGACTATCTCATACCTTCGAGATTCCAGAGAACATCAAATGATGATCTCTTGCCCCTCAATCCAATTCAGCAGGTAAGATGCTCCAATTTCCCCTCTAGAAATTATCATGCAAGCAAGAAGCAAATAGAAACAGATAAGGTTTTCATACTAAGACAAGACTTCCCAGAGTCCAACTTCATTATTCAAAACAGACTTGAGCACATCACACAAGTAAGTCAGTTTTCCCACTTGCTCTGAAGAACAAGCCATGTTCACTCAAACTAAGAGGTGACCTCAGTAACAATCAAACAACAGCAAGCCCTGCCTTGGGGATGGATTCCATAACCAGCAGGAAAGAATACTGTTCTAAAGAATGTCTACCATAAAACTTTTGAGGCACAAGACAAAACCCTTGTTGTTTATAGCAAGTCATTTAAAATACAATGCTATATTACTTTGTGGCAAGGGGCATAAATCCCATTTCAATGGTTTAGCATCTCTGACTACATGATAAAAATAAATTCAAACATAGCTATTTAGACCACTTAAAGATAGGACCCAATATATTTCAACATAAAATTTTCACCCGATAAAGAAACAGGGGAGAAGAACAAAAAAGTTTAGTTTCAACAAATCTTCATCCATGGCACTCATAAGTTTTTGTAAGATGGGGGAGTGCTTTTATGGCAAAAGTCGATATTTAAGAAGTTTGTTCTAAAGCCCTCCTCACTCAAAAATCCTACAATTCCAGAATCTTGTATAAAACTATGTTGCTAACTTGCACTATCAGCTCAATTTGCTCTATCTTCTGGATTCAACAAAGACCCACTGATGGCAAATTTAAAATGTGACTAGTTCCAAATTTACTGCCCCCGTAAAGCTCCTATGTTTTCAACTGATGTTCTGATTCTAGGCATTTATTCTGTTAAGAATATATTTTAATGATATACCTAGTAGTGTTGTATCTGTCAAGGATTTTATTTTGGTGACATTTCAAAAGACTGGTTTTTAATCACACTTCTGGTAAAACTCTGCATTACTGAATAAGAAAATCAGATTTTTAACTATGAATCAGCTTTGGGTCTCACTGTTGATTTTCAATGGTAAGAACTAATGAATGGTTCCAGTCTTCATTCAACACTCATGTCACAAGTGTTCATGCAACTACTGTGCTCACAGCAAGGTACAAGGCTTTGTATGTGGTAGATGGAGAAGATATAGCAGTAGGTCCACATGATGCAGGTATAGAATAAACAACCACAAGCTAAAAATTACATAAACTCACATAGAAATGTGATACCAAAAAATAGTATAAAATGTGTTGATAAGTTCTTAGGGGCTGAGTGGACACCTAATTCTATACTCTATTAATGTAGTATTAATCAAGGAAAGCTTAGTGAAAAAGTAAGTTTTGATTCTGTTTTACTTATTGATTAAATAATAGCTCTGACTCAGTAGCTTCCCACTACTCTACATTAGAAACCAGTATGATGACCTTCTCAGGTCTAGAAATATGAATTATCCTCACTTGCTTCTTTTCTGAACTCCACTTCTCAAAAATTTCCCCTTCCTTATTCCATCTCATTGCTAGAAATTATCACTTACATCTCTCCAATATTGAAGCCCTCAGTCTTGGCTCCATTCAATTGATTTCTGAATTATAAGATTCTACTCCTGAAACCTCCCTTAAATTTCTTCTTCCCTTTCTGAATCATCACCTACCAAGCACAGTGCCTGGCACCTAACAGGTACATAATGTCTGTCAAAGACAAAGCCCACTTTATACTATTACTTTGATCATTCTACCTCTTCTACTCTTCAATAGCCATCTTTGAAACCCTACCCTGTACCATGCTGAGGGGGCAATTTTGGAAATGACCACTAATACATATCTCTGGGAATACAATTGCAATGCTTCTTGAGCTTTGCCCAAAGAGCAGTACCAGATCTTTGAGACACAGATATGTTTTAGGTAAAAATCAGTATGCCTGGGCAACACAAGACCCTGTCTCCACAAAAACTAAAAGAAAATTTGCCGGGCGCAGTGGCTTGTGCCTGTTATCCCAGCTACTCTGATGGCTGAGGCGGGAGAATCACTTAAGCCCGGGAGTTCAAGGTTGCAGTGAGCTATGGTCGTACCACTGCACTCCAGCCCTCTGGGCAAGACAGCGAGACCCTGTTTCTACCAAAAAAAAAAAAAAAAATCAGCTGACTCATGGGGTATCAGATGTCCTTGAGGTAGTTCTCTGCCTCCTCTACAATGACTTTCACATACTCAATCATCACTGCCTGTGAATAGAGTTTTTGTATGCCATTTATTTACATACTATCCAGCCCAAAGACTGAAAAGTCACTAAGATATTGTGATTATTAGAAGGCTCAGATCTCTTCATATTCAGAAGAGATCTGAATGCAGGGCTGAGATATTCTAAATACATTTACACACTCTTCTGGGAGGATTAAGTAACTTATGCAGTATGCCCTGGTGTGAACTGCAGGAGCACATGAGTCATATTTATGATCTAAAGATGAGAGACATCTGATCACTAAAATGTGGAAAAATCTGGACCATTTCAGAGTGGCTATAATTTGCAATCCTAATACAGGGCATTTTTACTCCTCCTGAAAATTGAAGAAGCATAAGTACCCATCGGGATGTGCTGGGACAGTCCTGTCAAATCATTATGAAATGATTGCTGTCTTAGGAAATACACTTCTTATATCTGCTGGAGATGAAGTTAAGGTAGAGGAGAAGATTTTGTCAATTCGAAACCCCAGTGAGGGGGTTAAAGACTTTTCTCATCAGGAGTATGGAGATTAAAATGTTAAGGATGAGGAGGATTCTAATATTAGATTATTTCCAAGCCAATGAGAACATTTACTTCCAACATTGTTTGTAAATGATTATGAGAACTCTCATAAGAAATGTCCATGACAGGCCGGGTGCAGTGGCTCATGCCTGTAATCCTAACACTTTGGGAGGTTGAGGCAGATGGATCAATTGAGGTCAGGAGTTTGAAACCAGCCTGGCCAATATGATGAAACCCCATCTCTACTAAAAATACAAAAAATTAGCCAGGTGTGGTGGTGCGCACCTGTAATCCCAGCTACTCGGGAGGCTGAGGCAGAAGAATCACTTGAACCCAGGAGGTGGAGGTTGCAGTGAGCCAAGATTGCACCACTGCACTCCAGCCTGGGTGACAGAGCAAGATTCTGTGTCAAAAAAAAAAATCCCTATGATGTTTGATGGGAACTGAGGTATTAGTATTTCCTCATGGATTTTAATATACACACACATACATACATAGAGAAATAAATGTGTATATCCATGTGTGAGTATACATACATATATTTCCTAACTCCATCCACTGAAAGAAGCTACAGGCAAAGATAACCCCAGGAGCAATGAGCACACTTAGCCCAGGGATCTTGGTTTCTAAATATCATTATCCAATAAAGGGAACCAGGACTCCCTAGAGAAATAGTTGTTGGAAGGGCTGGAACAATGAAAATAAAAGTTGAGCCTAGAATATCATTGTGGTACCAAAAGATAAGGAAGTGCTCATAAAGTGATGAAGTCATGTCAGAAAGACTCAGAAGCCAACTTAAAGGAGCTGTCAATGGCCAAATGAATAATAATAGGTTATAATTCATAAAATAAATATCCCTGAATCCATACTGATATAAATAAATGACTGAATAAATTAAAAGATGGAAGGAAAGGGTCAGCTCCTCATTACAGTAAAATTATGATTCAAAAACACAGAAGGAATGATGGAAATAGAAAATCACCATAGGCAAACAGCAAAGTAATAATGATTACAAGTTAAGAATTACCAATGGATGCTAAAACTAGTAGAAAGATCTATGATGAGAAACAAGGTATCTGCCTAGTTTCAAAGTATCCACCGAACAAAATATTTATTTGTTAATTATGAAGATAAAATATAATAACTCTACAGTGGAGAAACCTGGAAGAAACCACCTTAGCCATATGATCAAAATTAGCAGCACAAGGAACAAGTAATATTGATCACATGTACCCCTGATATGATAAGCTGACAAGGATACAATATTATTCTATGATATTTCTGTCAAAATGGTTAACCTCAATCTAATCATGAGAAAACAGACAAATTTAAATTGAGGACTATTCTACAAAGCAAATAGCCAGTTATTCTTTAAGTGCTGGGTCACAAAGAACAAAGAAAGACTGAGAAGTTGTCACAGACTGGAGAAGAATAAGGAGATATGGCAACTAAATGCAATGGATCCTGGCCTGGGTCCTGAACCAGTAAAAGGACTGGTGGAAAAAAATAATGTAATTCAAAGGAAGTGTTTAGATTAGTTAATGGTATTATATCAATGATAATTTCCTGGTTCTTATAATTGAACTATGGTTGCGTAACATTAGGGGAAGCTGGACAAACAATATTTGGTAACTCTATGTATGGTTTTTGCAACATTTCTGTAAGTCTAAACTAACTTCAAAAAACAGGGAGAGACGAAGACCATCAGCAGGCTAAAAGTGTCCCTAAACTGTAAATTTGGATAGAGAGTTCAAATGTTTTTCCACTAGAACCAGAGATTTTCTCTGTTCAAATGATACTCTTGCCAGCAAACTCCAAATCGGAGTCAGCGAATGTCAGTTTAATGACACAAATTATGCCTGTCTGGCACTCACCTCGGAGGTACAAGGCTTCCCTCAGCCTGACCTAACCATACAACTTAAGGCTTGAGCCACTGGATCAACCCCCAACCCCTAAAAAATTCATTACAGTCAGCAATGGGAAGAAAATATTCCCGAGTGCAAAGTGATTTTCCTCTATATTGATGAGTCACAGATGAGCTTTGTGAAGATTCTCTTGATATCTCAACTTTGAAATGCATGGCTTCTCCTAGCTTCCTAATAAATATCACCTGAAATTCATATTGAACTGCTCATCTTGAAACCTTTTTTAATACTCTCTTCATGCTTTTCATAGCATTCTCACTTGTTGCAACACACTTATTAAAAGTAATAATCCAAGACCTAGTTAAAAAATAATAGACTTTAAACCTATTACTGCCTACTACATCTATGATAATTTTCCTACAAGGAGGACCTGACTTTTCCTCTCCATGTTTATTTATTCAATCATTTGTTTGTATCAGTATGAATTCATTTTTATTTTATCCTATGGATTGTAATCCACTATTATCATTATTCATTTTTTGTTGCTCAGAGGCAGAATTTTCCAGAGACAGAAGTTGAAAGAAAACAGGATAATTCAAGTTTTGTGGCACATATTAAGTTTATCAAAAGCTCTCTGCTGCTGACAAGAGGTAGTTACTTTCACAGCCTTGAGAACAATATAAGACATTTGGTTATATATGGGCATGGTGCCAAGGTTACCAAATGGCTTCTGTTTAACCTGTCTTTATCTCATCACCAATTACGTGGAACTTGCCAGTCAGGATTGCACACATCTCCTGTCACATTGACTATTTCCCCTACGACCCTTACCTAAAGGGTTTCTTTCCTTCACCTATTTTTCTTGTCCTTACTTTCCCATGCCCATATGCTCGAAACAATCTTCCTTTCGCCTTCCCTCCCACTCATCATTCTTTCATTCAAAGTTCAACATAAAGTCTATCCCCTTCAGGGAGCCCAACCTAGAAAAAGATGGAGTCAAGAAAATACGCTGACTGTCAAGTGTTGAAAGACACTCCTCTTCAACCCTGGACAATTAAACGGTATTTCCAAAATGAATCTTAGAGTCCACAGATTGGTGGGATGTCTGGTTTATTAAGATCATGATTTTAAAAGCAATGATATTTCTTATACCATACGTTCCTAAACAGTAAAGTTAAGTGATTAGAGCTAAACCTGTACCTCTGTTTTCTCATATGGCAGATATGTCTAAGTGTTTGAAGTGATGGAGAGTTGGAAGAGCTAGAACTTTCTGAAAAAATGAGCTAGAATCGTCTCACAACTCCCATCCATTGCAACCACTATAACTACAACCATGTTTAGTTGGGGCAGACTGTAGTCCAGCCTCTTCAATACCATCACTTTTCAAACAAATCACCTGGAACATAAAAGGTTCAGTTTTTATTTCTGTGTCTTTTAATTTGAACATAAGACAAAACCATTGGTGCAATATTTTTGCTACTACCCAATAACTATGCCACTTTGGGTAATTATTGGGAGTCTCTGGATCCATGTATACTCAAGTTAGTAAGTAAAAAAACAAATTTAAAGAAATAAAGAAATTGCAATTTTCTAATGACTTTTTCTGGTACAGAGTCAACGAAATAAAAGGCCACCAACTACACTCAATGTTTCTAATCAATTTTCAGTCATTTGTGGTCCTTTAGCCAGCTGCCCTTAATCTCAGTCATTCCACCTATCTCGCCTAAAAGGGCCAAGAGTTAAAAGTACAAAGAGATTAAACAAATTGGGGACAGAATGTAGATATAAAAGCATGGGAAAGTGCAGCTTTCCACCATGTGGAAACTTGCAAAGTCATGCTTCCTCTGAGATCAGATCTGGATCTGAAGGATGATGATGATGGTGGTGAGAAGGATGATGCTTCTGGCGAGGAAGGGACAGACTTTGGTTCCCAGAAAGAATGTTCACCTAAGTAATTGCACAAGCAGGTAAACTGCACTTGGCTGCCCATGGGAGCCCTTTCTGACATTTATTGTGTGGTTTTTGTCACATGCTATTAACCATGGTGTCACAGTCCCCAAAGAGTTTCAAGTAAAGAAAGAGAGAAACAAACCCCTTGCCTTTCTCCTGGGAGGGTCCCAAAGTTTAATTAGCTTTTTTGTGCTTTGAAATCTTCAAACATCCCAGAATGGAAATTCAGAGTGACACAAAACAAGCTACTGTTAGGAGGGAAATGTGTGGCCTTCTTTCTTCAAGCCACCCTCTAAAATACTCATTCTTTTCTAACTTACTAGACGTGTTTACATATCACTTTTTAGCAAAAAAGGCAGATTCTCTGACTCCAGAAACCAACTTGAAAATCTGGATTGCAAAGACTGATACTGATGGGAACTTTGTGACTCTCTTTCTCTTCAAAGAATAATATGATGTAATGATTCTGACACATTCCTAGGCTTTCAAAATTAAGTCAGAATTGAAAGACAGGAAAAGATGTGGGAAGCATGGCCAGGGAGATCTGGTACATTTTTGACAGGAGTTGGAGGAGGAGGAAAAAGATGTACTATGCTTAATAAACTCAGGAAGTCCATGAGACAATCTCAGATGCCAAGCATCTGAACCTTGTTGCCTGCCTTCCTGGGTTTCAACATTATAAATAGGCTTGAGGAAGAAGACGGTAACACTGAATCTACCTCGTGGCAGAAAGGATGCATGAACCAGTGCAAGCATCCACCTTGGGAGACCTAGAGAGTGATTCCTAACAAGATATTAAGCATATGTTCACTTTTTCTTGCCTTTCATGACCAGGAAATATTAGGAGAGAAAGAATTTCATCTAGAAAATGTGGATAATCAAGTAGACAGTATGAGTGAAAATCTTACTGCATTTTTTTTAAGCTATTAGGTTAAAAGAAAACCCACAACAATAGCACACCCCAGAGGTACAATAGCATTACACATTACTGTCAGGATTGCTGAACTCCATGAAATAACCAGGGGACTACAACAAATGTTAAGACTGCATTGCTTTCCACTGTTTCTCACATCTACTGGTTGCTAGAGCTGAAACCAAGTTATATATTTCCCTCTGGTAATTTGTAAATTTTGAGAGACAATGCTGTGAAAACTAATTTAAATCTAAACAAACATGAAAGCTGAAAAATTTCTATCAAAACCTCTTCCATGTTTCTCTTCTCCTATTTTCAACAAACAAAGAAAATATTTGTTTGCATATGTTTCCTTGGGGAGGTGGGTGGTGAGGATGTTGGAGGGGGAGAAAGGAGACAAGATTAAAGGCCTGGGGAGAGGGTGATGTCTTTGAAATTACTTTCCCCAGGCACATGATGCAAAGCAGCCTCAAATACCCCTTTCATCTTCCAAGGATTCCTTAGTTGCAGTGCATAAAAGAAATTCCCAAAACAACTCAAATCTAAATTAACCATCAAAGTGAGCTTTAAAGTCACATAACCTGGGCAGAGCTGGTAGCTATGGCCCAGGCCTCACACCGCTTGAAGGAAGGCACTGGGTTCCCCTACACTTCCAACAACTTGGAAATGCATTTTCCTCATTCATTATGTCTGTGATCCTCAAAATTCAATGCGACCATTAGGGACATGATGGCCCATGCACAGAGAGGCTTCTCTAACTTGGTTTAGAGTTGTTTTTCCAGATGTTACTCTGCAGGACATACTGACTGGGAGTCTGTTGGCCTGGCCTCTACCCACAGTTGCAGAGAGCCCTTAAGAAGAATTGCTCACTATTACTTGGCCACTGGACTATAACTAAATTACAGCTTCTGAATAGTCAAGAGACAACACTGCTTATGCAGAGCTGGGGCCTAGAAGATGCTCCTGTATGCTATCCCCTCATCTCCTATGCCCTCATCTCCCAACCAGGCCCCTATTCAGGTTGGCACTCACTGGTGGAAATCCCACTTGTTACATACAGATTGAAAGCAAGTTCCATTAGATGGCCCTGCTTTGGTCATTACACTTCCACGGACAAAATGAAATTCACATCTTAAAGAGTCAATAAAAATAATCCTACCCATACTACTGGGAAGTGCAAAGGGCTGGATCTGCACTGAAAGTGAGATTTAAGAATGAGAAAATGCAGGAGAGACACTCCAATGGGAAAAACCCATCACATCCCATGACAATGGCAACCAGTCGGTCCCTGCTCCAAAAGGAGAGGACTCTAAGCAGTTCGTCAAGAGCCCAAGGACGTGGGAGGAGGCCTCTTTTCAGAGGAGTGATGGCTTCCTAAGAACAACAATGGCCCTGTCGCTTTTTCAGCTTCCCATTAATTTTCCATAAAGAGCAGTTTTCTTGACGAGCGCTTGTGTCAGGCAGGGCCTGATGCTTCAGAAACCTGTAATTATTCTTGGCTCCCCACCCCCTACAGCCTCTGCACCTGTGTCAGTTCAAGGCACCAGCTGGCCATGTCTTGCCTCCTGCCTCTTAAGAGGGGGAGGGGGGGAGCCATCATTGAAAACCCAAACTCACATTACTCGCCTCTTCTTCCAAAATGCAACAACAAAACAAAAATTTTAAACTCACCAATCTCATTCCTCCCCCCAGTGGATCTTGCCAAAGGAAACAAATAAACATTAATTGGCTAGAGAGCCCTCATTCAAACCAAAATTACTGAAAAACACAGTAACAGGGAAAGGTCTGACAAGGCATTATTAATCCTGTTTTACAGCCCGCTCTTATGCACCCCCACCCGCTCCTGTTAACTTTGCACACACACTCACACACCCTCCTCAAACTCCCTGGGCCCCTTTACACTCACTGGCCAAGACGGGAACATGCCGAACCAGTTACATCATCTCCCCTTCCTCTCCCAAATCACTTGCACAGGCTGACTCGGGCTACTGGGATTTTTTTTTTTTTTTTTTTTTAAAGCAAACTCATTTCATTGGCTCCTTCCTGGAACACAGTCATCTCCTTCTCAGTTGGGTTAATTAATATACCCTTCCCCTACCCCCATAAAAAACACACAGACACATACGATTACTTCTTGTACTCCAAAGCACAGCTGCACACGTGTACAACGTTCTCTCTCTCCCTCGCAGCTTGAATTTCCCAAGAATAACAGGTTCAAAGCCCATTGGGCCCTCGGTGGCAGATGCAATTTAGTGGCTGGTAATCATAGAGGATGCTTTCAAAACGGAGAGCTTTGAGGAACTTCCACTGCGGAATGTTAAAGACAAGGTGGGGGCGCTAGGAGGAATGTTTCTTCTACTCAGAATGCATAAAATGGCAGCCAAAACCATAATGAAGTCAAGCCCTAAGCTGTTTTTCCTGATATGGATTGTTGTACTGTTACTTGAGATACTTGGACTTGATTTCCCACAATGTTTAAGGTGGCTGTGTGGGTGTGCCAAGTGCCACTCACTCCAATTAAAGAAACAGACTGGCCATTCGCATACTGAGAGGCAGAAGAACAGGGACCCAAGCATTGGCCCTGGAGCCAGACTGCCTGGGTCCAATATCAGGTTACACTACTCACTAGCTCAATCCCCCTGGGAGAAGTTAACCCCTCTGTGCCTCAGTTTCCTCACCTGTAAAATGGGGTAATAGTAGTACCTACAACGCAGAAGCATTGTGAGAGTTCAATCAATTGACATGCCAAGTACTTGGAAGGGCTGGGCATGCACACTCTGTATGTTGTAGCTATTCAATAACTAGTGTTATTTTTCATTACACTTCCAGACAGACATAAAGAAACCTATCGAGGGCATGGAGATGGAAAATAAAAAATACCAAATAAGTTTCCAGGGGAAGTAAACCTGTTGGATATAAAAGTTTAAGTAAGCAGGGGACTCTGAGTTGGGAAGATCAACCCTGACTAGCTGGGTGACTTTAACTTCAATGGGCTCAGTTTTCTCATCTACCAGCTGAACTTCCAGGGGCCCACTAATCTGGAATTCTATGAGGAAGCAAAACAGTAATAGGAGAGTGAAGACTGAACAGTAAGAAAAGCTCATTCAGAACAAGTTCAGAGGAACTGATAGATAGCTCTGCTGTCATTGAGTGGTTAAAAAAAAAAAGGGTTTGGAGAACCTGGAAGAAAGTGGTCTTTGAACCCTCCTCTGACAGGGACCTCAAGGCCTTTATTAAAAGCCCTAAGACACTCAATAATCCATGTTTACAGGATGCTATGAAGGTTTAATTTCCTGCTTCACCATGGATACAAGCCTCACAACATCTAAAACGTAAACTTCACAAGAATGTGACTCTTCAAAGATACCAGACCTGTGCCTGACTTGCAGCCTGCCTCAAGCATTTGTCAAATGAATGAATGAATGAATGAGTAATTGAATCAACTCCCAAACAATCAAAGTGAAAGTCAACAGTGATCACAATCCTGGGTAGGAAGAGATTCAAGAGTATCATGAAAGCCAGAAATTCTTCCTTCTTCACCAAAGGAACATCAGAAGCAGTGTGCATGTGTTTATTACCAACATTTCTGGTAGAACACGTCAGTATTTTCAGATTTAACTATAGGTGTTATTTACTTGTCTCTAACGTTTTTCATTTGGAAAAAAAAAAAATTAAATGCTTACTGTCTGGGACAGATCCGGATTTCTAAACAGAGAGGCCAATTTAGCTTCACGGGGTAGCCCTGAGAGTATGCACCTGTGTTGGAAGTAAAAGCTGTCTCCTTGCCCTGGAGAATGCCCTCTCCCTCTGCCACTTCCTCTTTTCTCCTCTGGCCTCCAGAAACCACCAGGAAGAGAAGCAATTAGGATGAGTGAACAAAACGCTATTTTCAACTGTCATTTTTTATTGGTGAAAAGAACTCTGGCCTGGGAATCAGGTTCAGCGCCTGCCTTTCCCACACCACCCCTTCCCTTTCCAGCAAACTACTGAATCTGAGTAGAGAATTCACTTCCTTCCCTGAAAAAAATGGATGAACCACACTCTCAAAGACTCTTTCTGGCTCAAACTTCTTGCTGATAATCCTTCAGTGGCCTGTTGTCACTCTCAGTTCCTTACCACAGCAAACCAGACTCTACATGATCTGACCTTACTCTTTTCTACTCCTCTGCTTCTCCCCTTCAGACAGGACACTTCTCGCATAAATGCCCCCAGTTCATCCCTCTCTCAGAGCCCTAGTAACTCCGTCCGCATCCCAGAACGCAGACTCCCCAGGTCACTGCACATCTGTTTCCTTTTCATCGATTATGTCTTAGCTTCATTGTCACCTACTCAGAGAATCCTTCTTTGACCTGCCTAGAGAAACTAGGCCAAACAGCCCATTCATTCTTCATCATACTACCTCATTTTATTTGCTTTTTAGAACTTACCAAGTCCTGGAAAGGTCTAAATTATTTGCTTGCATGTTTATCGTTTATCTTTCCCTATTAACATAGAAGTTTCAGGAGAACAGGGATTTAGTGTATGTACCAGTGAATCCCCAGCACCCAGCACAGTACCTGGAAAAGACATCCAAAACATACTAGTTGAATCAATCAGTGAACCAATGAAGCCACTAATCAATCCCGGAATTCCAGGGAACACGTGAGCTGGTGTCTCCAGTCAGAAAATCTATCCTAAAATGCTCACCTTATTAGGTCAAAAGGCTCCCTCATCATTTCTCCTCAGTGCGAGTTTTTACACTGAGAAGGCACTTGCTGCTTCGTACTCATCAGACAGAAGCCAAATGGAGCCTCTTTTCAAGGTGGAGAGGTCAGTTGTGGGTGCTTGTGGCTGCCCATTTCAAATAGACACAAAGAGGGCTTTTCTCCTCAGCAGTCCATATTGCATCATGCATTCACTAACATGAACAAAACCCACCCCTCCCCTCTCCTCACCTGCATAATGACTGCTTATTAACTGGTATCCTGGGTGAACAGATCAAAGAGACAGGCTCAGCCCACTTTATTCCCATTTCTGTCACCTAACAGGATGTCCCTGAGAAAGGCAACTCCAGCCACCAGTCTCTGAAGCACTTGAGGGTCACAGGAATTCATTCCCTGACATTAGCAGCCCCACTTCTATCAGTCCTTACATGAAAGGTCCTTAAATGAAGAGGTCCATTCAAACCTAGCAGTTGGCGAGGACTCGTGTTTTCTGTAAGCCCCACACACCACTTACACAGGTGAGGTCCTTTAAAATTCCTATGTGGGCCCATCCTGGTATCTTTGCCATAAATTCCTAAACACAGAAGCTTTTCCTTCCCTCCCACTCCCTTTAAGAATTTTACATGAAAAGGTATCTCTACTGAGAAGTGCTATTTATTTCAGGATCATTATTTCACAGATACAGAACCCTCGAACACTGAACCTGGAAGTGAGCCAAAATCCAATTAAGAGGGTATGGAGTTTGAACTAGGCAAGAGTGGAGGATGGAAATATGGAATATAAGCAGTACAGGGTTCCTATGAGTGTGAGTGTGTGTGTGCATTCACATGTGCATAGTGTGCCACTGTTAATGAAGTGTAGATTCTCTTTAATGTATTTTGGATGCCTCTCTCTCTAAATCTTTCGTTGTCCCTAGAGTCACAAAGATGTTCTTTCTCTTATTCATTATGTCAGGCAATAGGAATCTTTCCCATCCTGGCTGGGGAAAGATGAGGGAGAGGGGAAGAGTTGATGTTCCATCATGTAAAGAAAAGTAAAATTGTGCTTTGCCCAATTCTGAACCCCATTGCAATGTTGCAGATTTCAAATTAACAATTCAACCCAACATGACAGGGAAAAAAATCAAGTGCTGAGACCCTGAAGTTTGGATTCCAGTAGCTCTGGCACCTCACTTAACCTTAGGTGGCTTGACTGATACCGAATGACATGCACTTTCAGGCACACCAGACTCTCATTGAGGAAGAGACATTAATTTGAATCATCACTGCCATCCCCTCTCCCCTTTGTTCCTGTCTGAACCAATTTCCATATAGTTTCAAAGAAATCATCAGCCCATGCAAAGGAGAAATCCCAGTGGAGCAAGAACTACATTAGCAGCATAAGGGGGAAAATCTAATTTCCAATCCAGTTGCTTTGTTGTTTCAACCTCCAAGGAAGGTTGCTACATATGCACAACACAAATTAAGTTTTAAAACACCATCATGATTTAAAATTAATAAACACTCTCATGGGAAAAAGGTGGTCCTTGATACAAATCTTCTCATACAATGAAGGTCAACTCCACCAGAGCTTGTGGGTGGTCTGGGTCTTTGAGGTCTCAATCATCTCAGCCAAAAAAATATTTAAGAACAGCATATATTCATTGAAACCACTGCATCTGCTACTTATAGTTAATGGTGAGTTCATTCTTAGTCTAAGGCAGTATCCACATTAAGAATTCTTAAACTACCTTGTTGACAGATCCCATGGAAATGTATTTTAGTGGTCCAAATTAAGAATTCTTTTTTGGCATGACAAGATATGCCAATACAATTTCCTAGTGCCCTACTTACTAGAATAAAACTCATGGCAAGACACCAGTGTGACTACATCATTAATTAACCTGAACCACATACCGGAACACTGCTGCTAATAAAACTCCTCTATAAAGAAAACATGTTTTCTCTGCTGAGAATCCTGGAATGTAGGCCCCAGCAGAGCTGCTGCCTTAAATAAGGAGATATTTCGATGTTTGTGTCTGTGTCTGCGATTGCCACGAAATTTGGTCATTTATTTGGCTTGATCTTCAATAACTTGAGTTCTTCCTTGCGTGTGCTTTTTTGGAAAAGAAAATGAAAATGGCGCCTACACTATCAGGATTTGCTAACAACTATGTGAATGAGAGGATCCTTTTTGCGAAGGTAGGGGATGCTTTATCCTCACTCTTTTGAAAGCACGCCCTGAGCTTTCAGCCCACGAGGTACTGAATCAGAGACCTGTAGAAACCATCCATCTTCTCTAGAAAACAGGCTGACAGAAACAGGAGCAAAGCTGTAACAGCTCTAACTCCCAGGTGAAACTGGGATTTTTCCAATCCATTCCATATGAAATGACATACATTTCTTTTTTCTTTTACAGAGAATTCTTTTGGGAAAAGCATCTGAAAATGCTTATCGATACTTATCTGGTAATCTTGTAACCTTGGAGTCCCCCTGTGAGACTGTAATAGGCAGCAAAGATTAAAATCCCCATCCTATTTATGGGGAACCTAACTTAGTAAAGAAAACTGAGTTTTTCACTGTTCTGTAACCATACTACCAAAAAGACCAGAAACAGAACGAAAAGTTTCTTGGCCACTAACAATTAGGTTTTTTTTTTTCTGGTCCAACCCTGAACTTTCCACCAAGGATCTCAAAACATTCTAAAAATCCAACAAACCATTATCTCTTAGTACCTTGGAAAAACAAGGATTCCTGATGAAGATTTTGGATCTTCTCAAGTTGGAAACCATCAGATCCCAAACTTCATTTCATAAGCTTTTCAACTACATTTCTCTACGTAATCTCTCCTGGTGAGACTGGGGCAAATAGTCTTGGTTTTGACAACACCCTTAATTATGCAATTTCCGAGTTCTCTCTGGTCATTGCAAGTCTTGGTTGAATTGTTAAAAGCAAATGGGATTTCAGACATTTCAACCTGTCAACATCAAGTGTAGTCATTGAGAGGAAAACAGATAGAATTAGAATCATTTTTTAAGATCTTTTTTTTCTTTTCTGAGACAAGAGTCTTTCTTTTTTGAGACAGTCGCCAGGCTGGAGTGCAGTGGCGCAATCTCAGTTCACTGCAACCTCTGCCTCCCAGGTTCAAGCGATTCTCCTGCCTCAGCCTTCCGAATAGCTGGGACTATAGGTGCCCGCCATCACACCCAGCTAATTTTTGTATTTTTAGTAGAGATGGGGTTTCACCATGTTGGCCAAGATGGTCTCAATCTCTTGACCTCGTGGTCCGCCCACCTCGGCCTCCCAAAGTGCTGGGATTACAGGCATGAGCCACTGGGCCTGGCCTGTTTTTTTAAGATTTGAATTGAGAAAACTTATAAACACAATTTATTGAAGACCTTATTTTGGTTATTTGATTAATACCAAATACATAGAAACTCAAATTTATATAATTTTTAAAGGGGGGATTTGAACCTGCTATCCAACATTTTAAAAAACATTTTCTAATTTTAATAAATATGAAAATACAAATTGGACTAAATAAGTCAACATTTTTCTCCCAGTCCTTAGAGACTAATGCATTTTCCAACACCAGTATCATATATCACCCATCCCTTTTGTTCAAAACAGAAAATGCAGTGAGGAAAAAAAAGCATGTAAGAAATAGAAGCAACAAGAGGAGTAAAAATAGGAGCAATGGAAAACAGATGAACAGTAAGCATCTCATTCTTGTATAAAAATCTTGGATGCCAGTAGCTGCTCCCATCAGTAACACACCTCTAACCAAGAGGATCATCAAACTCTGGGAAGCAGATCACCTCAAGGGCACAATTTACACTTGGCCCTGCTCCCTACATGGAGCCTAAACATTAAAGTAGTTGTGTCTATAATCACCTGTTAGTAACAGACTAAAAAGAAGGGTGGGCCAGTGGGTGAGGAAGACTATTGTGATTCAGAAATGTATGCTGGTAGAAGACCATCTCTGTTAAAAGCAGGCAATTAAGTATCTCATTGTAAAGGGTACCTGATCCGTCTTGGACACCAAATCCTTCAACTTTGAGACTTTTTGTAAGTATGTAAAATAAAAGACAATGTGGAGTCATGGAGAGAACACAGACAAAAGTCAGGATGACTTCTGCCTGCTCCTTCTACATAATTAGCTCTATGCGTTTCCTCAAGTCATCTCATCTTCAGTCTCTGGTTTCTTTATCAAGAAACCAAAAGTATTAGTATATATATAGAGATATATAAAATGGACTATATATATATCCTTCCCAATGGTATGAAAATCCTCCGTGAATATAATAAATTTCTCATGACCAAATCTTGTTTGCTTAGGGAACCAGGGTATGAGGAAAATGGAATTCCCTACTCTGATCCCTCTGCTTATAGCAGTGCCATGCTCCAGGTATCTCAATTTCAGACTCTGGACTGCAGTTTCTGCTCAGTCTCCTAGACAAGGTCCCATGATACAAGACCACATACTTGTCCTTAGGGTGCTGCAGTAGGTAGATGCTATTTCTGAGGATGCTTTCCTCTAAAAGGTAACACATCTTCCCATAAATCTAGGTTAGGAATCAAACTCAAACACATTCAGGGACTAGGAGCATAACATACATTAGTGAAACAGTCAAGGAATATGACAATAATGAGGGGTGGGGACTGTGGTAAACTGGATAGCACATGCCATCTAAAAGGGGAAGTTGGTACATAGCACCAGCTCATCGATATCATGTAGAAAACAGAGGTCCAGAGTTGGCAAGTGTTTTTAAAGGAAGCCCAAATCTTTTGGGGTTTATGTGGAATCTCTCCAATTGTTTCAATGTTGGCAATGAGTATTAAAAAGTTAGAGTGCGTGAGACAAGCAAAGGGCCCACAGCTGCCAGTCTGAGCCTTCTGTTTCAAATGAAAGCAGAGGCAAAAGAAAAAAACAGAGGCATATTTGGGCAGTTCTTTCTTCCCTGTGGATCCAAATTATGGTATAACTGTCTCTTAGGGTAGTTATCAGCTGGAGAACCTTAAGCCTCACGTCCCACAGTTTCCCTAAGAAATCCCTTATTTGAGGAGAGACCCAGCTGAAGGAAATAATGATGAGCTGCACTTTCATTCGGCCCTGCTCAGCTCCTCCTGCCCCGCAGTACTCGGCTGGAATCCCTGCTCTCAATAAGAATCTTGTCACAAGAATGAGAAATCTGTAGAGAAGGCACCATGAAATGTCAAGCAGGAAGAGGCAAGAGCTCTGACAAATCCAATGAGCCTTGAGGTCTGGCACCAAGCTTTAAACTTCTTTTGGGCATAATCAATAGCTGCTCAATAAATACTTCTTCAATGAATTTTTTAAAAATCTTGATTAGGAGCTACTATTATTTTTCATTGCATGCTCTTCACTGAGGTGACTGGGAGATTGGTAGATTTTGCCCAATAAGATAATGAATGCCTGGGGAGAAAAAGCTCTGCTAAGATAAACAGGTGACACCTGTTTGAACTCTGATGGCCTTTCAGGGCAGGGTCTGTTATCTTGTACTTCTTTCAAATTAATTCAACAGTTATTTACTGAGCTTCCACTTTATATAGGACATTGTGCTGGAGACTTCAAGCGATTCTAGAGCTCAATATCTGCCTACAAGGTGCTCATGGTATCACAGGAAGAGAGGGATAGAAATACATGCAATTCAAGATAACACAGCACATGCGACTAAGCACTAGGCTGAATGAAGTGGTATGGCAACACAGAGAAGGAACCCACTCACTCTCCCTGCAGAGGTCAGTGAAGGCCTTGTGAAGAAGTCACATTTGAAACAGACCTTGGCAAATGAGTGAACTTTTGCCAAGTGGAGAAAGGGAACAATGACATTCTAAAAAGTGCACACAGTGTGAGCAAGGGTGTAGAGAGGTGAAAGCCCCACTGTGTGTCTGGAAAAGGATGAGCAGTCTAGGATTCTGATGAATGGGGTACACATTACGGAGGAGCAAGAAATGCATGCCCTCGGGCCTAAAAAATGTCTTCTATTTTTGGCTGACAATTACATTGGTGGTTTGCTCTGGGTTAAGCTTTGCCAACGCACTTCTAAAAGGCAGTAGCTGTTTCTCTAGATCTTCAGTGATAACTCAGGGAAAGATTAAAGAGCTCAAAAGATATTAGTGAAACCCAGTAGCCGTATTAATGTTGCCCAGTGATATTCCTGAACCTAAATGTCAAAGAAATCATTCAAGGCATTTTCTTTTTCAGACTGATACTCCCAATTTAGAAAACAACACAACAACAAAAACATAACAAATCAAAATGAGGACAAAACCCAAAAAGATGGAAATAAATACTATCAAAAAAAATCTTAGCTAAAATACAATGCCACTGGATTAAGCACAGAATTAAACTCATCTCTGATTTGCCTGGTAGCTGAAGCAAAAAGATCAACAATGAGTTAGGAAATTCTCATCATCAAATAAAAGAAACGTCAGTTCCTCAGAGATCAGTTGATCTTCACACGTAAAGTTTAAAGTAAAAGGAGGAGGAGGAGAAGAAAATGAGGAAGAGGAACAAAAGAAATGACATGAAAAAAAAAAATCCCTCCATTTACCAAAAAAAAAAAAAAGTTAAACTGTTTCTATTTAAAACCCTCAAGTATTTTGTCAGTTGAGGGAACTGAAGGTTCGGAGTCTGGGTATGTTTTTCTGCTTTGTAGCCTCTCTCTGTTGATGTTTTTCTGGCTTTCTAAGCAAAAAGGAAACCTCACCCATTCCTGTAGACATGCATTTATGACCACATTCTCCTGGCCAGTAACCCTCAGTGGCTCGTGGAGGCTCTCTCAAGGGTGGCATGTCAGGCAAATGGATTTGGCTATGGAGCTACTGCTTCTGTGGCTACTACTCAGATTCAACGCAGGCGCCTTCAGCGAGGGCTCCAGGGCAAGGCTCACTCATTAAGGACAAAATGTGCAGGCACATTTGACCTTTGGAAATCCAGCCCTGGTCTGAAGCTTCCAGATTCAAAACAAAAGCTTCAGGGCCGGAAAGAGAGTTAGAGGAGGCACACTTCCTAGCTTGGGGCCCATCCCCCACACATTCCCCCTGTGACTGAGAGGCTCACAAAACCAATAGAGCAGCATTATTAACTCTGCAATATCATAAGAGAGGGCTTCGCTCTCTGCCTTGGTGGAGAGAGAGAGGCCAGGGGAGGGGCAGGCTGGCTCCAGGGGAAAGCATGCTTCATTAGAGTCTTAACTCAAGGGAGGCAACTGCTTGTGTAAGCGCAACAGATGAACGCAATGTAGAGAGGCTCCCATAAAAACCCTGGCCCTGGTCTAGGAGTCGTCACAGCGGGGGGGAGAAAAAAAAAAAAAAGCATAGCTAGACTGAGCAAAGGCTGGGTGGCAGAGAGCTGTCATTTGGCATAGACTTCCAAAATGCCAGCAAGTGAAAAGTCATGTCAAGGGACTAACCTAAGGCAGAAGTTTTAAATGTGTCATACAAATGGGATGCTCCTTCATCTGCAGTCACAAATTTTAAAGCATCCACTGTCAATCATTTTTCACTCTGTTTTCTTGGGTTACCGACAAGTACCCAAATGAACACTTATACATTTTTTCACCAGAACGAAATAATAGCTCTACTTCATGAAAATGACACCACCAACCCTATCCTTGTGTTCCTTCTGATTTGCCTAGGACTCCCACCCAGCTGGGTCACTGTTTCCCTCTCATAGGTCATATGACCCAAGCCAACTGCCTCTATCACCAACTCCCATGATACCCAATGAACACAGGGTGGCTCAGTCTTCCCCTTTCTTTGAAGATCTGTGCTGGTCTTTCGGTCATCCTGCCACTATCCCCAAGCAGCTTCCATATCTGTCATTTCAGGGCAGCAAATCTGCTGACATTAAAAGTAAACCAACTAAGTTTTCAAACACATCTTAGTCCCCAAATCCTTCCTCCAGTCATGCAGATCAAGTAAATGTCTTATCTTTATGAAGTCGTGGTTGGCTTCAGCTTCTCCAATTCTGGCGTTTGATTCTAGATAGAAGGTTAAGTACCCCCTGTTGCACATCAGACTTGCATCAATTCAATCCATTTGCTGTTAAAGAAGCATCACACTTCCCAGAAAGGTTTTTTTCCCCTTTAGCCACATACCAAGCCAGAATCAGACAAATGCAGCCTGAAGTATTTTTAGTTATTATTCACATTTGTCAACAGGGACAGTGACAACTCACCAGTCCGTTCTGGGGCAGAACTTAAGGAATGGAACTCTCGTATCTATATTGTAAAAACGAATTGCCACCACTGATGACCATAACTACCTGCTGCTTACATGTATACAGACTTTGTTAGGAAATACTGTGCAGTAACGTATCATTAAGACCTTACTGGCAGGCTCAGTCAAAATCTCTTATTTGACATGATTTAATATGTAACATGGAAAGACCCAATAACTTTTCCTATTCTTCACTCATTTTTTTCCAATGGAAGAAATACTACAAATACACTAAGAAAGAAGTTGAGAGTTTCTTTTAATGAACCTTTAAACAATAATACATCTATTCAACACTGGCAATATACCTACTATATAAAGTATGACAACTTTTTTGCTTAGCAAGATGAAAATTACAGGTAGATACATGGATGGGAAGTTATCAAACCCAAAAAGAGACTAATCATAAATGAAATACAGGTGTCAGTTGTAAGTGTTCTCAATGTCTGTTCCATTTTAGATTCCTTTTGAGTGGTAACTGTAAACTTTCAGGAAAAGTTTTTGAGAAGAATATTTTTGGGAAGATGAGTAGAAATATTCCTTCATTATGTCAGATGTGACTGTGAATGTCACTAAGGAGTATTCTTTCCTGGCACCCTAATCTTTCCCTTATTTCCCAATCACAATTTAAACTTCTGTGCCTATTTATCTTCCAGGTCCACCTCTAGACTTTAAGTTCCACAAGAGCATGGGCAATGTCAGGTTCACCACTGCATCCTCAGCACCTAGCACAGTGTGGGGCACACAGAAGGACCCCAGGAAAGGAAGAAAGAGATAAGGAATGAGGAAAGGAAGGAGAAGGGTGGAGAAATTAAGTGAATGAACTAAAGAAAGAGAACCAAAAAATCACCAAAGAGAAATAAATTATAGCGATGAAATTGAGCATTCTC
Organism: Homo sapiens; assembly: GCF_000001405.40. Lineage (NCBI taxonomy): Eukaryota > Metazoa > Chordata > Mammalia > Primates > Hominidae > Homo > Homo sapiens. The sequence goes on from NC_000002.12 coordinate 207,145,976, forward strand.
TACTTCCTTCTCAAGAGTTGCAATGGTTTATTATGAACGAGTGTGACCATTCTAATGTCTTCATCCCTTGCTGATGGGTGATGGACCCTGCTCCAGCAAGGGCCAGTCAACTGCAGGACTACAAGTAAATAACATTCTGATATAAAGTGACCAACAGGCAAGTGGACAGGTGAATACATAAAGCACAAAGCCCTCTATGCAGCCAGGGTGTTTTTGAGATTCTCCTGTTCTCATCTCTTCATACATATCACCCTTCCTTCCATTGAAGCTACCATGTATATTCCCCACATTCTCTCCATTTTCTCTTGCAGGTTACTTTGGGGGAATTCAAGACACACTAGAATTAAGCATATCTTAGATCACTCCCCTCCCCTGAGGACTCCCAGTCACTTTCTGGCCTATGCTCTTCAAGTACCAAGGCCTGGAACAATATGGATTTGCCCCCTTCCCCTGAGTCAGACCAATATAAAGCTGTCACTGCTGCTTCCCGTCTTGCTTTCTGCACCAGACCCCTTTCCCTTGCTTTATGGGATCCTCCCCTTTACCTCCTCTGGAATATTCCCTTCTCTCAGTCTTCCTTCTCCTTAGGGGACCCTTTCTGTTGTCCTGTGTTTCCCTTGGGGATCTCCACTCCCACAAGTAAGTATCTTCCAGGATATCCTGGAAGTAAGGCTTCTGGACTTCCTTTCTTCCTTTTACTTATTCCTGCTCAAGAGAGAAAGTGGTAGCATTGGAAGAAAAAACAAAAAGAAGAAAAAAAAACCAGAAAAACGGAAGAAAGAGAAAACAGTGCATGGCCCATTTGTCTCTCATCCGGCCTCTTTCCTGGAGGGCTTTACTCTGCCCTCTTCCATGGGGGAAGCAGCTTGGGGCCAGAACATGAATGCCCCACTGATGCCCAGATAGGACAGGTAGGGCACGGACATTCCTGGCAACCTGCTATTCTATGCAACATATACTTTCCCATGGTATAAGTCAGCCCATGGGCTAGAAGGGGTTGGGCACAGGGAAGTATGGGGAAGCTAAATTGAGACTGCACTTGCCAATTGGGTATAAATCCAGTTTCATTAATAATAAAGCTGATATTTGACCTCTGTCTGGTTCCTATACCTATCTTCTCAAATAGGTTAAGAGAGGGGTGAAGTGTGGCAAATTTGTTGCTCCCATTAAAAGAACAGCAATTGTACTGTAATTATAGACAGTGGTTAGTGGTCCAAATTATTGGTCCTCTTAAGATGCCTGCTGTTTTTTCAGTTAACAAATAAAATTTCAAAAAACAGAAACACAGGATAACATAAGTGGTCCACCATTCCATCACCTAAATTGCTCTTAAAAAAATTAAAAGCAATGATCATATATGAAGGTCAAAAACATTGAAACAGAACAGAAAAGGTATAAAAAGTAAAAATCTGACTTTCTTTGCCCCCAGCACTCTCCCCTCCTTCTCCCTCAATTTGTCAAGTGCTTATATATCCTTTTATTTGAAGTGTTATGCATATCAGCATACATAATAGACACTTTTATTCCTTCTTTTTTTCCCTCATTTACAGAAGATAATTGGCTTTTCATTTTAACAGCTGAAAGGCCCCAGGTGCAGAGTGGCTGGGGCGGAGGAGTCTGAAGGCTTCTATCCCCCACTCCACCCTCTGCCATGGCTCCCCTGGCCCCATAAAGGTTTCACCCCTATTTTCTAGGTGTTCTTACGACCACACCCACCCAATTCCCTCTGAGAAAGTGGCTCAAAATAAAATACGTCTTAGGATAGCTACATGAGATGGCGCCATTGGGAGAAGCTGGCGAAGCTCCTGTGTAACACGATATGCCGGATACTAACACCAGCCCCTCGCCTCGGTGGCTTCGATGGGTTCTGCTGGCCAAAGTTGTAACATCAGCCAGTTCTTGAAATGTTTTAGGAAGCGTTTGATTTTCTTTAAAAGACAAAACCATGTTTTCCAATAAAGCTAACTGCAGTGAACTTGGAATGTTACCACTTGATCTGAAGCATTTTTTTTTTAATAGTTAAGCTTCTACCCGCTTTTTAAAAATCAAAACTAAACCTTAAAAGTACATAAATATTTAATTTCACAGAGAAAGGTATGGCTCTCCAGATGGGGAGTCTGTCCAATTCATGATCTCAAGCATTTTATGGCAACACTTCCCTGTAAATCAAATTGGTGGCAAAAATCCAGCTGCATACTCAAGTGTTTTGTCACATTCCTGATCCCAGAATTTAATTTCTCATGTGGAAGTTTGAGCCAAAGGTATGTCCCAACAAATCCCTACAGAGGTTGGTTGAGAGGCTGACATTCCTGTCCCTCTTCACCTTCACTTACTCATGGAAGTCTGGGGCCAGGGCAAATGGAAGCTGTGAGCTTCAGGGACCCGCTCGACTTGACCTAGGGTCTACCCAGTCAGGCACAGCAAGAGAGGCTCCTCCCAAGCCACCATGCGGTACTGCTTCCCATGGTCATTCTACATGCAAGCTTTTGCTTTGAATGGATGTATAAAGACAAAGCTACTCAACCCAAAAAGATAGTAATGAGCAAAAATCCTGGTAGCCTAGTGATCAGATCCAGCCCACAATGGTTTTTTGACATATATACTACTTTCATTTTGCCCATATTTTTTTAAAATCAGGGGACTTCAAATAAAAATTCAGATTTCTAGCTTCTCTTGAAAAACCAAAAGATCTGGCGACAGGTTCTGCAACTCTCTTGAGCAGTATTTGGCTGGAGATGAATGGCAACTGCCCCTTCAGATAGGGTCTATACTTTCTATGTCACCACAGTTCCCACCACTCTCTAGTGCCTTATACTGTGCCTTCCTCACTCACTGACATTACCAGGCTGACTCCCCGGGGCCATCTTTATGACTCCTGCTCTCTGACTTTTCCTTTGCCAACATCTGCTTTGGGGGCAGGGATCTCCTATCACCCCTCCACCCTCACCTGATTCCCCATTCTCTAAATTCTTGGTGCCCTTAATATATGATATACCCAGTCATTACCTGTGTCATCTACTGTCCTTCCTTTTGTTCAAGACAACAAAAACAAAGGAATGTCTCCTTACAGCCAACTCTGTGTTCCACCTAAAGGATGCAGTTTCCATCAGCTCTTAGGGACTGATAAATCTGTCTTTTCCCCAGTCCCACCCAGTCATGTTGATTTCATAGTCAATAATAAGAAACTGGTGTGTTTTCTTTTTGGAGATGATCTTCAATAATTTTCTGAGGAGAAAAAATTAAAAATCTGTTAAAAGCAACACCCCCACTCAGCGCTGTCACTCTCTCTCCAGGAGGCTCTGCCTTTGTCTTCTAGACTAGCCATACATTTTTCTAGCACTTATCACTGCTGAGGTTCAGCAGGGGTGCCAGACTAACATAGAGAAAGGGGCCTCCTGGGCCCATATCCCAGGCTTGCCCATATCTGCTCTACTGGCAGCACTGTTAGTAGTCCAAGAAATCTCTGATGATCCATCCCGGCTGACTCCTGTGCTCACACTCTGCTCAGCGGTGGTGCTGTCCACTGTTGATAAGGCACTCCTGCCACAGTTTTGGCAACAGGAAGACATCGGGAGAGCCTCTCACAGACAGAGCTGCAGATATGCCTTCATTTCAACCAGTACTCTAGGTAAGGCAGTATGAGAGTGCAGCTTTGTACCTGACACCTGGGCTCCCCAATCCTTGTCAGTATGGCACCTGTCTTAAGCAGGATGTAAATCTCAACATATTCATTTGAAGAGTTCACAGGGGCTTGGCCAACACAGTCAATGTGGTCCTCGGGTCTGAGTTCAACCTTCCTTCCAAGCTGCAGTAACCTTCTACCAACTTTATCCTGGGCTAGGACAAGAGTCTGCATCTCCAAGAGCAACATACTGCTCTGTCATTCTGACCCCAGTGTGCCATAAACTAGGAGGCTTCCATGGACGTAGACATATAGGTAAGTCCAGGACTTCCTATCCAGGTAAGTCCCCGTCTTCTTATTATCTAACAACATGTGACAGTGTATTGTTAATGAGTCACTGTAGCCACACAGATGTCTACTTTCAGAAGCAAATAGTCCCCAGAATTCTCAGTTTTACCCAAAACCCAGACTTCCTTCATCCCTGAATACCACTACCACCCTCCCCCACAACCACACACACATACAGACATATACAAATGCACATGATTGTTTCATGAATGTGGTAAAATACAATTGTTAAGAATGTATTTTAAAAACTAAAGAGAAGCATATTATATCTATCCAATAGTTATACAATACTGTATTCCACAGACTAAGTTTACTTTGCAAAATTTAGCTTAAAGCAAACACACATGAATACACACGAAATAAATTACAAAGTTTTACGTCCCCATTTAGACAACCAGTAGGAAATTTTTCAAAGTACCACAATTAAGGTTCAAGTAACAGCCCCACTGGAACAAATAAAAAGTCACTAAGTTCCTGCTCGGAAAACTGAATAGAAATCATAAAGAGGAAGAAAGCCAACAAGAAGCGATAGTTTAAGGCTTGAAACAAAAGCCTCCCCCACTGCAGAATAGAAAACAATTACACCGTACAGCATGTAACAGTTTACAAAGCACTCTCACATCCATATAGCATTTGATTAGAGCAATCCTACTATCATAAGCCCTGCACTTCATATGGGAAATATAATTTAATAATTTGCTTTGTTTTATACTGATAAAGTCAGGACTAAATTCCAGGTTTTCTGATGCCAAATCCCTTGAATTTTCCACGACACCGGTATTTTTCAAACTTCAATTTCATTTCACCTTCACGGATTTTTACCAAATCAGCATTCCATCTGTACAATCATTCCCCTATTGTTTTCATTTTTACTTGCCTCACTAAGGCATTATATATTAAGGCTGCATGTGTTTTAAATTCTTTTCCTGCAAATGTTCATTAATAGAAGATAATCATAAAATTAAAAACAACAAAATCAAAACAATATTACAAACTTTCAACTGGAGGTTTGCCTGTCAAAAGCTCTGAGTGTAAGACCTGTTCTCTTTATTAAAAAAAAAAAAAAAAAAAGGAAGAAAGGAAGGGAGGGAGGGAGGGTGAAAAGGAGGGGTGAGGAGAGTTTACCAAGCCTTAGAGAGGCGTTAAAGACATGGCACCTCAAAGCTGACTGTCTCCTTGAGTTAAAAGGACTGAAAGAAAACAGCAATGGGAATAAAACTGCCTCCCGAGGTAATTCTGTGTTATCAACACTGCGCTTATGAAGCCCTGTGGAACTCAGCCCACCCTTCGAGAAGCAGTTCCCTCAGCCATGTTGCACCATGCCTTGTGTTAACATGTGAATATGTTTAAAATATTGCAAGGAGGCTCACAATTCTTGAGGGTCCAATACTGGCTTGGGCTTAAATAATGATCTCTGAAGCTCAGGCCAGTTATCCGCAAATTGAGGAGGGCAGGGGGGAGGGATCGGAAAGAGATGTCTAATACTCCTCAAGTTCTGGTATTTGTGAAGTCCTAGTCTCTATAAATATGGGGCATAAAAAAGAGCTCCTGGGTGCAAAAGCTGGAGGAAAAAGGCAGGCGCATCTTGGGTAGGAGGACAACTGGTTTGCATTCTGGTTCTCTTTTGCAGGGAAAACTGTGCAAGGACATTCTATGACCACATAATGTCTGCCTTTCCCTTTCTTTTTCTCTCTCTTCCTTTTTAGAAATATTTTTCAGAAATATTTTAATAGTAGCTAATTCACACAGTCAAATAGTCATTGGTTTTGAAAAATTTTACACACACACACACACACACACACACACAAAATAGTAATAATCTTGGGCCTTTATTTGGCACTCAAAATTTTTTAAAAAGAAAAAAAAGTAATCGGAGATTGGAAAAATGGAGGAACACCCAGCAGCAAGTAATTTTTTTAAATGGCTTTTTTTAATCAGGAAAAGAATGACCCTAAAAATCACCATCTGGTCAACCTAAATGATATCCTTAGTAATGTAAGAAAGCCAATATAAAAGAAAACACTTTTTAAAAACACCCCTAATGTAGAATAGCATCCTAAAAGCATTAGAAAAGGAAGGCCAAGTGCCTTGCTGGCAGTATTTGAGTGCCAAGGGTAGGAAGAAAACACATTACTTGATTCTCAGGAAAGTACTTTATTATAATACCCTGGACTTTTTCACACAAAAAGCATCACTTCCTCAGTGAAACAAGTCATATAAAATCCACTTCCACAAAAAAATAAGCAGTTACAGCGGTTAATGGAATTCTCTACAACATGCTTCTATGTCAGACTAAGAAAACTAAGAACTGGTTACATGTTTTTCTTACACACACACACACACACACACACACACACACACACACGGAGTTTTTACTACAACTGACCAGCTGGGTCTCTGGGAGTGGCAAAAGAAACTGTGACAATAGCAGGCTTTTTTGTTAATGAGGGATGTCTGATGGGAAAAAAAAATTGTTTGGTATTGTCTCATTTTACTCCCACTTAGACCAAGAGGCTGCATGCTCAGGAAAATCAGTCAGTTTCCAAATTGGAAAATGTTACAAATACCAATAAGGAATGAACATGCTCTAGAGCAACTGCTAAGCCCAGGCAGGGGGAGGGGTGAACCAGATGGTCTTTTCCATCCCAGATTTCGATGATCTACAACAGAACCTGAATGACTAGGAAAAAGTGAGATGCGATTTGGAAATTGCTTTATAAAATAGAATCCCAAACAAAGACACTCAACAAGGCAGAGAAATCTAAAAGGAAATGAAAATGGTTCTGGGTGAGAGCAGAAAGCAAGCCAGTTTGAGACTGTGATTGATAAATAAAGCTTGTCCCCAAATCAGAACATTTTGGAGCGGAAGGTGCCTTAGAGAGATGCTAGTCACAAGCCCAAATGCATGCTCACTGGGCCAGAGATCAGAAATTAAGCGAGGTGGAAATAGTGGGGACAGGGTTAATTGAAGAGTGCACGATCTGTCTAAAAGCATTCAAATTAAAGGGAATTGAAATATGCATGCCGGCCAAATAAAACACATCTTCAAGCCAGTTCAGTCTAGGAGCTTACTGTTTGTATGTCTGATAATCTCACTGTTCCTAAATCTACCTACACTGTTCACATGAGGAAACTGAGGACTAGAGAAGTCACATCATTTGATGATAACCACAGAGCAGCGAGTGTATACAGCAAAGCCAAAGTGCTAGGATTATGTTACACACCGAGATGATGTTAAACAACAGCAAAAATAAAAATGACATTAACCCAAAGTCCTCCGCACACCTTTGGTTCAGGTATACTCAGTTCACATGGTTTATTCTTTTAAGAACAAATTAAATTATCATCTAGTTAAACACAAAGCTAGTGAGAACTGGGGGAAGAAATAGAGGGAGGTCGTACTAAAAAAGAAAAAACAACAACAATGAAAGGTTCAGAGTCAGACATTTTGTTTCTCAAAAACAATAGTTAAATTTATAGTTAAATTTACTGCCCTGAGTCAGACATGGCAAACAGAGCTGATTTTACAGAGAGGTAAAGTGAGACACTTACCATGGCTGTGTCATGGTTTATTTTGTAATATATTTTTTAAAGTTAGGTGTTCAAGTTTCCTTCTAGATGCTTCTCAAAGAGCAAAGTGAGAAAAATAACTTCCATTCCTGGTATTGGCTATTAAGAATCTTTTTTTTTTTCTTAAGTGTAATTCCAGGGGAAAAAAAAACCTCAGTGAGATATATCAAGTAGTGGAAAATCTTTGCAGGAAAATCATGAAGTAGAGAGAAAGATGAGAACATCCTCCCTTGGGGCAGCTGGAAAGAGACTAGACAAAGAACTGAAAAGTTCCTTTGGGGAGCCCACCTCCTGCTAGCCAATGGGACTTTCCTTCCCTGGTTTCTCTGTAGCTAAGAAAACACAAATATATAATCTACAGAAGGAGAGAATGCAGCCTTCACACAGGGCTGGCATCTCTGAAATAAATCTCTCCATAGGTGCTAGGCTAAACCTTAAATATGAAGATATAATCTTTTGAGTTTTATAGCAGCATATGCATGATTCTTCCCCTCCCCCATAAAACTCTCAACAGGAACAACCACATCAAATTATTGCTTTTCAGAGGCCAATTCAAAAACACCCTACTTTATCACAGAAAGAATATTCCTTATGTATGTGAGTGCTTCCATTATGTCTTATTTGAAGGGGGAAAATGAAATAAAAATCCGATCTGAGATATTTATAGATCTCATAAAACCTGATTCACTCTCATAAGCTGCAGTAAGCTCAGTCATCAGGTAAGGCAGAAATGGCAGGTGTAGTAACCGGCACTGTATTATGTTATATATGCCTAATTCTGGCTCTTAAAAAAAATAACTGCATGCTAGAAAAACATAAGATACGTAAGTCATAAGTCAGACTGGACAGAAAGAAAGGGGAAGAGATTGGACATTTGCATGAACAAGCCAAGCAAATTCCAAGGATGTCAAACTAGGCCCAGTTTCCGGGCACAAAGGGTATTGCTAGTCCTCCCCCAGTTCCAAGCACAAATTACTTAATGAAAGTTTCCCTTGTGGATGGATAAAAGGTATACCATATCCAATGCCCAGCATTCCGCTTTCCCCTGCCTTCCATCATTTATTGTCTCTTGGGCATTCCAGGCTCACTGGGATCTTCAAGACACGAAAGACACCACTGAGAGAAAGAGCATTGTGCCTCTGTGTATTATTATTGAGAGGAAAATGGGGAAGGAAAGAGCATTTGTTGAGTGGATGTTATGTGCCAGACACTAGGTCAGAGAGCTGATTCTTATCAGGAATTAAGAACTCCACAAATGACAAACAAGACTCAGAGATGTTAAGTGACTTTCTCAAGGTTCCACCTCTGCTTGATTTCAAATCCTTCATGTAATTTGTCTACTATGAAACACTGTGACCTTAAAAGTGCCTCGCACAGTCCAGTCCTTTTACAGATAAGAAAACCAAAGCCCAGAAAGAAGACAGACCAATGAACTACTGGAATCCATACTGGGCCACTGACTGCCAGGTCACGACCTTTGGCTTCTGCCCTAATGTCCCCTACCTAAAGAGCAGTCAGTATAGATGTAACAATTAAGAGTGCTGGGCCCTGCTGAGGCTTGGATCCCAGCTCAAATACTTCCAAGTTGTATGATTTTAAGCAAGCCATTCAATACCTCAAATCTCAGCTTTTCCATCTGTAAAATGGGGATAAATAGAATACGCATTTCATAGAGCTGTTGTGAGCATTCATTGAAATGATGGATACAGGTGCTCAAATGAGATCATCTTTAGGAAGTGTCTGATACATATGAGACAGTACTATGATGGTTATTTTTATGACAGGAAGATTAGCCAAGTGGAAAGAGGGAAGAGAAAATTTATTCCACCAATGGTTTTTTGCAACTCATTTGCTTTGCAGCCACAGTAAGACAACTTGCTTAAGCTTCCTGTGCCCCATTTTCTCACCCCTGAATGGGAAATTCTGTAATATCTGTCTGCTCCCTAGTTAAAGAAAGAATGTGCCAATGACAAAAGACCAGGAGCAAAACACCCTGAGCCCTTCAGAACAAAGGCTCAACACAGATGTTTGTTACATTCTCATATGCAAACATAAAAAGACCCATCACAGAGGAAATCATCTCTTGATCCGTATTAAAGAAAAGCAAGAACCTTGAGAAGGGGAGGAGAATGTACAAATTAGGGCTGAACAATCTTGGAAGAAATGAAGTCGACTCAGGTCTGACCTTAAGCAGCATCTCATCACTCTCAGGGGAATCAGTTCTGCATAGGGCCTCACAGAAGACATCCTTCAACACCATAGTCAGAAGCTGCACTTCACTAACATGGTCTGTAGTGCCCATATGAACAAAGGCTAAAAGCTCAAAAGGCAGGGGGTGTTGGGGTGGAAAGAATCTATTTCCACTCCTTTGTATGCTGAGCAAATTTGCCGCCTCTCCAAAAATAAGCACCAATGTTATGACCACTCCATTGAATTCCTGCTAACTCGGCTCTGGAAGGTGAATGTGAGAACGGCGTCAAGAGCAGGTGGGCACTCCCTTGCAGGGCAATTGCTCCACGGCTAATTGCCGTTTTCACAGCTGGGTTGAGCTTTCCAAAAGGCATCCTTCAACCCTGAGCTCTGAGCTCCTCTCCTGATGTTCTCTCTTGCCAACCATACCCCCATCAAAGACAGTTTACAGATGAAAGGATGTAGCTACAGGACATACAATTTTGCAAACATCACAGTTTGAAAAAGAGGCGTTTCTAAGGCTTCTTTGTGAAGATCACCACACGCCCACAGTCATTACCACAGGAGCTAAGCCTTCTATGGGTGTGAAGGCAGCCTCCTTGCCGGAATGTCCTCAGCAGCAATTCTTCCACAGTTTATTTTTGCTCCTCTTACTAGAAAGATGGATCCTCTGAAATTCTTTATAAACAGAGTCTACTTCCAAACACTGTGGTTGGTCAGTAAGAAAATGGAGAGCTGCTACCTAATGCCTCTCCAGCATCATCCAACAGATGTACATGCATGCATCCAGCCCTTTCAAACCATGGAGCAGGCTGAGGTGAGTGGAAAATCATGGCCAAGGGCCTACTGAGAATGAATTGTTTGAAACCCAGCAAGGCTGGAGTTTAAAGCCCAACACCACAAAGTTTCCAAATATGGAATTTGACCAGGTTAAGCAAATTCCTGATGGGTCACAGGAAATGTGAGCCAAACAGACTGCCTTAGACACTTTAGGGTGAGGGAAAGCAAAGCAAGAAGGATGAAACAACACTTGGGCAGCTGCTATTAACAAAAGTGCCAGATGAAGCACATCCACCAGCATGATCCTGTTTTACTATAAACCTCTGGTCCGTGTGGATTCCAAATTACACAAGTCATTAAATATTTCAATATAAGAAGCAGGTAACCCCAACTCTGACATATCATTAAACCCTCTATACACCAATGGCTCAATGCCTTGGCTGCATACTGGAATTGCCTGAAAGCTTTACAAACACTGATGCCCGGGTCCTTCCCAAAGAGATACTGATTTTATTGGTCTGGGGTGCAGCCACGATTGAGAACCACTGAAAAAGGCATAGTCAAATCTTAAGTCATAGTCATAACATGCTCCTCAAATAACTATCGAGTGCCCACAGTGTGCAAAGCTTTCTAAGAAGCAGGTGATACATTAAAAGTTGACTACCAAAACTATACGCAAGGCATCAACTCCTTAAAGCATAAACTTAACAAGAAAAATGACACAACAGAAAAGTAAAAAAAAAAAAAAAAAAAAAAGAAAAGCTTTATTATAACTCAAAACTGTAAAGCATCACGGGGAAGTAAAAAGCTCTGCACAAGAGTATGGAAATCATAGCAGTTACAGTTGGCTGGTAGCAAGGGAGGGAGTTTGGCACCCATTTGAAAGTTAAGGAATGGGTGGAACTTGGACAAAGAAAATCAGGAAGGGGAGAGGGAGGAAGAGGAAAAAGGCTAAAGGAAACAACAAAAATAAAGACAGAAGCAGGAAAAGCATAGTCACTTAATTTGGATGGCATTTACTACATGTGAAAAGGGGGGAACTTGCAAATATTGTGTAGACCCAGTCTTGGAACACCCTGACTCTTGGAAGTTTGGCCTCATGCTATGTATAAGAGGGAGCCATGAACAGTTTGAAAGCAGGCCACCTGGGGTGATGGTGGCAAAAAGGCAAGTCCAGGGAGGTGACAGGGATTGTGGCAAGGCAATGGCCAAGGGTGCCATCCATGACAGGCTGATGCTAAAGCACCTCAGAAGCCAAGTCAGTGGGATTTTTCAACTAATTTTAGACTTCCGCTAATTAGATCTTTTCACCTAATTTTTTATTAGATTCAAGAAAAAGAAAGGAGTTACAATGACTAGAATGTCAAACCTAGATCATGAGACGAATAATCACATTATTAAAAGAAATAGGGAAGCCAGGAAAAAGGAAGCAGTCCGTGGAAGAAGTTGATGAGTTAGGGGTTTAGGACATATTCAGCTGAAGTGATGGTAGAACAACCCCAAAGCCCATCTTGCTTGTTGCTTATTTCTGGTTAGAAAAAAATGAGGGCCTGAAACCCAGGGAAATATCTGGAGGTGGAGATGTAGAGTATAGCTGTGAGGAGATGAAGAAGCCCTGAACTGGGAAGGAGATTTTAACCTCTAAGATGTTAGAGGTGAAAGAGATCTGTGAGACACATTCTGGGAGAGAACTTTCACCATCATAACTACCAATTCAAGGAGGTAGGGAAGGGCAAAAAGTAACTGGGGAAAAACTGGGGCAAAAAAGTCAAGTGAGCCTTCCATTTTCCTTTCCTCATTAGGGACAATGGTAAAAATTAGGCCTACTTCATCCATCAGACCTCAAAAGACTTTTTGAAAAACCTCTCAGAGGTTGAGTTTCTTCACTACTGCTTATTACAACCCTCTCAAGAATTTAAAAACATTTAAAAAGATTTTCATCAACTGGTACATGGGTTGCTGGTAAAGTTTCGGGCACTCTCTTTGTTGGTGAGGTGCCAGAAACAAAGCAATTTCACGTTTGTTGCTTTCTACTTCCATCTAGTTCTATATTCCATCCAACCCCCTACCACATATGCCCCACTGCACACCCTTCATACTCCCACTCCATTTGTTATTATTTAAATGACAATAATTTTTATAAGACTCGAGTTATAATCTGGGGCTATTTTTTCGGTACAGTGTATATTTTCCAATTTAGCACACATTAAAAGTGGAAAAAGAATCAAATTACACAAGTAAGCCTTCTCCAAAATATTCGATAACTTGTTCTAGAACCTAGCCAATCCCAAAATTCCATGAACCAGTAGTCTTAAAAGTAAAAAGGGAATTTTCTTGCCTCCTTTGAAGGCAAAAAAGAAAGAGAAAAGAATCAGAAGTGAGTCAAGGTATATTCAGGTGACAGAAAGCAAGTAAACTGGTCTGGGCATCTGAGAGTCCTGGGCCCTGAAACCATCAGTGTTAATAAGCTGTGTGACCTTGGAGAGTGCAATGCCTCATCTGGCTTTAACAATCACTTAGTTCAACCCAGTATTTTAGAGTTGAGGAAACCAAGACCCTTTCAAGATTTGAAATTCTGAGATTCTATGTTCCTCGCTTTGGTACAAGGCTGAGAACCTGACTTTCAAAATGACCCTCAGGAAATGTCAATACACCCACATTCAAAAATAGATATCGCATATGGCTCTACGTTATTTTAATTACCTCTAATCATTTCCGAATGGCACAGACATGGGCACTGTTTCCTGGCCATTATGGATATGTGTATTCACATTGTATACTCATCTGCCCTAAAAGTATCCAGCCCACAACATGACATTGGCTGAAAGCTTTTTCACAACAGAACTTAGTAAATCTCAAGTATGTTTTATAAACAAGGTTGGAACTATGTGGGTAATACAGATAGGCACAGGTCAGTGTTCCAACACAGAACTGAATGTTTCTTTCTTTCTTTCCTTCTTTCTGGCACTCATGCTCTATTCTGTTTAACTTAATTTTGAACATGCTTTCTCTGCCTTACTACAGTCAAGCTCCTAGAGGGCAGATTCTATATCCAATTCAATTTTGCATTGCCCAAATACAGTATTATGCACATAAAAAGGGCTTAAGGAATGAAGTATTTACTGTGGAATATTTTCTATACTTGAATATAAACAACAAAAATCCCACAAAGTGTGACTAGGTCCATCTACCAGCTCAATGAAGAATGGTATCCCCCTGAAATCAGAAGTCACTCGCACCTCATTTGGGCTGATACTAGACTCAGATCTCAAGGCTACTGCAAACGCTCAGCTGTAACATTTATATATCAAGCATGTGGTACTGCTCGAATGGAGGGGGGATGGACATGAGTCGTTTAAACGGGACCAAGTTCTTAGGGTCACACCAAATACCCCGAGAAGGAAAACTAAAGGGATGTAGGGTGGTAGAAATAATTCTGCCAATTAGCAGGAACTAATCTGGGCAAGGTGGGGCACAGCAAAATCACAAACAATCTTAGGTAAAAGCATGTCCCAGTAATGGCAACATTTTGTTTATTTGGGGAATTTTAGATAGAATAAGGATATGTATATTCTACAATGAGTATACAGAGAGGAGTGTTTTTTAACTTGTCAATGTTACATGTAACATGAATAATTAGACACTATAATTTGTTTCACCAACTTTAACACCATTAGTAGTTGAGTTTTCTAATCACTGTACTTGGTAAGATTCGGCATTTTGGGGTTAAAACATTCCGCCCCCCTACCCCCAATCGTTTATGCTAAGCAAGCAGTCAGTTGATTTGGGAGAACAAAGGGACTACTGGACAGAGGAAATCTCTGCCCCTCACCCTCTGGCACCATTCAAGTTAAGTTGGGGAGCTGTCCTAAACTTTCAGCAAATCGCAGTTCTAACACATAGGCTAACTGATATATCGAGTGAACTGGAATCACAGAGCGATTTTCTGCATTTGCCAGTCGTGGGGTCCAGCAAAGATAATTAAAAGCCCATTGCACAATACTATAAAATGAAAAGATAAGGGGTATCCACCGACCCCGTCTGGAATCAGACCAGCTATCCTATCAACTTGAGCCAGATGGGACTGGCCAGAGGAAATTGTATTCTTCTTTCCTCAACAGGCACAGAGAGCAATTAAAGAAGATTGCAATGTCTTCTTGTACTCCAAAAGTTAAAACGCAAGAATTCTCTGAAGAGAGTACAATGTGAAGATTCATAAAAGAATGGCTATTAAAGGCCCCATTAGGACCCTCTCTGAACTATCTCCATTTAAGTAGAGAGGCAAATTAGCCCCCACTGGCATTTATGTTTAGAATGGGCTGGCAGAAAGAAGCAGCCCACATTTGGATGCTTAAGGTCTCTGACACACCCATACATAAATCATTTCAGGGCAAGGCTGTCATCTTGCATCTTCTGCTCTGCCTTTTAAATGGATGGGACCCCAACATCCCATTCTCCTCAGGGTAAGGAGTGGGGGTGGGAAGTTCATGGAGAACAAAGAATAGTGACCTCCTTTTCCCCCTACTAAGGACAGATGTAGTAAAAAATAACTGCATTATAATGTTTGCCCACTTTAAAATACCAAACTGCAAACAGGTAGACTGAATGATAATGTTTGAAGCCCCTAAATCTACACAAAGATGTGTCTGTTAAAGGAACATGGAAATGAATCTATTAAAGGCTAAGTGTGTGATTGATTGCAGTCACATGTGCTTTCATTTGTAGAGTTACATCTATTTAGTGATTGCATCTTCATAAAGATAAATTCTGGGTAACGGGCAGTTATATTTTTATTTCATCTACCAAGTTGCTGTTTCAAATAAAGAAACAGATTTACAGTAACTGAAGAACACACAAATCACATACCAAAAAAAAACAGTTATTTTATCCTTTCAGTGTGGCTAGCAAGGCTCCTTTGTGTCTACAAATTTCCCTGGGTGGTGCTGTTGCCAAGAAATTCTAATTCATGACAAGGCTATCTGCGAATTGGGGACTGAGGCAAACCTACGGATGGACAGACCCTACAGTTTGCTTTGTTTTCCTGGCTGATATAGCACCTGGCAGCCCAGGCCTGCAGAAGGAAGTGCAAAGGCAAGATCTTCACATAAAAGGAGAAGCAATGTGGCTCACAGACCAAATCCCATCCCTGGTACCATGAGGCTGTTCTTGGAATGCAACCATTTCTGTACGTTTTCCCCTAGAGATTCCTTATACCAAAGGCCCTCATAAAAAGTGTTTCAGGGTGCCTGAAACCAAGATGAAATTGCAGTGTTATGGGGACACTTTAGTCCTTACAGTAGCCAAGTATGCCATTAGTTTAAAACAATAGGGGAATGGGGGAGGAGAGAAGAATGTTCTATGATTTATTTATTTGTTTCCAGTAGCAGTGGAAAATTTTCTCTGAGCAAAGAGAGGCCTGAAACTGACCCCATCTGCCAATTATGAATCAGCATTAACAACAAACATAATTCCATAAGACTTTTCAAGCAAACATGCGATGCTCCTCAATGACACGACGCAAAGCTAAGTCCAAATAAGACTTAGATCATCACTGCTTGACCTGCACTCATGAAATAGCAGACTAGAGATAAAACATATAAAAGTTCTAAAAGTCTTTGTATATTCAAGAAGAAAATAAAAGCATTGTATCAAATTCTTTTTATTTTCCAAGTCAGCAGTGTGTCTAAAAAAAAAGATTATGATTTCTATTGGCAAAAAAAGTCATGAATGAGTTTCCCTTTACTCATAATCAAGTGGTACCCCATAAGAAACTCTGGTTTCTGTCCTACCCTTGACCTTTTCCTACTTTTGCTCAGACAGCTCTTGGAAATTTTCCTACAAGTTTTCAAAGCGCTTAAGGCTGGTAGTCTTAAGAATTGCGCGTCAGCTGAATTCTATAAAATAATAGACCACATAAGCACAGTGTAATTTACAGTTATATGACAGGCAGAAAGATGATGTTACTTGGGCCGAGTGCTTAAGTATGCAGTCAGAGCCCAGGAATGGAGAGCTGTTAATGTGTGATGTCCATTTGGATTTCAGAATTATACCAGCAACGATTATTTTCAGACTTGGAGCTATGTGGCTAAGGCATCATTGCCAGAAAATCCAATGTCAAAACGAGGATCTCCGTGACGAGAGGGAGCCCTGCCACAGTCAGTGACTTTGTCACAGGCTCACTGACTATTAAGCAGGACAATTATCCCATATCCTAAGTTTAAAATAAAATCCCCAAATTGTTTATCTTCAATTTTCAAACGTAAAAATGTTCTTGAGTTTATCATCGAAGCCACTCTTTCTCTAGAAACCAAGTCAGATTATCAGAGTCTCCACATTTTGCTCATCTCCATGAGCCCAGGTACATTGTTCACTTTAAGAAGAACATCTAATAATTACTCCTCATTTGACCTCTAAAATCTGATTACCCCAGAGCATAAAGAAACTTCTTCCTGTCTGGGGTTCTTTGCAGAAACCCTGTTGAGCTGTTTTGAGCAAAAGAGTCTCAAAATTTCATTATCCGATAGTTGATTTGGAACTAACAGTTGCATATCACCATCACCACCCCTTATACTCAGAAGCAGCAAGACGGTTTTGGGAGGGGGAAGAAGGAAGGGCTAGAGGTTAAAGGTTTTGTCATCAGTGTAAACCTATGGTCCTAGTCGCCTTTATATAGAGCAGTTGTGATTACGGAGTCCAGAACATAAAGCTCACTGGAGTGATATATTGTTTATTAGTGCTTCCCCACAAGCTATGCATCAGCATTGGCTATAAGCATGACGCTGAATAAGTTGGCTAAGGGTTTTAAGGTGAGAGTGGCTGGCAGTTGGAGAGGGTTAAGGCAAAAAATGAGGGGGTTCCGAGGGGTGAAAAATCCTTTGCCTGTAGAAACTAAACTAGAGCTTCCCTGAATGGGGAGGAGGCAGAGGAGCAGGGGGAGGAGGGGAGAAGGAAGAGCAGAGATGGCTTCTTAGGAAACAATAGATCTAATACATCCTCTAGTTGTCAAACCGATGATGTTTCTTTGCAGATCTAGAGTTTGTCCTGGATGGTCTAGCCAGATCTAGAAAAGCAGGTTTCCTGTGAAGAGACCTTCCTCCAAATCTGGCTTTACTACTCTGAAAACTTGAACCAAAACAAAGTTGCATGATTCATCAGTAGGGAACGTTCTAACAAATAAAGCCAACTTTCTTCCTTCTAACACTGCTTAACAGTTAGTCACAAACAAGGGCTGCCTTGGGCAGGCTGACTAAATCAACAGATTCCCTTCTCTAACCTGTCTAGACAGTTGTTAATATGCAACCGATTCCATACCAGTGGGCTGACAGTGTGAAATGAAGGCTATTTCAGAAGATTTTGGTTTAATTAGCATTGGAAATAAAAGGAAGAAAAAGATCCAGTGAGACCCTTCATGAGACACACTCTCGTTAAGGATAAGGAAAAGGATGCATTGAAGAAAGACTTTATTCTAAAAATATGTGAACTGTGTATGTGTTTACAGAGAGACAGAGTCAAGCATCTGCTAGCGTCCTTGGACAAGAATGCATGTGTGGACACAGAGACACCAGACGCCAATACCTGGAGGAAAACTCACAGCCTCTGACCAGAAGTGAACTAGCAACAATGGTACAGTTAAAGGATCCGCCTTGCCACTCGGCTCCTTATACCAAAAGCCAAACCTCTTTTGCTAAAGCAGAGACTGTTACATCTCAGCCTCAAGCTGGCAAATCCTGCTTTGGATCCCGGCAGAGGAAATTCAGCCGTTCATTAGCCTTAACAAGCTGCTGTCACTAAGCGAAGAAATTACACGAGCAGCCACACACCGAGCCTCTCACAGCCCTCCCCCCAAGGGCAAGCGGGTTTCTCCAGGACGGACTGTACAAGTTCACACTTCCTATGTGCAAATCCGGACTGTCTTCTTGGACTTTCCATGGTGCACACTGTACAATTTTTAAATACCCGTGTCCCCCCGCCCCCACCCACCATCTTTCCTGCAGAATGTCCCCTCAGCAGCTCCTAATCGCTGCTGAAAAAAACCACTGTTTCCGCAGCAGAGCCAGCACTTTCCACTGACCAGCACTTTCTTTATTCCACTTCACAAAGCCCAGTGAACTTGTCACCAGCCCCACTTCATCCTCCCTGGGACGGCTAGCCAACTTGGCATCGGTGCCCTTCAGCATCCTGGGAGTTTCTTAACTAGTCCTCTAAGACAAAGTCAAAGGCATGGAAGCACACATCAGCCTTTGTCCGAGGTTGTGCTGCCTAACTAGAGAAGGACCCTAAACAAAAAAGAGAAACAAGGACACGCATAGAGGGTGTTCTCTTTCTGGAGGGATCACACTGGGAAAACCTACAATTCATTGTCAGCCTCAGCTACATCTTCCCGTCCTCCTTGAGTATCTTTTGTCAGTGGGCTCTTCTCTCTTTTGCCTACCTTCTAATCTCAAAATCAAGCTCCTATTCTTTATTGACACTCGCTAATTACTGAAAAACACTCCGCTTTGCTCCTGCCCACCCTCCCCCGCCCCCCATCCGATGGTCATAAGCACCAGTTGAAACAGATGAACCTGATTTCAGGTATCAAGTGGGTAGAGCTCATGCATGCGAGAACGTGGTCCCTGTCAGCAATCGCTCCTAACACCCCAAACCACCTTCCCACCCGGCTCCTCCGAACCCCAGAAGTTCGGCAGGTCTCTGATAGGGGACAGCAAACCCGACAACGTGTGCGCAGGGATGTGTGTTGGCGACTGAAACGCAGGCAGCTCGCACCGGCTGCTCAGCTCGGCACTCTACGAGGTTAGGGGTGGGTGGAGAGGTAAGCGCAGATGACTGTTTCAGAAAACATTTTCAACAACAGACAGCCAAAAAGGAAGAAAAAAAAGTCAAACAAACAAACAAAAATTTCAACCCAGAGCCCACACCAACGCAGCCCCTGCGTCTCCGCCGCCACCACACGATTTACACAAGTAATTTAAATCATTCACCTGCTGCCAGGTCTCCTCCAGGGATGGTAAAGCTGAGAAGTAGCCGGTGTCGTGGACAAGTTGTAGCTCCTGGAATATACTATAACTAGCCAACACGTCCATGCTGCTGCTGCCGGGCAAAACGGGAGGCGAAACCCTCCCCCGAACACAGTTGGGGCTGTTTGTTTGTCAGTCTGTCTGGCTCACCCCCCAAGAAGGCAGACATCCAGTGGCCCTTTTGTTTTGTTTTGTTTCAGTCAACTAAAAAGGAAAAAAAAAAATCAATGCAGGAGAGGGAGAGAGGAGGTGAGAGAGGAGCGAGTGAGTGGGGTGGATGGAGAGAGGCATCCAGCGTGTACAGTGCAGACGACTGCCAGGAAAAGGGGACTTCTCCACGGGAGTAACAATTCCCTTCCAGGGCTCTAATCACTCCAGCTCGTGGATCAGGAAGGGGGATGCAAACTCACTGACACGAAGCTGCCATCTATTTCTGCAGCGCTGTTCGCTCCTAATGCAATCTTTGCTCTTTATTTTGGGAGGTTGCATTTTTTTCTCTCGCGATCGCTTCTCTTCCCCCCCCTTCCCTTCCCTCCCCACCCCCCACCCCATCCTTGCTAGTTTGTAGTCTTCCCCCTCCCTTTTCTCCTCCTCCTGCTCTTCCCCCTCCCCAAACTCCCTCCCTCCGTTCGGTTCTCCGCGCAGCCGTGGGATCTCGAGGAGGGCGTCCATTAGGCCGCGTGTGACCATGTAAGGTAAACAGGGGGCTCATGAAGTCACTGAGGACCAATGGGGAGCCCGGAGCAGAGCCTGGGGCGGGGCTTGGCCCTGGCGGCGGGCGCGGATTGGCACGCTGCGGATCTCCCTGCTGCCTTACAAGGCGGTGCGAGGCGAGCTATTTTTAGAGGGCTATATAAGGGGGCTGAGGCGGCCGCCCGGCGGCCGGGCAGCGCGAGCGCAAGGGACAGGGAGGGTCGTGGCGACACTCGCGCCAGCTCCCGGGACGGCTGGGCTCGGGCTGGTCGCCGACCTCCGACCCTCCACTAGATGCCTGGCAGAGCCCGGCGCGTCCGGAGCCCGCGCCCCTCAGAGGGAAGGGGTCGCGCGTCGCCGCGGCGGCCCTGAGGCTGACGGTCGGGAGGTGAAAGGCCGGAGTGCGGGGTCAGGACGCCTCCTGGAGGGGGCGCGGCGCAGGGGGCCGCGGGGAAGCCGCCGAGGGCGCGGAGCGGGAAGGAAGGACAGTGGCCACCCCGCCTCCGCCTGGGCACGGGGCAGGGACCCGCGCGAGGCGGTGCCGGGGAGGTCCTCACGTACTCAAAAACAAGCAGAAAAGGCATCCAGGGCCCCTTCCCGAACTCCCCACGGGCTGCCAGGGTGCAGAGAAGAAGCGCCTGAGGAGGAAGTGCCACACAATGGGAGAGAACAAAGGGGAGCGGAGCGAGACCGCGGCCTGCGCCCGCCCCCCGCTTGCGCACAGTCCCCGCCCCGCCCCGCGGGCGCCGCCGCCGCCGCCCTCCCTCCCGCGCCTCCTTCTGACCCCGAGCGAGAGACCTGGTCGGGAGTCCGGCGGCTAGAGTTGATTGCAAGGGGCCTGTTGCTCGACTGTGCGTTAAAGAGGCTAGAGGGAGCCTAGGTAGACGTGGGGCGCAAGCTGGAGCCGGCAGCTTGCGAGGGGGCCTTTACGTGATGAGGCTCACCATGGGGTCTCCAGCGAGGTGTCTGCAGAGCTTCGATGGTGAGAGGAGGAACTCGATTTCTCGTTTTCTGGAGTTGGGATGTAGACATAGAGAGATCTGTTACATCTGAGATGAAAACCCTGCACAATTCACGTTAGGGTTGGCCAATTGTTTGCTTGACCTTAAATGGTTAGTGTGGTTTAAGCTTCCCCAAAATGCGCTGTGAGCTGAGCTTCCACTTTTGGAATGATTGCAGAATTCGGTGCTTAAGAGATGAGAAACTTCGTTCTACCAGTAATGGAAGAAACGCTTCACCTTAATCACCCTCCTTGTCTTTCCCCTCCCTTTGACTATGTAGGACTCGATAACACAACATTTGAAAGATTCTACTCTATGAAATAAGCACAGATTGAAATTCAGTATTTGCCAAGGAATATTAAACATGAATTACTGGGATTGAGGAAAGCCTGATTTATTTACTTGTTAGTGTCTGGAATTCTGTTGGCCAGATTCATAGCATTCATTGTATGAGTATAATTGGAACATTTACTCTAATGTAGATGCAGATGCATCTGCAATTAGATGTGCAAGGACGCTGCCAGCTAACTAGCTGCACGACTTTGAGCGAATTACTGGGTCAGAACTTGTATCTACCCATCTCAGAAACAGAAATAGTGGGATCCGCGTTGTCTAGTTGTTATGAAGAGTCAAAATATCTTTGGTAACTCACCTAGCATAGTATCTGACACTATTAGGTGAATACTAAATATTAGCTATCATTGTCTCCCCACTTGAGCTATGTAAACTAATAGGACCTTTAGGAGAATATACTATTAATAGAATCTTGGAGATAGAGGAAAGGTAGAAACCCCTTGCTAGTTTGTTACAAGGTCTCCCCTTCTCCATGCTCTCCCCTGACCCCCATGCTATTTCAACTGGGGGGATGGGCAGGAACCATTGAGAAACACTAGGGCAAAAAACATGTTCATGAATAATAGGGGAAGGAAAGGAACTTGGGTATAGAAAACTAGAGGCAAAAGGTGAGGCAAGACCAACCATATAATTTGGTACTTGAGACTCAAGTGAACTTATTTTGTGTGTGTTACATTATAACAATTTTTGAATAAAATAGGACATATCGGTTAACGTGAGTTTGAAGATTTTACAAATAATAGTTCCCATTTATTAAGCACTTCGAATGTGCCGTATGCGCATAAACACTTTATATGCAATGTCTCATTTAATCTTAAGGACAGCCCCAAAGTATCCCCAACTTTATGGATGAAGATACCCACGCTTGGAAATACTAAGTAAGTTGGTCAAGGTCTCACAACCTGGAAGTGGTCAAGCAGGGGTTCAAATCCAAGAGCATCTGACTCCCCACACTGTTCTGTACTGAGCTTTGTATGGTGAAAAATGGGGTTCCTCAGCTTTAAGTCAGTGTGTGTTTACAAAAATTGCTTGGGTGGGGCCGGAGGAGGAGGCTTCCATTGAGACTTTTCCTATGTAACTATCAGCCGTCTGACTTGCAAAAGGACTCAACCAAAATTTTACAAAGCAAATACTGCAAACCTCATTATGGTCTTTGCTCCAAGCTTTGTAGAATATTTTAGATTCATTTTAAGAGATTTATGCAGCAAGGCATTCTGAAAGGCACATTTTCAATATTAGTTATATTTAGCTACTTTTTATACCCTAGAGACCCAAGATTCACATTGCAAAACACATGCAAGGTATCCAGATGTACAAAGTAATCAACAAATTAAGATCACAAGAGAACTTTGGCAGTTCAGCAAACCAAAATAAACTGCACTGTTGTAACTACCACTTACTGGTTGATTACCTTCTTTGTACCTAGCATTTTACACATACCTCTGATCTCCACAATCCTGTGAGGGAACTCTTAGTGCTCCATTTTTATAGATGAAGATACTGAAGTTTAGAGAGTGCATGTAATTTGCTCATTACCATGTGTCCAGTAAGTGGGTAAAAGCAGATTAGAATACAGGTCTGCCTCCAAATCGACTCCAAAATCTGTCTTCTCCACAAGTATTGCCTTGGGAGGTGTTCATTTTACTTCTAATAATGTCAATCTTTGGAAGTAATCCTATAGAAAACACCCTAGAGTAAATAATAAATTATCCCCCCACCCGGGGGGAGCTTAGAAATAAATGAGGATATTTTAAGAATAAAATAGTAAAAATTTAATATGTGAATACACACATTAAAGGCATCAGGCTGTTTCCACCAGTAAAGTTTTGCTTCATTAGTGTAGGAAGTCTTTATTATCCCAGTGTGATTAGTACTCCTCAAAGTAAATCTACTTAAAGCTGGGACCAAATTTCAGACCAATCAGTGAAGAAAGCTTTGCTTAAGACTTTATTTGAAAATAAAACTAAATGTTATTAAAATACATTCATTCTGTCCTATATGGGCATACCTCATTTTATTGTACATAGCTTTATTATGCCTTGCAGATACTGCTTTTTTATACAAATCGAAGGTTTGTGGCAACCCTGCTTGGAACAAGTCTTATCAGCACAATTTTCCCAACAACATGTACCCACTTTATGTCTCTGTGTAACATTTTGGTAATCCTCACAATAGTTCAAACTTTTTTTGTTATTATATCTGATATGGTGATCTGTGATCAGTTATTTCGGTTTTACCATTGTAATTGTTTTAAGGCACCATGAACTGTGCCCAAATAAGACATAGAACTTAACTAGTGTGTGTGTGCGTGCTAATTACTCCACCGACTGGCTCTTCCCCTCCTCTCCTCAGGCCTCCCTATTCGTTAAGACACAACAATAATGAAATTAGGCCAGTTAATATCCCCACTATGGCCTCTAAGTGTGCAAGTGAAAGGAAGAGTGACATATCTCTTTAAATCAAAATCTAGACATAAGCTTAGTGAAGAAGGTATATCAAACACCGAGATAGACCAAAAGCTAGGCCTTTACACCAAACAGTTGGCCACTCTGTGAATGGAAAGAAAAAGTTATTGAAGGAAATTAAAAATGCTACTCCAATAAACACACAGATGATAAGAAAGCAAAACAGCTTTATTGCTGATATGGAGAACGTTTTAGTGGTGTGGATGGAAGATCAAACCAGCAACAACATTCTTTTAAGCTAAAACCTAATCCAGAGCAAAACCCTGACTCTCTTCAATATTACGAAGGATGAGAGAGGTGAGGAAGTTGCAGAAGAAAAGTTGGAAGATAGCAGAGGTCGATTTATGAGGTTTAAGGGAAAAAGTCATCTCCATGACATTAAAGTACAAGGGAAGGAGCAAGTAGTAATGTAGAAGATGCAGCAAATTATCCAAAAGACTGAGCTAAAATCATTGATAAGGGTAGATGATGCAGCCTTCCATTGAAAGAAGATGCTCTCTAGGACTTTCATAGCTAGAGGAAGAAAGCAATGTCTGGCTTCAAAACTTCAAAGGACAGGTTGATTCTCTTGTTAGGATCTAATGCACCTGGTTCCTTTAACTTGAAGGCAATGCTCATTTACCATTTTGAAAGTTGTAGGGCCCTTAAGAATTATACTACATCTACTCTACCTGTGTTCTATAAATAGAAGAACAAAGCACATCTGTTTATATGATGGTTTACTAATATTTTAAGCTCACTGTTGAGACCTACTCTTTAGGAAAAAAGATTCCTTTCAAAATGTTACTGCTCATTGACAATGCACCTGGCCATCCAAGAGTTCTAATGGAGATATATAAGGAGTTGTACATGTTGTTGTCATGCCTAGCTAACACAACATCCATTATGCAGCCTGTGGATCAAGGAATAATTTCAGCTTTTAAATCTTATTATTAAGGAAATACATTTCATAAGACTATAATTGCCATAGATAGTGATTTTCTGATGGATCTGGGCAAAGTAAATTAACAACCTTCTGAAAAGAATTCACCATACTAGATGCTATTGAGAACATTTGTGATTCATTTGTGGAAGAGGTCAGAATATCAACATTAACAGGAGTTTAGAAGAAGTTGATCCCAACCCTTCTGGGTGACTTTGAGGGGTTCAAGACTTCAGTGGAGAAAGTAACTGCAGATCGGGTGAGAATAGCAAAAGAACTAGAAGTAGAGCCCAAAGAGGTGACAAAAATGCTGCAATCTCATGATAAAAATTACATGAATGAGGAGTTGCTTCTTACGGATTAGCAAAGAAAGTTCTTTTCTGAGATGGAATCTACTTCTGGTGAAGATGCTATGAACATTGTTGAAATAACAAACTACTTAGAATATTATTATACATAAAATGAGTTGATAAGGTAATCACAGGGTTTGAGAGGATTGACTCTAATTTTGAAAGAAGCTGTACTTTTGGTAACATGCTATCAAACAGCATTGCATGCTACAGAGAAACCTGTCATGAAAGGAAGCATCAGTGTGACCAAATTTATTGTTGTCTTTTTCTAAGAAATTGCCACAGCCCCTCCAGCCTTCAGCAACCCACTCTGATCAGTCAGCAGCCATTGACATTGAGGAAAGACCTTCTACCAGGAAAAAGATTATGACTTGCTGAAGGCTCAGATGATAGTTACCAATTTTTAGTAGCAAAATATTTTAAAATTAAGGTATGTACATTGTTTTTTCTTAGACACAATGCTATTGCACACTTACTATAGAGTATAGGGTAAATATAACTCATATGCACTGGGAAACAAAAAACTTGCATGACCCACTTTATTGTGATATTTGCTTTATTGCAGTGGGCTGTAACCAAAGTCAGCAATATTTTCATAGTATGCCTGTATTTAACAATATTTACGTTGTTAGTATGACTATGTGCTAATTGTAAAATGAATA
The DNA here is from genome assembly GCF_000001405.40 of Homo sapiens. Classification (NCBI taxonomy): domain Eukaryota; kingdom Metazoa; phylum Chordata; class Mammalia; order Primates; family Hominidae; genus Homo; species Homo sapiens. The sequence goes on from NC_000002.12 coordinate 207,171,950, forward strand.
AATCAAGAAAGTGATTGTTGGTTTAATTTTTCTACAAAAGGTAAAGCACCGGTTGGGGCCCAGAACACAATACCCCAATATGTATGGCACCCTGACATACTGAGTATTTTGAGCCAAAGGAGATTGGGAGAGCCACTAAAGCAGGAATTTCTCTCTGACCTTCCCCTACTCCTATTTTCTCTCCTGAAACAGATCATAGAAACTGAAATTTCTCTCCCTCAAAGCAAGCCATAAAACCTAAGAAGGTCACTCTCTGACCTCCTCCCTTTTGCCCTGAAGACCTTCGTGTGACAGGTGTTCTGCCCCTCCCTAGAGGCCAAAGAGAATCTGAACAAACAGGCCTTGTTAAGTTTCCAGTTTATTAACTTTAGGCCATACCTCCTTTTTATCCAATCCCACTTCAACACGACTGTTCATCCTTTATCCCACCTAAGCACTAAAATACAGTTTTCCCTGGGTCTTTGTGTCTTCATTTTTGAAGGCTCCCATGTCATGTAAAACTTTGATTAAATAGATTTGTGATACTTATCTCTTGTTAAACTGTCTTTTGTTATAGGAGTGTCAGCCATAAACCTTGTGATAAGGGAGGAAAAGTTATTACTTTTTCTCCCCAACTCAACTTACAATATGCCTTATTTCATATTTGACTTTTACAGGATAATCAAAAAGAGGGTCATTTTGTAAAAATGTTAGAGGGCTTCATCAGTTTCCCCAAGGGTCTCTATTAGTTTTTTGTATTCAAAGTATTCTCTTCTGAATCAGCAATATAGTCACCCTCCCTGTTGATTTTTACCTTCACTTGTTAGTTTAACTCTACAAATCTCTATTTGCCAGTGGCCTTATCAACCTTACTTTCATTGACATCATAAAATCTAACACTTTTGGCACGATTTGCAATTTTACTTTGCAGTATAATTGAATATATTGCATTGTATTGTAAATGTTTGCCACTATGAGAGCAGGAGAGAAGATTGTTAAGAAGGGATGTTTGAGTGGGGGACTAATTTATAAGTGGTCCTATCATTAATAAATATTTTTGTGTACTGACTTTTTCTTCCCTTCACCATCTTACTACAGTGGAGGAAAGTGTGAACTTGGGTTGTGTCGTAGAAAATGTGAGTGTCAGAGAGGCGGAGGTTGGTAAACAAGACTGCCTGAGAAACATGGTTTGAATTTGGAAGAACATGAGAACATGTATGTGGCCACTTGTGAGAGCTGTTTCATAATTGAGAAAAATGAAATGGTGGTCTCATCAGGCCTCTAGTGTCCTGGATAAAAATATTTCTTGAAAATACGTCTCTCTGTCTTCATTCTGTGCTCACTTTCTGCCCATAATTTGACTTCCCGCTTGTTCTGCCTACAGGAAAAAATGAACTGGTTACAACCACAGGAGCCTGGTCACCGCGGCAGTACTATTGCTATTGTCAATGCAAACATCCAAAGACATTTTAGTTAATATGTGTGTTTTTTGTGAGTTTAATTAGCATGGGTCTGACTTCCTAGGTTTGTTTAATTTTAAGACACTAACATATTGAGATTTCTAGACATGATATACTTTAAAAAATGGTCTCGGTGAATTAACCAAGAACTCTTATTATCTTCTTCAGAAGACATCCCAATCTTGCCACTAGCTTTTAGAATTCTGTGGGCATATTACAGTTTAACAAAACATTTATTTTTAAATAAAATGCCAAAGCCAACCCTGAATGTTACATCTTACATTGCAAGGGGTCATACAAAATGGATAAAAGAGGGACCTGGTAGATTGTGAGTTATGGGCGTGTGACCCAGGAGACAATTTGCTGCTTCCTTCTAACTCAGGTGATCTATTGCTTAACAAAAATTCACCTACCATCATGATAAAGGTAAGGAATTCACAAGTCCAGCAAAAGTTCACTGTCAAGAATGCTCTGTCCAACCTTAGAATGTTGGACTTTGAATGTCATTATGACCTGTGTTACAGGATTCCTGTGGAGATAAATATTAGTAGTCACTTTTCTAGCTTGAGCTGTCAGCACCTAAAGTGTCAGTATCCTCTATGAAGAACAAAATCATCATTTGAATTCAATCAGTCATTCAACATATATTATGTAAACCAGTCATTTAACATATATTATGCAAAGGACTTAGGTTGAAAATAAAATGGTAAACACAGACATATTACCAATATCAATTTCTGAGAGAGTAGTACTGTGTCTCAGAAGTTAGAAAAGGCATTTGAAGTGTCTAGTCCAACCTTCATCAGATCTACTGCTTCCCTTTGCAACACTGCTTTTCAGGAGATGCCCAGTTCCTCCAATGGTAGGGAGATCCCAGCAAGCACTAGGATAAGCTGCTATGATTGAACCTGATTGGATGATTTTCCCCATCTAAGAATAGCATCACAAGCTATTCAGGGGTCTCTGGACAAAGATTTTGGAAAAGAAGCCAGTAGGAAATGAGAAAAAAATTTAAAAAATAGTAAAAAGAATTAATTTTGCTGTGCAATGACGCAAATGCCCAGATAGTTGTGAAGCCAGTGAGAAATCAAGTTGCTAATGTTTTAGAGATTCTTAGCTTTTGTGGCATGTGAGGCACAATTTGTAAGAGTGTTGTGTTTCAACCTAAGCATTTTTTGTTGTGACATGTTGAATACAACAGTGTAATTATTAATATGTTAAATATCACTCTCAATGTTTTATCAGAATATTATCATTTTTCTTTTAAAAGTGCCATTTCCAAAGGGCTTGGTATGCAGTTAATGGGATTTAACAGCAGAATGCATCTTGGATTTTGTAATGGAAATCAATGGGAGAATAAGATTGATTTGATGGAAAGTCTCTGTACTGCAAACTTTGCTGACAATGACCATTCCTTTAAGTGAGAGATACCTATTCCACAAGTGCTCAATGATGAGTTTTTATGTATATGATAGATCTAGATAGTTTGGAAAATTAATAATGTCAGAAGCAGGTTTTGTTTTGTTTTGCTTTTTTTCTGACTAGTCTCTCATTTGAATCTGACTAAATTTCCTTTACCAGAAGGATGCTTACTTGAGTGCTTTGAAAACTCAGCTGAGTCATAGTTTTTAATGCTGGTCCCTGCTCTTCTCAGGAGTAAGTTATCACATGCTTTAAAATCCTCCATTTGGGCCGGCCGCGGTGGCTCACGCCTGTAGTCCCAGCACTTTGGGAGGCCGAGGCAGGCAGATCACGAGATCAGGAGATCGAGACCATCCTGGCTGACACGGTGAAACCCCGTCTCTACTAAAAAATGCAAAAAAAGTAGCCGGGCGTGGTGGCGGGCGCCTGTAGTCCCAGCTACTCCGGAGGCTGAGGCAGGAGAATGGCATGAACCCGGGAGGCGGAGCTTGCAGTGAGCCGAGATCGCACCAGTGTACTCCAGCCTGGGCGACAGAGCGAGACTCCGCCTCAAAAAAAAAAAAAAAAAAAAAAAAAAAAAAATTCCTCCATTTGTGCCATCTAAATGGGAGAAATAATGCTTCAATGCCCCTCTCAGAATGCTTCACAATTCCCCTAACTCTCTTCTCCTCCCGCTTTGCAATGCTCAAAGATTGTTTGAAGCAAATGTGGTCATGCTTTATACTGTGTCATTTCATTTTGGCTTCTCCCAAACTGGGCATCGTGGAAGGTATGCCCTTAGCTGCTCTGCCTCCCTTTGGTCATTATTTGGGAAGCCAGTGCAATCTCATTTGATGAAGACCAAAAGGTAGCATAACTCAGAGAGGCTTACTCCTCTTACCCAATTTGTCCAAATGGGAAATTCCACCCAGCTCTCGTTGTGCCACATATAAGCCCCAATCCTTTCCTTTTCTGTGATATCAATTTTCAATCTTTGAGGAATATTCATGTTAAAGCAATCCTCTTTTGTTTTGTCCTTTCTACATGTTCAAAACTATTATTTTAAAAAACAATTTATTAAAGAACATACAAAATATCTTTAATAAAATTTTAAAATAATATTGCTTTCTATAGTATTGTTTGGACACCATATTGTTCGTGCTGGATTCTGTCAGCTTGGCCTAAACAGGAGCAGATGATATTAGCTCAAATGATATCAAATGTGCTTGAAAGAATATAGAAGTTCTAACGCACGTAGAAAAATTTTCATAATTAAAATTACCAAAATCTACCCAAAGAATATGAGATGTTCTCAAAGAACCCACTTTACAGAGGGATTTAGAGTAATATATTTTTCAGAATTTAAGGCACTTCTCAATCTATTAAGAAACAGTTACTGTTACATTTATCACATTTTAAGGGAAACTATAATCTTGAATATTGTAACATTTCAAAAGGTGATATAATAACAGGCCTTTTTGTGAACTAGTAACAGCATTAGCCAAAGGAAAGCTAAAGAGTAAGGACTGGTTAAATATAACTTTCTTCCACACTGCCCTGGGGTAACTGTTGTCCTAAGTGACCTTTAAAGATAATTTAGAATGGAAACAGATCTACTTTAGTAGCTTTACTAAGTATTTGACAACCTAGAATTTCCCCTTTTTGATTTGTCTTTACCATAGCAACCTTCTGATCTGTGATTTCCTCTTTTGAATGAACTGACTTATATGAGATTTCCCTTTGTAAACACATAGTATCTATTTTTATTTATTTACATACTTGTTTCTTATTTCTTTTATTCCAGAGAGGAAGTATGAACAAATACAATAAAATACAGGAACTACAATACAAAAAAAAAGTATTAAATAAAAGACAGAAGTCAAATACCAGAGGATAAGGGAGAAAGAAATATAGTAGATATACATTGTTATTCTAGCTCCTTGTAACTTTGCTTAGTGTGAATCAATGCCCCTAGAGCACAGAATCTCACCTATTTATGGTTATTTACTGGAAAAAATTTTCAACATTGCTATATGTTTAAAAAGTTGATGATAAATTGTTAAAAAAATTAACTTTGAAGTCATAGAGAAAAGAGGTGGAGGAGGCAGCAGATAAAGGGGAGAAGGAGGAAAGGGAAAAGAAGTGTGAAAGTAAGACCAGTTTTGAGTGAGGGTGTGTGTGTGTGTGTGTGTGTGTCTGTGTGTCCACACAAATGAACCTTCTTTTCTCATTTTGATGTTCCTTCTGCAGGTATTGAAGGAAGCTAGTTTAGAATAATTTATTGAATGCTCACTAAGTGCTGAGTGCTGTACTAAATGCTCTTACATGATTCTCTCATTTAATCCTCCAAACAACATCAGGAAATAGATATTATTGGCATCATCCTTATTTTATTAAGCGGTTAAGTAAATTGCTCAAAATTACAGAGCACAGAAGGAGTACAGCCTGGATTTGAACCCAATGAGCCTGGATTTCAAATTTTAGAGTCCTAACTTTTAAGCTGAAACTAACAATAAGGGCAAAAGTAACAAGGTCCTCAGAACATGTCTGTGTTTTTTACTCCTTTTTTGCATCCCCTAAAACCTGGCACCATGCTTGACACAGAATACTTAATACACACTTATTACATGATCATATGTCACAGAAAGAAACAATAGTACTCATTTGGTTACATTTTTCTCTATGTTCTCCATCCTTCCTGCATGATTTCTATCCATTTGTCCATCCATCCATCAATAAATACAATGCAAGGATCCATGATGACTTATGAAGAATGGAACGGGTTCAAAGATTAGGGAGATATCAGCAAGAACCATATATATTTAGAACATGTAGATTGCAACCAAAATTCAAATAAAATTTTTTAATGTTTTTTGCTCCTTAATGTAGACTTAGCTTTAAACATTTGCTATGTCAGTGTTTTCTAAAACTTGCAGTTATTCTGTAACACATCCCCAGTCTCTACATGTATCTGAATTTTACCCACACTTCCACAGATTTAACTAATTTCTCCTAATGTTTGCAGGACAAAACTAAGGAAATGTCTAGACCCTCAGGGTAAGGGAAGCCCCTAGAGACCGGCATGTGAATCACAAACTCAAATGCTTATGGACCAGACAGGTAACCTCAATGAGTAAGGTGGGCCAGGTGAGGATGTTGGATAATTGGAGGACGCACATTCCATTTAAAGGTGATGGCTACTGCTCAACTCCAGCCATCTGTGACAATACAGATCCACCATGTGCTGCTAGATCATCTTATCTTTCAAAGAAAGCAAAAAAAAAGAAAAAGAATTTTTTTTGTGTGAAATCTCCTGATTTTTAAATTTTGACAAGGAATCCAGATATACAAGAAAAAAAAAATATTTCACATAGAACAAAAACTACACAATAGCAGACCAAATTTGGCCAATGGGCAACCAACATGTGACTTCTGTGGGAGTACCTACCCCTTCCTCAAAGCAGTAGGGATGCCTACTTGTTGGTCTGCTTGGCAACATCCTTCACCACGAATTATCCCACCAGCTATGGCTTAAGCATTTAGGTGAGCAGGGGCCCCCATGCAACCCACCTGAAGGAGGCCATTCCATTTCCAGGTGGCTCATAGTCATCTAAGACTGAGCTGTAGTCCAGCAGACCTCTACTTTATTCATATTGGGGATGTTCTGTCTTCTGTAGCATCCCCAAAATACATCTCTTTTCTTTTTCATATACCAGCCCTTAAAGAACGTGAAGGCAATTATCAATTTTCAGGGGCTGCTGTGAGGAATACTAGAAGGAAATCTATTATTTCAAGTGTGGTCCAACCAGTGCAGAGACAGAGTTGGGTTCTATTTTCCTTTGTTTCCAATACTGTGTTTCTATCAAGGCAACCTAAATCTAATTTTGTTTTGTAAGTGCATCTCATGGTTAACTTATATTAAATTTATAATAAACTAAAAACCTATAGGCCTCCCTCATTCTTGCTATTTTACCCCAAGACAGGACCTTTATGTGTACTTATTAAACTTCATCTTTTTATATTTGGCTCATTTCCTTTCTGTCAAAATCTTTTTTAGATTCTTGATTTTATGGTCTAAAACATTTGCTATCCTTCTCGATTCCATATCACTTATAAATTGGATAGGCCTGATAATAACAGCTAACATATATAAAGTTTGCTATGTGCCAGGCACTGTTCTGAATGCTTTACATATATTATTTCATGCTCACAACTGTCTCATTTAGCTACTAATCATATACCTATTATACACATATAAGAAAACTGTGGCACAGAGATGTTAAGTAACTGATCCTGGACCACACAACATCTAAGTGATAGGAACAGGTGAGGTGACTCCAAAGCCTGCAAGCTTAGTTGGTATCCTTTGCTTTACCCCATCAGATCTCAGAGGGCAGTGTAGATAGACAACACTAGAATGATAAACCCTTTTAAAAACTGCCCTCCTGTAATCCCAGCACTTTTGGAAGCCAAGGTGGGAGGATCACAACGTCAGGAGTTTGAGACCAGCCTGGCCAATATGGTGAAACCCCATCTCTACTAAAAATACAAAAATTAGCTGGGCGTGGTGGCAGGCACATATAGTCCCAGCTACTCATGAGGCTGAGGCAGGAGAATCACTTGAACCTGGGAGGCGGAGGTTGCAGTGAGCCAAGACTGTGCCACTGCACTCCAGCCTGGGCAACAGAGTGAGACTCCATCTCAAAAAAAAAAAAAAAAAAAAAAAAAAAAACCAAAAATAATAAAAATTGGCCGGGCACGGTGGCTCACATCTGTAATCCCAGCACTTTGAGAGGCCAAGGCAGGTGGATTACGAGGTCAAGAGATCGAGACTGTCGTGGCTAACATGATGAAACCCCGTCTCTACTAAAAATACAAAAATTAGCTGGGTATGGTGATGCGTGCCTGTAGTCTCAGCTACTCGGGAGGCTGAGGCAGGAGAACTGCTTGAATCCAGGAGGTGGAGGTTGCAGTGAGCCGAGATCGTGCCACTGCACTCCAGCCTGGTGACAGAGTGAGACTCCGTCTGGAAAAAAAAAAAAAAAAAAAAAAAAAAGCTCTATTAAAATGCTAAGAGCATAGATTATTAATCCCATTTATCAGATTAAAAAAGCTGAGGCTTGGAGGTTAAAGCAACTTGTGTGAAACCACGTAGGAAGTTGCGGCAAAGTGAGTGCTAGTCCCCAAACCCCTTGCACTCTTTCTACTGCCTAACTTTATCCCCAACATGCTGTTACTTCAAATCTGATTAGTGTTGGAGGGAGAGCTACCCATCCTGTGGCCACTCATTAAGTGCAAGCGTTTTCTCCCTGGTGGAAAATGCTCTTGATTATTTACGCCCTTCCCCCACTTTTTTTCTTTGCTACCAGAATCCTAATGCTCTGATTGAAATATGTTCAGTTAAATATATACTTGCCTGGCCTCCCTTGTAGTCAGGGAAGCCAGGGGCACAGTTCTGGCTAATAATGTATGAAAACAAGTCTTCTGGTATGCATTAGTTTTCTGGGGCTGCCATTGCAAAGTACCAAAACCTGGGTGGCTTCTGGAAAGGCAATGTATTGTCCCATAGTTCTGGAGGCTAGAAGTCTGAAATCAAGATGTTTGTAAGCTTGGCTCTGAGGGAAGGATCTACTCCAGGCCTCTCTCCCTGGCTTGTAGATGCATGCTTCTCATTCACATGGTTCTCTCCTAGTATGCATGTCTCTGTGTCCACATTTCCCTTTTTTATATTGGGTTAGGGTCCACCCCAATGACCGTCACCCTTTTAATTTGATTACCTCTGTAAAGACCTATCTCCAAGTAAGTTCAGATTCACAAAGAACAAAAACTATGCTGATTCAGAGGTACTGGAGGTTGGGAAAAACATATCTGGCTTTGGAGAGGACAACACTCAACCCATAATGAGGGGGGCTGGTATGGGTTGCTGGGGAAGCTTTTGCTTTCTTTGTAAAAGGGGACAACCATGGTGTGCCTTCCTTCCACTGCCCCTCCTTCTCTCTGCCTTATATACTGCCTCAGTAGTTGGAGCTACCCAGCCATGTCATTATTATGAGAGAATGACCCAGAGAACTAAGGAACTGAACCTATACCAGAAACTGCCTGAGTCTGGATATCTTGTTACATAAGAAAAATAAACCCCTATGCTAAAAGTCATGTAGTTGGGTTTTCTGTTACTCATAGCCAAACACATTCCTAACATATTACCATTCTCAAAAATCTAGCTTTGTATGATTTTATCAAATAATACCAATTAATCCAAAGTAATTATCAGGCTATGTTTACAAATGATTTAGATGGAGAATGGGGTTGAGCAAATCAAGCAATGAAATGTTTTGAAAACAATGTCTAAGAAAAATATGTTCACTGTGAAATACTATACAGCCATAAAAAGAATGCAATCATGTCTTTTACAACAACATAGATGCTGCTGGAGGCCACTATCCTAAGCAAGTTAATGCAGGAACAGAAAACCAAATACCACATGTTCTCACTTATAAGGGGGAGCTAAACATTGGCTGCTCATAGACTAAAGAGGGCAACAATAGTCAGTAGGGACTACTCGAATGGAGAGGAAGGGAGTGGAACAAGGGTTAAAAACAACCACCAATTGGCAACTATGCTCAGTACCTGGGTGATGGGATCAATCGTACCGCAAACCTCAGCATCATGCAATATACCCATGTAACAAACCCACACATGTACCTCCTAAATCTAAAATTTTTAAGTTGAAATTATTTTTTAAAAAGTGTGTATGTTGAAAGCTGTGCACCAACAGCTTCAAGCTTCCTATTGTTGCTTGTTTTTGAAGGTGACTGGTGTCTTCCAGGCCCCAATGTTGTTCTTGAAAAGCCAATAAAAAAGATCCTGTTTGCTATTCTTAGCATTTATATATACTAAGGCTGGTGTGAGAAAGAATAAGGTCATGGGTTGTTACCCTCAACGGTGGACATTTTAGCAAGTCCCTCTGTGTATTTTGATGATTGAACATGAAATCATCTCTGCGGTTAAATTTTATTGCTTTCAATGCACCTCGGTTTCCCTTCTCATGCTGGGTCCTGTAATGATCTTTCTGGAGTTTGTTTGGAAAGTCAAAGAAGTCTGACAATGGTGGCTGTTTTGTCTCCAGGTATTGCGAGTGTGAAAGAAACCATTGGGGACGGGGCAAGATATCCTGCCAATGAGCCAGGTAGGATGTCCTTTGAACAGGACAGGGCCTAGGGTAGGGCATGGAGTCGCACTCTCAGTGTTGTGCAAGCTCAGGCTTAGTGCCTGCAGGCCCTGAAGCTGGGTGCCTCTTAAGTGTTCACCCTGGATGCTTCTCTTGCCTCTCCCTAGTCCTAGCCCTGCCTCTGAGTAAGAATAATCTCTAATGGACACCATTATCCTCTTGCACTCATTTTAGTCGTTGTATGTCTGCTTCTAGGTTCTAACCTGGAAGTTTTAATTAGTTTTAGTTGAACAGCTATTTTTTAAAGCCATAATCCCGAGAACACATTGAGAGAGGAAGAGATTTTCATTCTTTCATACCCAGGCATTTAATATTTTACAATGGTAACTCTAAATAACTGAGTACCTAGGTTTGAGGCACTGTACTCATATTGCATAGGTGTGTTGCATATATAATGTGCAAAACTCACTAAGAAATTCTGCAACCTAGGCATTCATAGCCCAACCGAGAGATGAAATGCCAGGCCCAGGCCCCACAGAGGAGAGGGCCACTCTCCAACATAAGACTATCTTGCTCCACGTCGACTTGCTGCCTGTTTGACTCCCCTCCCTTCGGGCCTCAAAATCTCTGCTTTCTAAACTTTTCTGGTATTAACTGCCTCAATCACCACAAATACTATCTCTGTATCTCCTGGTCAAATTTTTCTTACTTGACTAAAAGATTTTATTATTGCTTTGCTTCTGTGGTTTCTTTCTCTTTTCCACTCAAAAAAAAGAAAATCATTGAGTTGAGAGTAGATCAGTATGTCAAGTTTTCTCAAAACATTCTTTAAAGCCATTTTCTGACTTAAATGTCTAGAAGGCAAAGCTAAATGGGGCCACCAGGTAAGAAAGCAGGACAGCTCCACACACTTAGGGGAATGAGGAGGGAGAAAATGGAAAGAAAAAATATCTTATTAGGTTTTGTAGGTCAGGGAAATCCTTTCTAGCCTGGATTTTAAAACTTCTGAATTTTAATTGAAAGTATTTCTCCAGGGTATTTACTTTAACATGACTGTGCACTCTCAAAAAAAATTCCCTATCCATGTAAGAAAAATAGTACAAATTCCAGGAAGGCAAAATTGCATTAGAAGGAAGAATTTGATGATGTGCCCTTTCTGCTTCGGACAGTAACCATGAAATTGCTGGCAGCCGCAAAAGCTTCCAGACTTCTATTGAGCATCTCTGCTGGGAAAAACATAATGCTTCAGGGTATGATACATGACTCCATACTCCCACCTAGGAATCACCATTAATTCTTAAAAGAAGTGAGCAATATTCCCCTCAAGATTTATGACCATCCACTAAAGAAAATGTCCCCAAATTTGACAGTAGAAGATTGGTTTAATCTGGGGGCTGTTGTTAGAAAGGTATGAAAGTTAATGAACAAAACTTGACGTCTCCCTGATTTCTCCAGTTTTGACCTCAAATGCAAAATAATGCTTGTTCCCTGTATAACACACACACACACACACACACACACACACACACACACACTCTCTCTCTCTCTCTCTCTCTCTCTCCAAAAGATAGAAATTCTCAGTTGCTCACTTATAACAAGCACAGAATCAAATGCTAAGTGTTAACCACTCATCTTTTAAAAATTCATGTCTACAGAGTACATCTTGGCCCAAACTAGAAATTACTTTATTCTCTTCTTTCTGCATGTTGACTTTTTATCATAACTGTTAACATCATTCTTAGTAATAATGAGGATTATAAGAATACACTGGTTTAAATAGTGTTATCTGTCTTTCTGACTCAATGTATATTTTTATATTGTATCTCCTTATCTTCATTGCATTCCTATAAAGCAGGTTGCTTATCATTTCTGATTTATAGATGTAAAAACCAGGGCATTGCAAAGCAAGATGATATGAAGTCAAATAGTAATGAAAAAATTGGTCCTTTTACCCACTCTCTATATTAGAATTAATTCACTCCCCCTGAAATTCAGGAAATGGGCTGGGGTGCGGTGGCTCACGCCTGTAATCCCAGCACTTTGGGAGGCCGAGGGAGGCAGATCACCTGAGGTCAGGAGTTCAAGAGCAGCCTGGCCAACATGACGAAACCCCATCTCTACTAAAAATACAAAAAGTCGCTGGGTGTGGTGGTGGGCGCCTATAATCCCAGCTACTCAGGAGGCTGAGGCAAGAGAATTGCTTGAACCTGGGAGGCAGAGGTGGCAGTGAGCCTAGATCGCGCCACTACACTCTAGCCTGGGGACAGAGCGAGACTCTGTCTCAAAAAAAAAAAAAAAAGAAAGAAAAAGAAAAAAGAAACAAATAACAACAACAACAAAAAACACAAGACAGAAAATGGAGTGTAACAATACATAAAAAAGAATTTTCAGTTGAAAAAGTGATTTAGCCTTAGCACATGTTTCCAAATTAGGGGTCTTTCTTTCAAATTGCCTTTAAACATAGTACAGAAAACGGGGTAATTTGGGTGCTTTCAAAGCTGACCCACCTGAACCAGGGCATTTTAGGACAACCTTGTAGGAACTCTGAGTCAAATTCTTGTGATGCTATGACTAAGTATCATGCTTTGGCTGCTTTCCCCCACCTCTTACTCAGATTCCCCCAGCCCCCTTCTTAAGGAGAATCCCTTTAACCCCTCCTAGGAAATATCCCTTCCCATAGCACTTCAGAGTCTTTGCGGCAACTCTGCTGCAATGTCCCCACTTGACACTGTGCTCCTTGTTGTGGTGTTAGGGCTAAGTTTCCCTTTCATGGGACTCCAAGCTAGAAGTTGGTCTCAGCACTAATGAAAGATGCACAGTATGTCCATTGCTCAGTCAGCCGTTCTGATCCACTGCTGAGGTTGCAGGTGTTCCTTGTCTCCAGGTTGCTGCTTGATTCGTGGGAACCACCCCCAATCCCCCTCCCACTTTCCACTCAGGTTCTGTTCTACAAGTCTCAGGGATCTCTGCACCACAGGAGACTCAGAGACAACAGGATATGGGTATGGTCATAACCTTCCACTGTCAGCATGTAGAACATAGGATGATTCAGCTCCACCATGAAATGAGAAGATAGAGGGAGGGAAACCATCCACTGTCTGCAACCTGAGAGACTGTTCACCTCCCCCCTCAGCAGCGGTAGGGTAGAAGTGGCACTAACCGATCTAATATTCAGGTAGTCAGGGTTCTAATTCTAGCTCGGGCACTTTCTTTGCCTCAATTTTTACATTTAGACCTAACAACTTTTTTTTCCTGGTAATGACTGTCCATCAGCCACATGTTCCTAGATTTTAGTATAATATTTTTACTGGGCAGTTATTGGATTTTGGTCATCTAGCATCTGTAACTGCTTGCTTTGATAACTGTACTCTGACTTTCCTCTGAGAACTCCGTCTGCTCTAGTCACAGCCCATGAGCTCCAGGATGGAGTTGATGTCTTCTCAGCTCCAGGTATGAAGCATGTGAACCGACCCTGACCCATCAGCAGTTCCTATTTCCTTGGGTTACGTGGTTGATTCAGAGATGGGCAGCCAATCAGAGTGAATTTCAGAACTTTCCTAGACGCTGCCTGAAGAGACTTGCTCTAGCTCCATCAATCTGAGTGTTGGGTGTTGTCATGCTTGGAGCCTAAAGCCACTGAACCATATCACGTACAGTCTGAGAATGAGCCAGCCTATGAGAAGCAATGAAGCAGAGCCAAGAAATGGATCCTGGTGGCTTTGTTGAGGGCTGAATCACACTGACCCGAAGCTGTACCTGTTCTTGTACCTTTAGAAACAAAACCCTTTTGCCAGGTGCGGTGGCTCACACCTGTAATCCCAGCAGTTTGGGAGGCTGAGGCAGGTGGATCACCTGAGGTCAGGAGTTTGAGACTAGCCTGGCCAACATGGTGAAACTCCATCTCTACTAAAAATACAAAAAATTAGCCGGACGCGGTGGCAGGCACCTGTGTTTCCAGCTACTCGGGAGGCTGAGGCAGGAGAATCACTTGAACCCAGGGGGCGGAGGTTGCAGTGAGCCGAGATCGTGCCATTGCACTCCAGCCTGGGCAACAAGAGCAAAACTCTGTCTCAAAAAAAAAAAAAAAAAAAAAAAAGCCAGTTTAAGTTGTGTCCTCTGTCACAATGTCCATAAAAAAATCTACTAACTGACATACTATCTTACTTTTTCTCACTGCTTATATTTTCATAAAAACTGGCTTAGCCAATACACAGTTTTACTGTGAACAGCAAATAAGATAATGCATACGAAGGAAATTTCAAGAAATTTGAAAGCATGAAAGATTAGTGTCATTCCACCATAAAGGTAAACTCCTCTTGCTGTTTTTTTTCTCTTCAGTTATGATATTTAAAATCTGATTCCTGTGAAGAAGTTGTGCAAACTGACTTATGAAAGAAGACTTAGTCCATTAAAGGTTATTTGGCTGGATTTTTCTTTCCTTCCTTTTGGAATTGACCTCAGTAAAACATAAGCCCAACTGAATGAGCCTCTCATCCTAAATTCCTGCTAGTCCCTAACTGCCCCACCTCCTATCACCAAGTTCTATCAAATACTTTTTAAATGTCCAGTTAATCCATTCATTTCTTGCCACTACCTTAAATAAGGTTCTCGTTTTTTCCTGAACTTGGAT